>NC_000023.11:150839242-151142272 GCF_000001405.40 Homo sapiens | reverse complement strand
ACCAAAACAGAGATATAGACCAATGGAACAGAACAGAGGCCTCAGAAATAACATCACACATCTACAACCATCTGATCTTTAACAAAGCTGACAAAATCAAGAAATGGGGAAAGGATTGCCTATTTAATAAATGGTGCTGGGAAAACTGGCTAGCCATATGTAGAAAGCTGAAACTGAATCCCCTCCTTACACCTTATACAAAAATTAATTCAAGATGGATTAAAGACTTAAATGTTAGACCTAAAACCATAAAAACCATAGAAGAAAACCAGCTGGGCGTGGTGGCTCATGCCTGTAATCCAAGCACTTTGGGAGGCCGAAGCAGGCAGATCATGAGGTCATGAGATCAAGACCATCCTGGCTAACACGGTGAAACCCCATCTCTACTAAAAATACAAAAAATTAGCTGGGCATGGTGGTGGGTGCCTGTAGTCCCAGCTACTCAGGAGGCTGAGGCAGGAGAATGGCGTGAACCCAGGAGGCAGAGCTTGCAGTGAGCTGAGATTGCGCCACTGCACTCCAGTCTGGGCAACAGAGCAAGACTCCGTCTCAAAAAAAAAAAAAAAAAAAAACCCTAGAAGAAAACCTAGGCAATACCATTCAGGACATAGGCATGGGCAAGATCTTCATGACTAAAACACCAAAAGCAATGGCAACAAAAGCCAAAATAGACAAATGGGATGTAATTAAACTAAAGAGCTTCTGCATGGCAAAAGAAACTACCATCAGAGTGAACAGGCAACCTACAGAATCGGAGAAAATTTTTGCAATATACCCATCTGACAAAGGGCTAATATCCAGAATCTACAAAGAACTCATACAAATTTACAAGAAAAAAAACAAACAACCCCGTCAAAAAGTGGGCAAAGGATATGAACAGACACTTCTCAAAAGAAGACATCTATGAGGCCAACAGACATATGAAAAAATACTCATCATCACTGGTCATCAGAGAAATACAAATCAAAACCACAATGAGATACCATCTCATGCCAGTTAGAATGGCGATCATTAAAAAGTCAGGAAACAACAGATGCTGGAGAGGATGTGGAGAAATAGGAACGCTTTTACACTTGATGGGAGTGTAAATTAGTTCAACCATTGTGGAAGACAGTGTGGTGATCCCTCAAGTATTTAGAACTAGACCTACCATTTGACCCAGCAATCCCATTACTGGATATATACCCAAAGAATTATAAATTATGCTACTATAAAGACACATGCACACGTATATTTATTGCAGCACTATTCACAATAGCAAATACTTGGAACCAACCCAAATGTCCATCAATGATAGACTAGATTAAGAAAATGTGGCACATATACACCACCGAATACTATGCAGCCATAAAAAAGGATGAGTTCATGTCCTTTGCAAGGAAATGGATGAAGCTGGAAACCATCATTCTTAGCAAACTATTACAAGGACAGAAAACCGAACACTGCATGTTCTCACACATAGGTGGGAATTGAACAATGAGATCACTTGGACACAAGGCAGGGAACATCACACACTGGGGCCTGTTGGGGGGTGGGGGCTGGGGGAGGGATAACATTAGGAGGAATACCTTATGTAAATGATGAGTTGATGGATGCAGCAAGCCAACATGGCACATGTATACCTATGTATCAAATCTGCACGTTGTGCACATGTACCCTAGAACTTAAAGTATAATAATTAAAAAAAAGAAAGAAAGTGGCTCTTGTTTAATAAAGCAGAAAAGTAATTTAAAACAAGAATATTTGGTAAAGCATTAAGTCACTGGGTGCATCCAAAAACTAGATTTAAGTTATGTGGCCAGAAACAATTAATCAAGTCACACCACAAAGGTGACCTGATGATAACCCTTCTGCTGTCACCACCATGTACTAGATGCTGTAGCTGTAATCTCAAACCGTAGGCAATAGACACTGGACACTGCCACTAACATTCCTGATAGTGCTGTCCCTAAAAACATGGTCTTGCTGCAACCACGACCACCAGAGAGAGAATAATTCTCTGCTGCCCTTATTCTTTAGATCTCTAAATGTCAAATTCAAAGACCCAGAAAGGTGCATCATTGGCTGAGCCTAGGTTATGTCCCACATCATAGCTGCAAAGAATACTTGGATATGTGACATTTTTATCTTCTATACTGGGAAATGGGCTCTGCCTCCTATACTAGGAGTCATGAGACAAGGAATTCTTCAAACATGGCAAGAGATTCAGATACTGGACAATTCTCCAGATGAAAAATATCTATTTCGCTATTGTTAACTTCAGCCAGCACCTGGCACATAGTAGGAAGTTAATGAATATTTGTTGGTGGAGTGATTGAAAAGCATAAAAGACTGAAAGTGACTAACAATAGTCTACAGGAGGTGATCAGGTAGGTGAGAAGGGACTTAAATAGCATCCTCCCCAGTACAGGATACAAAATGGCAGTTGGGTCAAAGACCTGGGCAAGGCAATGTGTGCCTGGTCCAACCATGACCTCCCAGGCAGGGACAGCTACCTGTGAGGATGCCATGGATAGACAGAAGGCCACCTAGGATTTCCACCTCCAGGCTTTCAAGTACAAGCATACTTTGTTTTATTTGTACTTCACATATAACGTGTTTTTTCACAAATGGAAGGTTTGTGCAACCCTGTGTGGAGAAAGTCTATTGGCGCCATTTTTCCAACAGAATGTGCTCACTTCATGTCTCTGTGTCACATTTCGGAAATTCTCACAACATTTCAAACTTTTTCATTATTCTTATATCTGTTATGCTGATCTGTGATCAGTGATTTTTTAAATCTTACTATTATAATTGCTTTGGGGTGCCAGGAACTGCACCCATATAAGAAGGTGAACTTAATCGATAAATGTTGTGTGTGTTCCAACAGCTCCACTGACCAGCTGTTCCCCATCTATTTCCCTCTCCTAAGGCCTCCCTATTCTCTTAGACAATATAATGTTGAAATTAGGCCAGTTAATAATCTTACAGTGACCTCTAAGTGTTCAAGTGAAAGGAAGAGTCACATGTATCTCACTTTAAGTCAAAAGCTATAAATAATTTTCCTTTGCATTTACAACTTGGCTAACTGTTTGGCCTCTTGTGCCAAACAGCCAAGTTATAATGCAAAGGAAAAGTTCTTGAAGGAAATTAAAAGTGTTAGTCTGGTTAACACATCAATACTAGGAAAGTGAAACAGCCTTATTGCTGGTATGGAGAAAGCTTGCATGGTCTGGGTAGATCACACTAGCCATAACATTCCCTTAAACCAAAGCCTAATCCAGGGCAAGGCACTAATTCTCTCCAATTCTATGAAAGCTGAGAGGTGAGGAAGCTGCAGAAGAAAAGCTTAAAGATAGCAGAGGTTGGTTCATGAGGTTTAAGGTTGGAAGCTGTCTGCATAACATAAAAGTAGAACATGAAACAGCAAGTGCTGATGGAAAAGGTGCAGCAAGTTATACAGAAGATCTAGCTAAGATTATTGATGAAGGTGGATGTACCAAACAACAGACTTTTAATGTAGATGAAGCAGCTTTATATTGGAAAAAGATGCCATCTAGGACTTCCATAGCTAGAAAGGAGAAGTCAATGCCTGGCTTCAAAGCTTCAAAGGATATGCTGACTTTCTTGTTAGGGGCTAATGCAAAAAAAAAAAAAAAAAAGCAACCAAAAAAAACACCTTTTTTCAACATATTACCACTCATTGACAAGGCACTAAGTACCCAAGAACACTGATGGAGATATACAAGGAGATTTATATTGTTTTTGTGCCTGCTAACACAACATCCATTCTGCAACCCATGGATCAAGGAGTAATTTTGACTTTCAAATCTCATTATTTATACATTTTGTAAGGCTATAGCTGCCATAGATAGTGATTTCTCTGATGTATCTGGTAGAAGTAAATTGAAAATCTTCTGGAAAGGATTCATCTTTCTAATTGCCATTAACATTCATGATTCAAGCAGATCAAAATATCAACATTAACAGGAGTATGGAAGAAGTCGATTCCAGCCCTCATGGATGACTTTGAGGAGTTCACGACTTCAGCAGAGAAAATCACTGCACATGTGATCAAAATAACAAGAGAAATAGAATTAGAAGTGTAACTTGAAGATGTGACTGAATTTGAAACTGGCCCAACTGGCACATAGAACTAATGTTTACTGTTTTTTGGATAAACATAGAAACTTGAAACTGACCCTCTTGGTCTTAAAGCCTGAAACTTGCATTTGTCTTATCTGAGTTTCTTCCTGAGGAAACCAACCCTCGGGCCTCCCAGATAGTTCAAGGAATTTAAACTCACCAGATCACCACATCCAAACAATGGGATGCCAGACCCCTCATCCATCATGATGCCTGTTTACCAACTCCTCTTCTTTATCCCTCTGTAATTCCTGTTTTCTGGCATGTAGTTACATTTCTTCCTGCTATATAAACCCCTAACTTTAGTCAGTCAGACAGATGGATTTGAGACTGATCTCCCATCTCCTTGGCTGCTGCACCCGACTACAGCCTTCTTCCCTGGCAAAATTCATCATCCTGGTGATTGGCTGTCTGTGTGGCCAGCAGCAGGACCTAGTCCAAACCCCTGGCATTTCAGTAACAGACTTTGATTCCCTAACTGGGAATGCATTGCTCATGGCTTAGTTGCTGTGGGCCAGGAGTTTCAGAAGCCCTCCTAAGCAGCTGCCCATCCCTTTTTTAGCCGGAGGTAACTTTCAGTTTCTCTCTGGCTCCGCAGCTGCCAGCACTAATACTAGACAGCAGGATCTGCTCCTCTCATTTTGGGAAACTCTGAAGGAATTTCTGTGTGCAGGTTGAACAAGCCCAACTGACTGAGAGAGGAAGCACCCCTACTGTTTTAGTTTGGGCCCTCTTGGGGCTTGTTGGTTGGTACAGCAGTTGGATTGTGTTTTGGTGATGGTGTGTGTGTGTGTGTGTGTGTGTGTGTCAGTATAGTCACAGGAAATCAGAATTTGATAAACAAATCATCTTTTATAATACTGTTTGGCCCCACTATTCTTTGGAGTCTGGAACAGCTTCACCTCTCCATGGGTCTCATTTTGTTGTTGAATGAGAAAGCAGGATAGAATTTCATGTATTCAGGCTTTTATGCTGTTGTTCTAAGCAGAATCAGGCCTGGTTAATACGTGATGTTCTTCTGTGGTACTGTTTGGCCCTGGAGTTCTTTGGAGTCTAAAGACGTTTGGCCTTTAAAAATCAAAATGCCATGGAAACTGCTTTACTCCAAATTTTGGTTCACAACCATAACTGGATTACCTACCAGGGCAAACAAAATTTAGCAATGTGAAAATGTTCATAAACTAGTGAGCTTGTATTGCTATCTTATGGCTAGAGTTCCAAGGTAAAAGCCATTGGAACTTTGTGCATGTATATACATGTCTAGATGTGTTTATTTGTATGTACATTTATTAGGTTATATGTTGTGTCTTCCAAATTGGCTTATAATTGAGAGTGCTTAAATTAAAGGAGCACATAAGTTAAATAAATATGTCCTAGCATTTTTCAAGTTCACATGACTTGAATATATCTTCTTTAATAAACAAGCTGGCTTTAAAATTATTGGTAAAATAAAAATAGAAATGTCTTTAAAATTGTCAGCATACATTTTTGTCTGGATTTTACATTTGTCCATGCTAGATACTTTGAGGTGTCAGGATTTGGCACGAAAGGTTATAAAACTATAAATCTAGCCAAAACCAAAATGATCTCTGTTTGTGTGACTTTTGACAAATAAGACCAATTTAATGTTGTTGGTTTCACAGCTGAATCTTCTGAATTATTGGTAAAAATACCCATGTATTTAACTTAAAGATTCTTACTTAGGTGCACACCTACTATGCACAGGTTATAAAAATGAAATGACGACTAGCTTTGTCTAATATCTCAGTTCTCATAAGTTATGTAGATAAACTGCTAAAAACGAATGAAATGTAAATGGGATAAATGCTGTATGTGAACATTTTGTGTAACTTAAAATCTTAAGATCATTTTGGATGCTCATTGGATGCCTGGGTCACTTTCAATTGTGAAAGCATTCTGACATGGGGAAACAATTTTTTAAAGTGTGGAATGGTTCTCATCTAGAAAATGCTAACATTTGATAGTTCAGGATTTTCTGCTTCCTTGGTTTTCACTAAAATTTATGGTTACTAAGAATAAGAAGTATAGTTAATAGATAATTCTGTATATAAAATGTGCTAAAGAAGATGTGTTCCTGTTAAGAAAAAGAATAATTATGTTTAATTCGGAAGTTGTCTGAAGGTTTATTCAAATTATGGACTTGAAAAGGTTATTTATGAAACAAGGTAGAAAGAAACCAATAAGTAGGGGAGAGAGATTTGAAGAAAGTTGTGGATATGAAGATGTATTTTTAATAAGGAAGTTTATAAAGAAAGAATAATTTCATATGAGAAAGAACCTTGTAAAATAAATTTTTGTCCTGAGTAAAATGGTTAGTTATTTTAAAAAGAAAAAAATTAGGACAAAATAGAATGTCCAAGCATGTCATGGATGGTCTGTGTAAATCATATACAGTTGTGTTTTTTTTTTTCTGGTTCTCTGTGTGTCTATCTTCATGCACATACAAAGAAAATAGAAAGTTTAAAAAGTTTAGATAATAAAATATTTGTTAAAACCTAATAAAAAATGGAGAAATTTGGCTAACATTGCTCATAGTTAAAGCTCTTAATTTTGATTAAGGTAAAATAGGAAATATTGTAAAGAAATACATTGGCAGTTTGGCCATTCTTTTTCAATGTAGTTAAGCATGAAGCCAGATTTAACATGGAGCCAAATTTCACATAAATGTTTGCATTCCTTTACTTCACAATGTATTTGCTATGCTGCATAGACAGTACTAACACTAAGTACTTACTAGTCATGTGCCTAAAGTGAATTTCTTAATTGCATAAAATCTATACTGGTATTGGTGGACTTAAAGACATTAATTTGTATACCAGGAACAAAATATCCCTCATGTGTTTTTTTTAGGCTCTGGGTAATGCTGGAGCCTTTAAGGTGAACTGAGTAGGAGAAAACCTGGGGGTTGTTTTCTTGTTTGTTTTTGCTTTTCATTTTAATTTTGCTATTTGTTCTCCTTTGGGTTTTACTTATATATACATATATACATACCTACACATATGTATGTATATATACATACCTACACATATGTATGTATATATACATACCTACACATATGTATGTATATATACATACCTACACATATGTATGTATATATACATACCTACACATATGTATGTATATATACATACCTACATGCTTAGACATTCTATTTTGTTGTAATTTTTTTTCTTTTTAAAATAAGTAACCATTTTACTTAGGACAAAAATTTATCATACAAGATATACATATGTATATGTATGTATATGTGTATATATATGTGTGTGTGTGTGTGTGTGTGTATATATATATATATATATATATATATGCTGTCTAGTTTCTAATAGAGAACTTTCATTTGGTTCTATGAATAGTCTTGTGTTTCCTGTGCATTTCCAAAAATATATCATTTGCTCTATTTATCTGAAATTACTAAGCTACTTTATTAAGCCTCTAAAAATTGATAGAACGCACTGTTCACTTAAACTTTGATTGATTTTGCTCACCTCTCATGATCTAGAGAGGTATAAGAGCTTTAAGGTTCCTGGCAAAAAAAATCAAATAAAAGATTTATTTTTGTAAGTTCTGAACAGAAATAGTACATTGGTTTGTTATTTGGAAATGTAGTTGAAAGTGTTTAAATGGTGTTTATCTCCAAGTTAATTCAATTCAATTAATAATTTGGGTTGGTTTCAGATCTTTTCCTTCAGGTATTGAGGAAAAATCGTGATATGTGTACAAAGTTTTAATGTTCATGAAAGATTGGCCTTGTCCTTAAGGAAATTACATTCACTGCTATTTCTCTCAGACTACTTTAGTTGCATTTACCATTATTAAAATTAAATGACATTCACTTGGATTAAGCAGTAATAATAAAAATGTGAGGCTTTCTAGTGATATTTGGTCCCAAGACTTTTATCACTGTCAGGCCCTCATATGTGTGCCTGAAAACAAAATATGTACAAGTGTTGCAGTGGTTTGAAGATTCCAGTGGTGAAAGTTACTGAATCAGTTGTCAGTACTGTATCTAGAAACCAATCATGGAAATGTGTGATGATACTCTTTTAAAATAGCTGAAAAGAAATTATTCTGTACCTGTTCTTACTCTGTCCCTGTTTTGTTGGATAATATTTGAGTGAAAGGAACTTATTTATCCTCACACTGAATTCCAAAACTGATATTTGCATTTACCATTTTTTAAATGATGGAGAGAAAAGTTAATTGTCTTACTTAGATATGTTTGCCATAGGACCTATAACATTTCTGATGCTTTAGGTCACAGTTCCATCACTAAAATGCTACCAATTAGATATGTGCAAGGAGTAACCTAATCACTTTATTTTTTGGTAATTTTATACTTTTTTTTGAGACAGAGTCTCACTCTGTTGCCCAGGATGGAGTGCAGTGGCATGATCTTGGCTCACTACAACCTCTGCCTCCCAGGTTCAAGTGATGCTGCCTCAGCCTCCCAAGTAGCTGGGATTACAGACATAAACCACCACACATGGCTAATTTTTGTATTTTTAGTAGAGACGGGGTTTTGCCATGTTGGCCAGGCTGGTCTCAAACTCCTGACCTCAAGTGATCCACCCACCTTGGCCTCCCAAAGTGCTGGGATTACAGGCATGAGCCACTTGTGCCCGGCCAATATAATGTTTTTAATAATCTTGTGCATGAAACAAGGTTTGTGTATATAGAACCATCAGAAAGCAAAGGTGTCACTATCTCAGCCATCCATGTGGATAATCTGTGGTTGTTTGGCATCCATTATTCCTAACTCTGAATTTATATGCTACGAATAAGCAATCACTTTCTTACACTTGTTTACACACAAGTACTTAACAGTAAAAAATATGACATATCATTCATACAGTGAAAACATAATGTGTTCAAGTAACTAAGCAGCACAGTAGCACCACCAGAATTCCTGTGTCAGCTGTTCAACAACAGCAACAACATACAATACCACATTTTCAATCTCCACGTATGATGCTGTGTTTCCATTAAAATGGGTACTGTACACTGTATTTTATTTTTTAGGTGAGAAGAAATACCACAAGCAGTGGAGAAACCAGGAAGTAGGCCCTTTAGGGATGAGGAGGCATTCTGCTAGATGACTTTTTAAAGTGTTTCCTCCAGAGTAATTTGTCTCATTAACAACAGTTTTTCTCTTCTTGATTTTATAAACTGACATGATTTCTTATTTCTTATTTGTTATGAATGCATACTGCTCTAGTCCTCCAATAAGCCCATCATACATTTTCACCATATCATCTAAAGGCACTTTTTCTGCAGTGTTAATAATGTCATCTTCATCATTGCTATGATCATATCACCTTTATTCAGGATCATGTTGACTCTTCCACCACTGGTTAATGAATGAAAAACTGGATTGTTCATCATTACTGAGCATAATCACAGGCCAGAGGTTGTGCCAGGCATGCACGGCTGTGTCCTTAGTCACTGTTTTCCAAGCATTAGTAACAGTATATATGGTATCATTTATGCCCAACTCCTTTTAAAAACCTTCCACACCCATACCTTTCTTCATTGCTACTAGCATGCTGTTCGATAAAGTTTTTTTTTTAAATATTTACTCTTCAGTGAGTTAAGGATACCCCAGTCACATGGCTGAGTTAATAGAGTCACATTTGGGGGAAATACATGGTATAAACATTATTTTTAATGAGAATTTCAGCTGAGGAACGAGCAAAACAATTGTCAAGGAATAACTAAATCTTGCAATGGTCACCCAGTCCAGCTTCCCTGAAGTGAGCACAAGCTGCTGGTACAAATTGTGAAACCAATCAGAAAAGGCATCGCTAGCGATCCATGCCTTATTGTTAGCATAATAATGGACTTAAAAGAAATTCACTCCTTGAAAACAACAAAAATGCAAGCTTTTGCCTACCACAGTAAGCTGACAGTTATGTGTGCCTGTGGCATTAGCACATTCTAGCACAGTTATTCTGTCCTTGGCATCTTTAACTCCTGCAGGGGCTGTCTCCTCCTCTGTAGTCAGTGTATTTCTGGGGCAGTGGTTTGAAGTGCTGCAGGCAGTAACTACTGGAGACCAAATCACAGTGTTTTAATTTGTGACATGTTAGAGAGAATAATAGGACTTTCTGCAGTATTAGTAAACTGAAGCACTAATTTCTAAATGTTCTTTTTTTATGTCTTTAAATGTTTCATTAAACATTGGCTTCTGTTTTTAGCATAAATGCATATATTATACTCGATCATTTATATTGTAGATAGAAACTTATTTTACAGCAAAGTAGTCTGTCTGCATATTATGGGTAGAGTGCCCCTTTATTGTAATTTTATTTCTATATTGCTTTTAAAGCCTTTTGATGATCACTTTTGGTTAAATGAATAACTGTTATTTTACAATGACCTGTGATTCTGTTTTAATAAAACGTTTCAAGTCTTTTAATTTCTTTGATAAGCATCCTATTAACTAATCCTTGTGCTGTTAAGTTACAGGGTCTTGACTCCTGGGTCTGAAAAAGGTGCCGATACCTGCTAAATCTTGAACATTGACACCAGTCAAAGCCTCATCTTTAGACCCAGGAGAAGGCAGCAATCAAAATGAACTGCTTTCATGAGACACAGGGCCAGGAATTAAAACTATCCAATCCATCTAGGCCCAGGAACTATTGCAGAAGGGGGGCAGGCACATGAGATTGTAAGGGCCAATTTTGACAAATAAAATTAGTTATGTATGTTCTTTTGTGGTGGTTGTATGTGTCCTTATGTAACCTTCAAAAGATCTCACTGTTCTAGGCCGATGCTGAACATACAACTCAGCTTGGCGGGCAGGGGTGCAGGGAACTGGGCTTCCATTCTTAAATGGCAAAGGAAATTCCTTTGATTCATAAGCAATTCTGTAACCTTACTTTTTGGCTTTTAGTTTTTGGCTATTATGTTGCTTAAAGGGTTTTAAGTGTTAATGAGTGCCTGCCCCCCTCCATTCTTGTCTGGTCTACAGTGTTTAATTGGCTGTTAGTCTTTTGACTCTATGTCCCTTGGCTATAGAGGTCCCACTGAGGGATGAGATGGACCTAAAACATGTAGCCACACCACCTTGGCAACACTATGGGACAAAATAAATTCCTAAGCCCCCCATTGACTGAGTAGGCCCACTTGTGGCCAAGGGGACCCCAGTTGCCAAGAGATAAATCTTAACTGGGAAAAGGTCTTGTCCCTTGCCCTGCTGAGGATGTGGGTAGCCCCTAAAAGTGGATTGGCTTTTAGAGCCTCCAAAATGTATGGAAGACCATTTCTCTAACCTCCAGACTCCTTGACACTTTAGTATTTTTCCTCCTCTGACACAGAAGCTAGGTCATATATAAAACAATTAGGAAATATATTAACTAGTCTCTAAGTTTGCTTCCAACAGGCTTCAGTTCCCTAGAGATGTACCTCTCCACTTTTTGAAACTGGGAGATCCCAAGTCCTGCTGAAGACCTGGAAATCCCACCAAGCTGTAGATGAGCTGCAACCACAATGGGTCAGCCCTTTGGAGGTGCTGCTGATCACTCACTCATCTGTCAAGTTAGCTGGTGCTAAGTCGTGGATTCACTATACTCGGGTAAAACCAGTCCCTCTGGAATCTCTCCCAGGGAATCAGTCATGGTCTTGTGAACCCTCAGATGGCCTTAATATCTAAAGTCCAGTGAAAGACCCTAGTTAAAAAATCATAAAGGGAACATGTAGCTTTCGCGATTATTTTATTGGATTCCCCAAGGGATCCACTCCATATCCTTTGGTGTTTTAAAATTTAGGTTATCCATGTTATTAATCATCCTAGTCAATGTGACTTAAAATGTTGTTCTAAAACCATTAAAGTATCCAGGTCCTGGTGTTCCAACAAGTCAGATGCTGACCAGGTACTTATGAATACTTCCAATTACAGGGGTAACATTTTCATTCCTCATCAGTATCATATAATGCCCTTCCTCAGCATAAAGCAGTCAGAAAGATCAACCACCAGATTCCCCATGATTGAGGAACTGATAAGTAGAAATAGAGGACTGAAACCGGCCAATTGTCTCACAGAACTGGTGTTTACCGTCTTTTGGATAAACATAGAAATTTGAAATTGACCCTCTTGGTCTTAAAGCTTGAAATCTGCATTTGTCTTATCTGAGTTCCCTCCTCAGGAAACCAACCCTCAGGCCTCCCAGATAGTTCAAAGAATATAAATTCACCACATCACTACATCCAAACAATGAGATGCCAGACCCCTCATCCATCATGATTCCTGTTTACCAACTCTTCTTCCTTAACCCCTTCTTCCTGTTTTCCCATATGTAGTTACATTTTTTTCCCTGCTATATAAACCTCTAATTTTAGTCAATTGAGGAGATGAATTTGAGACTGACCTCCCATCTCCTCAGCTGCAGCACCTGAATAAATCCTTCTTCCCTGGCAATACTCAACTCAGTGATTGGCTTTCTCTGCAGCCAGCAACAGGACCTAGACCAAACCCCTGCTGTTTTGGTAACAAATTGCTGCAATCTCATGATAAAACTTAAATGGATGAGGCATTGCTTCTAATGGATGAGCAAAGAATGGTTTATTGAGATGGAAACTACTTCTGGTAAAGATGTTGTGAACATTGTTGAAATGACAACACAGGATTTAGAATATTACATAAACTTAGTTGATAAAGCAGCAGCAGAATTTGAAAGGATTTACTCCAATTTTGAAAAAAGTTTTACTGTGGTGGGTAAAATGCTATCAAGCAGCATTGCATGCTACAAAGAAACCTTGCATGAAAGGAAGAGTCCATTGATGCAGCAAAGTTCATTGTTGTGTTATTTTAAGAAATTGCCACAGCCATCCAACTTTCAGTGACCATCAATCACCCTGATCAGTCAGCAGCCATCAACATTGAGGCAAGACCCTCCACCAGCAAAAAGATTATGACTCACTGAAGGCTCAGATGATTGTTAGCATTTTTATAGCATTAAAGTATTTTTAATTAAGGTATGCACATTTTTAGACATAATACTATTGGACACTTTAGACTATGGTATAGCATAAACGTAAATTTTATATGCACTGGGAAACCAAAAATTTTGTGTGACTTGCTTTATTGTGATGGTCTGGAACAGAACCTGCAATATGTCCAAAGTATGCCTGTATATATTTCTCTGGCTTGTCAGCAGGTGGAGTTGATGCAGACAATGCAGAAGTTCAGGAACCATGGGTCCAAAAGCCAAGTTAAAGAAGAAATTAGGATGAAAAAAAAAAAAGAATAAATCAGGATGACATCCAGATACTAAATATATCAAGAGATCAAAAAGGGTGGCATATACTCTAATCACTGAAAGGAAACCCAAGTATTGCATAGCACCAACAACTTCAGTGTGGCTTCTGCAAAGTAAGGATAATACTAGAATTTAACCCATGCTGTGGTCAGAATTAAAGAAGCTAATGTATAGTATGTAAAGGGGCTGGCAGGTAATGGATGATCAATGACTGGTATTTATTATCACTATTATTGCATATTTGTGAAATTTTAAAACAGTTACTATATAATAGTGTTTCTTTCACCATAAGACAACTACAGTTGAGAAGGATGTCCATCCTTGGGCTCAGCCAGTGAATTGATTGGGGTTCAACCAGGAGAGAGACAGAAAACACATAGTAATTTAAACAAGAAATGTTTATTATAAAGAATTATTAACTATGTATAGTAAATTAACTACTAAGAAGGAATTTAAAAAGGATTCCAAAGAATATCCTAGGACTAAGGGAGAGTATTCAAGGAAGGAACAAACTTGGAAGGGTGGGAGGTGCTTCCCCAGGGCTAGGATTTAGATGTCATTGAAGAGGGTATGGTTTCAGCCAACTAAATGATGGAGAAGTCCACTAGGCTGGAAGCCTCCTACTGGTCTGAAGATGGCAGGCAGGAAAGCATCCCCTTGAATTTCTAATAAATTCTCTGGGAAACTGCCCAGGAGAAGGGGTTGAACATGCTGGAAAGCCAGCTAGGGCATCTTCACAACTCTCCAGGAAACTGCCCTTTTACCAGGACCTGCTGAATTTGCCTAGAAACCAGGTGGGGCACCCACAGAACGCACAGGGAATCCATACACAGGGGAGGGGAATGCTGCTGTTACTCACCTCTAGAAAGGTACATAAGATGGGGGTGGAGGGGAAGGGTTGCTGCTGAAAGCAGCAGGAATGACCTTCACTGGGTGTCCCACACATCAGCCAAGTGCCCCAAAAAGAGGAAAAGGCACAGCACACCAAAACCATGAACAGAAGCCCTTTCATCCTCCAGAGTCCCTCCAATACCCTATACAGGCAAAGCTTAAGATCATGCCAGCTGGCCAGGAGACAATGTTCCAGGATCACAACCAGGCAGCAAAAGTTGGATTTGGGGCTGAGAGGCAACATGTTGATACCTGGCACAGCTAGAAAAGCAGTAAAATGTGATGGCCAAGAGTGGAGGCTCTGGAGCTCAACTGCCTGGGTTGAAATTCCAACTCTGCCACTTACTGTCTGTGTGATTCAGCCTTTCTGTGCATCAGTCCCCTCATTCTGTAAAACGGGGATACTTGCAGAAGCTACTTCATGGGGCTGTTGTGAAGATCTAATGGGAGAGCATGTGTTAAATCTGTGTCAATCTATCTGAGTCTTTGTGCACAGTGCCTGGCATATAGTAAATGCTTTATGTAAGGCATCTGTCAGTATCATGATTATCATTATATTCTAACTGGCTAGGACACATACTGAAGGCTGTATTCTTTATTTTTTATTTTGTATAAATTTATAGGGTGCAATTTATTTTTTATTTAAAAATAAAGAAAACTATTGGGAAAAAAAACACAATTACTTTTGCACAAACCTATACATGCACAGATCCTGTAGGGTGAAGTCAGGGCTTCTAGTGTATCCATTACTGAATAACATACATTGTACCAATTAAGTAATTTCACATCATCCACCTCCCACCCTCTAAGCCTTTCTAATCTCCATTGTCTATTATTACATGCTGCATGTCCACACTCCACATTCATGTATACACCTTACTTTTTTTTATTTGTATCGATTTACGGGGTACAAGTGCAGTTTTGGTACATGGATATGTTGCATAGCGGTAAAGTCTGGGCTTTTAGTGTAACAATCACCCAAATTGTGTCCATGGTACGCACTAAGTAATTTCTCACGTCTCACTCTCCTCCCATCCTTCCACTCTTCTGAGTCTCCAGTGTCTATTATTCCACCCTCTATACCCATGTGTACACGTATTTAGCTCCCACTTACAAGTAAGAACAAGTGACATTTGATTTTCTGTTTCTGAGCTGTTTCACTTAAGATAATGGCCTCCAGTTCCATCCATGTTTCTGCAAAAGGCATGACTCCATTCTTTTTTACAGCTGACTAGTACTCCATTATCTATATATACCACATTTTCTTTTTTTTTTAATTTTATTTTAGGATCAGGGATATGTGGGCAAGTTTGTTATATAGAAAAACTGCCTGTCATGGAGGCTTGGTGCACAGATTATTTCATTACCCAGGTGATAAGCATAGTACACAATAGGAAGCTTTTTGATCCTCATCCTCCTCCCTTCCTTCACCCTCAAGTAGGCCCTGGTATATGTTGTCCCCTTCTTTGTGTCAATGTGTACTCAATGTTTACCTCCCGCTTATGAGAATATGTGGCACGTAGTTTTCTGTTCCTGTGTTAGTTTGCTTAGGATAATGACCTCCAGCTCCATCCATATTGCTGCAAAGGACATAATCTTGTTGCTTTTTATGGCTTGTAGTATTCCATGGTGCATATGTACCACATTTTCTTTATGCAGCATACTATTTTTTTATTATTTTATTTTAAGTTCTGGAATGCATGTGCAGAACGTACATGTGTGTTACATATGTATACGTGTTCCATGGTGGTTTGCTGCACCTATCAACCCATCATTTAGGTTTTAAGCCCCGCATGCATCAGGTATTTGTCCTCCCCTCGCCCCCCACCCCCAGATTGGCCCCAGTGTGTGTTGTTCCCCTCCCTGTGTCCATGTGTTCCCATTGTTCATCTCCCACTTATGAGTGAGAACAGGCAGTGTTTGGTTTTCTGTTCCTGTGTAAGTTTGCTGAGGATGATGGCTTCTAGCTTCATACATGTCCCTGCAAAGGACACGATCTTCCTTTATATGGCTATGTAGTCTACTATTTTTTTATTTGTATTTTACTTTAAGTTCTAGGATATATGTGCAGAATGTGCAGGTTTGTTACATAGGTATACATGTGCCATGGTGGTTTGCTGCACTCACCAACCTGTCATCCAGGTTTTAAGCCCCGCATGCATTAGGTATTTGCCCTAATGCTCTCCCACCCCTTGCACCCCACCCCCAACAGGCCCTGGTATATGATATTCTCCTCCCTGTGCCCATGTGTTCTCATTGTTCAACTCCCACTTATAAGTGAGAACATGCGGTGTTTGGTGTTCTGTTCCTGTGTTAGTTTGCTGAGAATGGTGGCTTCCAGCTTCATCCATGTCCCTGCAAAGGACATGAACTCATTCTTTTTTATGGCTGCATAGTATCCTATGGTGTATATGTGCCACATTTTCTTTATCCAGTCTATCATTGAAGGACATTTGGGTTGGTTCCAAGTCTTTGCTATTGTAAATAGTGCTCTAATAAACATACGTGTTCATGAATCTTTACAGTAGAATGATTTATAGTCATTTGGGTATATACCCAGTAATGGGATTTCTGGGTCAAATGGTATTTCTGGTTCTAGACCTTTGTGGGCATTTAGGTTGATTCCATGTCTTTGCTATTATAAATAGCACAGTAATGAACATATGCATACATGTGTCTTTAGGGTAGAATGACATATTCCTTTGGGTATATACCCAGTATTAAGATTGCTGGGTCGAATGGTAATTCTGCTTTGCAAAAATCCAACTTTTTATTTTGTTGATCTTTTGTATTTTTTGTTTCAATTTCATTAATTTCCGCTTTGATCTTTATTATTTCGTCTATGAATTTTGGATTTTGTTTGCTCTTGCTTTCCTAGTTATTTAAGATGTATTATTAAGTTGTTTATTTGAAGTTTTTCTACTTTTTTGATGTGGGCATCTAATGCTATGACCTTCCCTCTTAACATTGCTTTTGTTGTATCCCACAGACTTGGGTATGTTGTGTTTCCATTGTCATTCATTTCAAAAACATTTTAATTTCTGTATTAATTTCTTCATTGACCCAGTGGTCATTCAGGAGCATATTGTTTAATTTCCATGTATTTGTATAGCTTCTGAAATTCTCTGGGTATTGATTTTTAGTTTTATTGCTCTGTGGAAAAGATACTCAATGTGATTTTGATTTAAAATTTTTTTTTTATTATTGTACTGTAAGTTCTAGGGTACATGTGCACAACATGCAGGTTTGTTACATTGGTATACGTGTGCCATGTTGGTGTGCTGCACCCATCAACTCGTCATTTACATTAGGTATATCTCCTAATGCTATCCCTCCCCCAGCCCCCCATCCCACAACAGGCCCTGGTGTGTGATGTTCCCTGCCCTGTGTCCATGTGTTCTCATTGTTCAATTCCCACCTATGAGTGAGAACATGTGGCGTTTGGTTTTCTGTCCTTGTGATAGTTTGCTGAGAATGATGGTTTCCAGCTTCATCCATCTCCCTGCAAAGGACATGAACTCATCCTTTTTTATGGCTGCATAGTATTTCGTGGTATATATGTGACATATTTTCTTAATCCAGTCTATCATTGATGGACATTTGGGTTGGTTCCAAGTCTTTGCTATTGTGAGTAGTGCCACAATAAACATTTGTGTGCATGTGTCTTTATAGTAGCATGATTTATAATCCTTTCAGCATATACCCAGTAATGGGATTGCTGGGTCAAATGGTATTTCTAGTTCTAGATCGTTGAGGGATCGCCACACTGTCTTCTACAATGGTTGAACTAATTTACACTCCCACCAACAGTGTAAAACCATTCCTATTTCTCCACATCCTCTCCAGCGTTTGTTGTTTCCTGACTTTTTAATGATCGCCATTCTAACTGGTGTGAGATGGTATCTCATTGTGGTTTTGATTTGCATTTCTCTGATGACCAGTGATGACCAGCATTTTTTCATGTGTCTGTTGGCTACATAAATGTCTTCTTTTGAGAAGTGCCTGTTCATATCATTTGCCCACTTTTTGATGGGGTTGTGTTTTTCTTGTAAATTTGTTTAAGTTCTTTGTAGATTCTGGATATTAGTCCTTTGTCAGATGGGTAGATTGCAAAAACTTTCTCCCATTCTGTAGGTTGCCTGTTCACTCTGATGGTAGTTTCTTTTGCTGTGCAGAAGCTCTTTAGTTTAATTAGATCCCATTTGTCTATTTTGGCTTTTGTTGCCATTGTTTTTGGTGCTTAAGTCATGAAGTCTTTGCCCGTGCCTATGTCCTGAATGGTATTGCCTAGGTTCTCTTCTAGGGTTTTATGGTTTAAGGTCTAACATTTAAGTCTTTAATCCATCTTGAATTAACTTTTGTATAAGGTGTAAGGAAGGGATCCAGTTTCAGCTTTCTACATATGGCTAGCCAGTTTTCCCAGCTGGGAAATAGGGAATCCTTTTCCCATTTCTTGTTTTTGTCAGGTTTTTTAAAGATCAGATGGTTGTAGATGTGTGATGTTATTTCTGAGGCCTCTGTTCTGTTCCATTTGTCTATATCTCTGTTTTGGTACCAGTACCATGCTGTTTTGGTTACTGTAGCCTTGTAGTATAGTTTGAAGTCAGGTAGCATGATGTCTCCAGCTTTGTTCTTTTTGTTTAGGATTGTCTTGGCTATGTGGGCTCTTTTTTGGTTCCATCTGAACTTTAATGTAGTTTTTTTCCAATTCTGAGAAGAAAGTCATTGGTAGCTTGATGGGGATGGCATTGAATCTATAAATTACCTTGGTCATTATGGCCATTTTCATAATATTGATTCTTCCTATCCATGAGCATGGAATGTTTTTCCATTTGTTTGTGTCCTCTTTTATTTCGTTGAACAGTGGTTTGTAGTTCTCCTTGAAGAGGTCCTTCACATCCCTTGTGAGTTGGATTCCTAGGTATTTTATTCTCTTTGTAGCAGTTATGAATGGGAGTTCACTCACGATTTGGCTCTGTGTTTGTCTGTTATTGGTGTGTAGGAAAGCTTGTGATTTTTGCACATTGATTTTGTATCCCGAGACTTTGCTGAAGTTGCTTATCAGCTTAAGGAGATTTTGGGCTAAGATGATGGGGTTTTCTAAATATACAGTCATGTCCCCTGCAAACAGGAACAGTGTTACTTCCTCTTTTCCTAATTGATTACCCTTTATTTCTTTCTCTTGCCTGATTGCCCTGGCCAGAACTTCCAACACTATGTTGAATAGGAGTGGTGAGAGAGGGCATCCTTGTCTTGTGCCGGTTTTCAAAGGGAATGCTTCCAGCTTTTGCCCATTCAGTATGATATTAGATGTGGGTTTGTCATAAATAGCTCTTATTATTTTGAGATACTTTCCATCAATACCTAGTGTATTGAGAGTTTTTAGCATGAAGGGCTGTTGAATTTTGTCGAAGGCCTTTTCTGCATTTATTGAGATAATCATGTGGTTTTTGTCATTGGTTCTGTTTATGGGATGGATTATGTTTATTGATTTGCATATGTTGAACCAGCCTTGCATCCAAGGGATGAAGCCCACTTGATCTTGGTGGATAAGCTTTTTGATGTGCTGCTGGATTCGGTTTGCCAGTATTTTATTGAGGATTTTCGCATTGATGTTCATAAGGAATATTGGTCTAAAATTCTGTTTTTTGTTATGTCTCTGCCAGGCTTTGGTATCAGGATGATGCTGGCCTCAAAAAATGAGTTAGGGAGGATTCCCTCTTTTTCTATTGATTGGAATAGTTTCAGAAGAAATGGTACCAGCTCCTCTTTGTACCCTGGTAGAATTCGGCTGTGAATCTGTCTGGTCCTGGACTTTTTTTGGTTGGTAGGCTATTAATTATTGCCTCAACTTCAGAGCCTGTTATTAGTCTATTCAGGGATTCAGCTTCTTCCTGGTTTAGTCTTGGGAGGGTGTATGTGTCCAGGAATTTATCCATTTCTTCTAGATTTTCTAGTTTATTTGCACAGAGGTGTTTATAGTATTTTCTGATGGTAATTTGTATTTCTGTGGGATTGGTGGTGATATTCCCTTTATAATTTTTATTGTGTCTATTTGATTCTGCTCTCTTTTCTTCTTTATTAGTCTTGCTAGAGGTCTATCAATTTTGTTGATCTTTTCAAAAAACCAGCTCCTGGATTCATTGATTTTTTTGAAGGGTTTTTTGTGTCTCTATCTCCTTCAGTTCTGCTCTGATCTTAGTTATTTCTTGACTTCTGCTAGCTTTTGAATGTTTGCTCTTGCTTCTCTAGTTCTTTTAATTGTGATGTTAGGGTGTCTATTTTAGATCTTTCCTGCTTTCCCCTGTGGGCATTTAGTACTATAAATTTCCCTCTACACACTGCTTTAAATGTGTCCCAGAGATTCTGGTATGCTGTGTCTTTGTTTTCACTGGTTTCAAAGAACATCTTTATTTCTGCCTTCATTTCGTTATTTACCCAGTAGTCATTTAGGAGCAGGTTGTTCAATTTCCATGTAGTTGTGCAGTTTTGAGTGAGTTTCTTAATCCTGAGATCTAATTTGATTGCACTGTGATCCGAGAGACAGTTTGTTGTGATTTCTGTTCTTTTACATTTGCTGAGGAGTGCTTTACTTCCAATTATGTGGTCAGTTTTAGAATAAGTGCGATGTGGTGCTGAGCAAAATGTATATTCTGTTGATTTGAGGTGGAGAGTTCTGTAGATGTCTATTAGGTCCGCTTGTTGCAGAGCTGAGTTCAAGTCCTGGATATCCTTGTTCACCTTCTGTCTCATTGCTCTGTCTAATATTGACAGTGGGGTGTTAAAGTCTCCCATTATTATTGTGTGGGAGTCTAAATCTCTTTGTAGGTCTCTTAGGACTTGCTTTATGAATCTGGGTACTCCTTTATTGGGTGCATATATATTTAGGATAGTTAGCTCTTCTTGTTGAATTGACCCCTTTACCATTATGTAATGACCTTCTTTGTCTCTTTTGATCTTTGTTGGTTTAAAGTCTGTTTTATCAGAGACTAGGAATTTTAAAAGTTTAAGACTTGTTTTGTGGACTAACATATGATCTATCTTCGAGGATGTTCCATATGCTGATGAGAATAATGTATATTCTGAAGTTGTTGTGTAAAGTGTTCTGTAAATGTCTGTTAGGTCCATTTGGTCTAAAGTCCAATTTAAGTCTAGTGTTTGTTTATTTTCTCTCTATGTAATGCTGTGAGTGGGGTGTTGAAGTCTCCCACTATTACTGTATTGCTATCTATCACTTTCTTTAGGTCTGGTAATATTTGTTTTATGTATCTGGATGTTCCAGTGTTGCATGTATAATTAGAATTATTATATCCTCTTGCTGAATTGATTCAGATGGCTGATCCCTCAGAGGGGTCACTTGCTACTTGCTGACCCCTCAGAGATGATGATGGGGGCTCCTGGTCATTCTGTGTCATAAATACTGCTAGCCTACAGAGCTTTTCTGAGAAATCTAGGATCAGTGGGAATAAGAAGACTCTAGATGAGCCCATGCCACACCTTAGTATATATGTAGCAAGACAAAATTATCCATTGTTCATTTATAATTCCTTCTTGCCCTCTAGAAGATTGGCTTTCATACCTGGCTATAGCATAGCCATTGTATGTAGAGGCTGGGAGAGAAGAGCCTGGACTTCAATAAAGTAGCATGCTCAAGGACATGTGGAATGAAGGCTCTTCCACTTCCCCTGGGAAATCTTCGGTGAAACCAGCATTGCTTGGTAATGCTTTGGATGCATGTGCCTTCTTTCAGGAAAATGTGAAAAGAGGCTGGGTCTTGTGTGGGGTGAATGTTTGAATTGCCAGGGCCTGGGCCTGGGGCTCTGAAGGGGAATGCACACACTAGGCAGGGACATGGGACCTGTACACCAAGTCAATTGTGGGATCTCATCCATGGGTCATGGTGTCATGGCCATCCTTCTGACCACAATGACTACAAATGTCTCCTAGTAAGTGGGTGGTATGCATCTGAAACATGGGTGAAAGCATGGCAGGAGGTGGCTGAATTGTGAACTTTCCACTGGAAATATTTGAGGGCTCTGGGAAAGTGAAGCAAGACTGATAGTCAGCACCAGTTTCTTGACATGCAGTGTCCCCATATACTGGGAAACCAAATAGGCATGCTTGTGAGACCCTGGTACTGACAACAATGGGCACATGTAGTAGTTTCCTATGGCTGCTGTAATAAATCGTCACAAACATAGTAGCTTAAAACAACACAAATTCATTCTCATACAGTTCCAGAGGCTACAAATCTGAACTGGTTTCCTTCTGGAGGTTCCAGGAGAAAATCAGTTTGCAGTTTCTAGAGGAGGCCATCTGCATTCCTTGGCTCAAGGCCCCTTCCTCTATCTTGAAAGCTATTTGCAGAGCATCTTCAAATCCCTCTTTGCTCTTGTCTTATGCTCTCTGATTCTGCCTCTATTGTCACATCTTCTTCTTCTTTATTTATTTATGCATTTATTTTTTAATCAATAGGATTAAAAAGCCCACAACATCTCCTTCTTTGACTCTAACCTTCTTGCCTCTCTTTTTTTTTTTTTTTTTTTTTTTTTGACAGAGTCTTGCTCTGTCGCCCAGGCTGGAGTGCAGTGGTGCAATCTTGGCTCACTGCAAGCTCTGCCTCCTGGGTTCACACCATTCTCCTGCCTCAGCCTCCCGAGTAGCTGGGACTACAGGCGCCCACCACCACGCCTGGCTAATTTTTTGTATTTTTTTAGTAGAGACAGGGTTTCACCGTGTTAGCCAGGATGGTCTCGATCTCCTGACCTCATGATCCACCCTCCTCAGCCTCCCAAAGTGCTGGGATTACAGGCGTGAGCCACCACGCCCAGCCGCCTCTCTCTTATAAGGATACCATTTTAGGTATTATTACATTTAGGGCTCCTGGATTATTACATTTAGGATTACATTTAGGGCTCCTGGATAATCCAGGATTATCTCTGCTATCAACATCCTTACCTTAATCATATGTGCAAAGTCCTTTTTGGCAGGTAAGGTCACATATTCACAAGGTCTGTGGATTAGGATATGGACATCTTGTGGGGGTGCCGGGGGTGGGGGGGGCATTATTCTGCCAAACATAGTATTTGTCCTCAGTGTCTCCTTATATGAACTGGAGTTTGGCCAGTTCAGAGGGCACCTGGGTCTGGAACTTGGAGCTTTCTGAGGTACCATCACTGGGGGCTGGACAAATAGTTCTACTGAGATAATAATAACAAGCTCTGGTAGAAGTCTCCATTTTATAGGTGAGGCACAGGGCATTTGAGTAACTTGTTTTAGTTAATGAGAGGCCCAGTGAGGGTTTGAATGTAAATATACCCTTCCCCAACACAACACTGTTGGCCTGAGGGGCCAGGTGGGTCCCAGTGGCAGAGACCTCTGAGGTGAGTAGTCCTGGATGAAGTGCGTGGCATTACTTCTAGCCTCAAGAACTGTGACAGAATAAGTTTCTGTTGTTTAAGTCATCCAATTTTGGGGTATTTGTTGTGGCAGCTAAAGGCCAACCTGGTAGCACATCCACCCACACTTGCATCAAGTTTCCAAGTCCCTCTGGTGTCAGCAGGAGCAAGACAGTTGCTCTGTGCATCTGTGAAAAGTCACTAGATGTGCCTCTCCCTATACATGGATCTCCTTTGAGTCCTGAAGGGCTGGAGGGGTCCAGGTATAGACGTGTGCTCCTGAGGTCCTCCTGGCATGAGCCCTGTAGTTGCTTGAATAGTGGCTCCCAAAAGTTATGACCATCAAGAGCCCGTGACCTTATTTGGAAAAAGTGTCTTTGCAGATGGAAATAAGGATCTTAAGGCAAAATTGTCCTGTTTTATGATGAGCTCTAAATCCAATGACAAGTGTCCTTACAAGAGAAGAGAAGGCAATATGAAGATGGAGGCAGAGATTGGAAAACGCCAGTGATTGCCAGCAAACCATCAGGAGCTAGGAGAGAAACAAGGAACAGATGCTCTCTCACAACCTCCAGAAGGAAACAACTCTGCCAACACCTTGATTTCAGACTTCTAGCCTCCAGAACTGTGAGAGAATAATTTCTGTTGTTTGAACCATCCAATTTGTGGGTCTTCGTTGTGGCAGCTAAAGGAAAATAATACAAGCCCAGAAGCTGAGGCATTGACTGTGAGCCCACAGGCAAGAAGGAGAAATTCTGTGGCCTGATGAGCTCCTGAACCTTCCCCTTGCTGGAATCAAGGACTGGCCTCCATAGAGCAGGACCAGTACATACTCGGGTTTTCTATAGGCACCAGAAAGGGAGGAGCAGACCAGCTGCAGAAGGAGCCAAGTCTAAGTCCCCCAGCAAGCTAGAGCTGGGCACTCACAAAGCAACTCACCTAGAACAGACTTCAGATTCCATTTATCTAGAAATGTGGCTTGCTAATTTCCCCCGAAGCGGGGATGAGGGGGTAGCCCTAGCTAGAGCTTGTACCCTGGGTGCAGGCACAGTTCTCAGGAGTGGCAATTCTCAGTTCTCCCTGAGGCTTGGGGCATGCTGACCACCAGAGGGTATTGCGGCATAGGCAGAGGTGGAGGAGGACGCAGTCTGAAGCTTCTGCCTATCAGTTCCTGAGTGGGGCAACTGTGGGGCTCGGAGAATATTGCCCCATCACCCCTCAGGACCAGGTGAATGAAGCACAGGCTGAGGAGGAAAGCCTGGCAGTGGGTATCTGGGGCCTGGGCTAGCCATCAGGGTCCCTTCCGTGTGGATCCAGTGTTCCATGTCAGCCCAAGCTAAACAACCTGGAACCTGGGGGGAAAGGTTTTGGCAAAATGATGGTGAGCAGAGTGACCTGAGGACATTTCCATGTCTGAGATGAAGTGAACTTGGCAACGGGAAGGGTTGGCTGAGAAGAAGCTGGCAGCAATTAGCCAGGGCTCTTCCCAAATGCCCATGGCCACTGGCCTGAGTGCTGGGAGGAGAAAAAGTTGCCACTGCAGCTCCCCTCACCCACCCAGCCTGAAAGCACGTCTCCCAGAGATGGAAAAAGACTACCTGCAGTCTTACCCTGGTAGATGTTCCAGGACTTGAGAAATGTTACTCTCCACCCTGACTAAACTCAGAAAGTCATGGAAGTCAGCTCTTCGAGGCAATTGCAGAGTATCAGGACTCAGGGGCCTGTACCTGAGCCAGCTTCTCACAGAAACTGCCTGGCTGAGGCTAGTGATCTGCCTGGCACCAGGAGAGAGGCCCATGTCTTCTCCATGGTCAGAGGCAGCAGCAGTAAGATCAACACCAAAGCTCAGCCTGTCCTGGGGAGTAGGTAATTTGTCCAGAGATTCAGCTTCCACAGATAATCTGTGTGAGTAGCCAAAATCACCACCCAGATGCTTTTCACCAAAGCCATCACTCCAAGAGACAGCAGGAGCCTCCACAGCCCTGGAAGCCTATGGTCTGATAACAATGGGGCCATTCAGCTGTGGTGATGGATGTTTGAGGCAACACAGCCAGGCAAACACCAGTGTCTGATCAATATGCTTACCACTCCAGCGTATGCTCTGAAGGAGCAAGGTGTGAGGCATGGCATGATATAATTTCCGCAAGAGCCAGCTGTAAGTCCTGGTGGGGAAAGCAAGCACACCATGCTATTTCCACCTTAGCAAGCCACCCAGGCCTATTTGACACTCAGCACATGGCTCTGGAGGCCACTGGGAACCCTGAGTCTGTCACAGTATTCTTTAATGGTACTGGTGTCTTCCAGGATGCCACCACTAGTTATACCAGAACTCAGTCCAAAGGCAGACCTGGAGAACCTTAAAGACTACAATACCAAGTCCTAACTCCCCCTTCTTCAGGACAATACCACTGATGTCATCACAGATATGACCACCTTTCCAAGGTCACAACACCATCTTAGATGGAGAGGTATCCTTGCCACGATCGCATACTTCATCCTGAGTACTGGGCCTCTATGAGTTCCAGACACTATCCTTCTCTCCAGTAGGGGTGTCTTGTCTCCAGGGGAAGCCTGTCACTCAACCTCCCCATTCTGCAAAGTCCTCTTGAATCACATCCCCATTCTGCAAAGTCCTCTTCATAGACCTTCCCATTCACACACACATATCTAAGACCTGTCACCCCCTTCTCCATCCCTGGCTGAACCAAAGACAATATAGTCAGGTAGGCCTGAATTAGGTACCCAGCACCACCGTAAGAATGGTCTGCACCTAACAGAAAATAGTTTCTCTCCTTACCAGCAAATGAATACATCCAGTTCTGGGCTCATCATGAGAAGCGGTAGAGTGATGGCTAAGAGTGTGACTCTTGACCCAGCCCAACTGCCTGGATTCAAATCCTGACTCTCCCACTTATTAGCTGTGTGAGACTGAGCAAAGTACTTAACCTCTCTGCGCTTCAGTTTTCTCTTTAAAAAAGCAAAGATGGTATCAGTACTTACCTCACAGGTTCATTGTAAGGAGTACGTGTGTATGCACACACAACAGAATCTCAAGACACTGCTGCCACTATCCCCCACATCTCCCGGGTCGCACAGCTGTCCTGCCTATCTATCTCTGCCCAAATTGGTCTGAGATGACTGATTGTCCCCTTCACCTATGACACAATATTTCACAGCAGCCATGACTTCCCTGAAGCCTGAGTGCCCCCTCTCTAGTAGCCTACTAATACCTGGAGAATCTGTGTACCCTCCCCAACAAAAACCCCTGAGGATCCCCTCCACACCTCAAAGCAAGGCAGAGCATGTGCCCATAGGTACCAGGCACATAGGTCCATTGGGGACTTTAAGGATCTTGGGGACAAGCACCCATGCAGATCCTCCTGCTACAACTGTCCTGTCAACTCCATCCTCTGCCCCATACCCTGTGTCCTCTTGACAACCAGAGATCATGCTGGAGAAAGCAGTGAGCACTAACCACCTACTCCTCAGTCCTCTCCAATACTGTTACCCAGAGCAATGGAAGAGGGTGGGTCTGAGAAACAATGGTGGGAACCTGTCTGCCAGCTCCAAAAGCCCGTCACTCCACTTTACCTCTGTCAGCTGGGCCCAGCAAGCACACAGATGGCCTTATTCATGTACTATTCACTCACTCATTCATTCAATGGTAGCATTAAGCTAGGCACTTTTCTAGTTACTAAGGATACAGTTATGAACAGAAGATACCAAATCTCTTCCCTCATGGAGCTTCTCTTTAGTTAAGGCAGACAGACAATTAAATAAGTAAAATACATAGTATGTCAGATGGCAAGATGTGCTATGGAAAAAAAATTAGGCAGGGTACAGGCGTGGCAAGGAGTTGGAATTTTAATAGGATATTTGGAAAAGGGCCCATGAGTGACATTTAAGCAATGATTTCAAGAAGCTGAGATAGCAACCCTGGCCCACAACCTGCACCTCACGCCACTACCACTGTCAGCATGAATGCATGCAAGGAGGCCAGCAGCCCTGTGGCAGCCAGTATCCCATCCCCATGCAGACATTGCCCCCATTGCAAAGGCACACACCGAGGCCAGTGACGCTGCTCAAGCTACAGCCGCTGCTGCCAATACATGCACGGAGGCCAGCAGTCCCGTGCCTGCCAGCGCCCACCCCAGCCAATGAGCGTGTACCCCACCACGCTGCTGCTGGCACATGCAAATGAGCACAGATCTTGCTGCCACTGTCCCAGTGAAGTACTTTGGCCAGCACCACCCATTGGAGTGTTGTGGACAGTGGTCCAGGAACACCTCGGCCCTTCCAGATCAGCAGGTTCCTAACTTTGAGGGGCCAGAGAACAAACCTGGGGCCTAGTACCAGCCCCCAGAATTAGCGCATGCAGTCCAGGAGTGCTGAGCTGAGCCTTGGCCCCCTAAAATCTTCCAGAAATAAAGCCAGTTGACTAAACCCACCTTATATCCTTGTATAAGGTGAACCCACCTCATACAATCAAATGCCCAAGGGCATCAAAGGAGATAAAAGGGAAAAAAAGCATCCAAAGGACAGCAGTGTCAAAGATTGAAGGGACATCAGCACACACAGATGAGAAAGAGCCAGCACAAGAACTCTGGTAACTCAAAAAGTCAGAGTATCTTCTTACATCCAAATGACTGCACTAGTTCCCCAGAAATGGTTCCTCACCAGGTTGAAATGGTTAAAATGACAGAAATAGAATTCAGAATATAGATAGGAATGAAGATCATTGAGATCTAGGAGAAAGTCAAAACCAAATCCAAGGAATCTAAGGAAAGCAATAAAATAATACAGGAGACGAAAGACAAAATGGCCATTTTGAGAAAGAATCAGGCAGGTGTGGTGGCTCACACCTGTAATCCCAGCACTTTGGGAGGCCAAGACAGGTGGATTGCCTGAACTCAGGAGTTCGTGAGTAGCCTAACCATCATAGCAAAATCCTGTCACTACAAAAAAGTACAAAAAATAGCTGGCGTTGTGGTGCACGCCTGTGGTCCTGACTACTCAGGAGGCTGAGGTGGGAGGATCAACTGAGTCCAGAGAGGTCAAGACTGCAGTCAACCATGTTTGCACCACTGCACTCCAGTCTGGATGATAGACCCTGTAAGAAAAAAAGAAAGAAAAGAAAGAAAAAAAAGAAAAGAAAAGAAAAAAAGGAAAGCAAAGGGAAAGAGAAAGGAAAGGAAAGGAAAGGAAAGGAAAGGAAAGGAAAGGAAAAAGAAAAGATCCAAACTGATCTGATAGAGCTGAAAAACTCTCTTCAAGAACTTCAAAATATAATTACAAGTATTAATAGCAGAATCGACCAAGCTGAGGAAAGAATCTCAGAGCTCAAAGACCAGTTCTCCAAAATAACTCAGCAGACAAAAATAAACAAAAAATATTAAAGAAGAACGAAGAAAACCTCCAAGAAATATGGGATTACATAAGGAGACCAAATGTACAACTTATTGGTGCCCCTGAAAGAGAGGGAGAGACTCTGCTTGGTGAGGCCCACAGCTTCAGTCTCCCTGTGACCTGCAGATACTGGGACATCTGTATTGAGGATACTGGGACATCCTGGAATGTGGGAAATGATGACAGGGGAGGCAAGATGGCTGACTAGATGCAGCTAGGAGGAACATCTGCCACCGAGGGACCAAGACACCAGTAAGACTGGCACACTCTGAGAAGATCATTAGAAGGAAGGCATTGAGAGGGAGGACACAGATGCTGTGCTGAAGCGGGAGGAAGTTGGGAGCCGTGCACAGACTACCGCACACCAGGATTCGTTCCTGGCCCCCAGTGACTTCTGGGGTGAGTTGAGCAGATGAGGAACGACCCACTCTCTCCACGGACTTCTGGAATCCTGGCAGCAGGAGATCCCACGACTGGCACAGACACTTGAGCTGGCAGGGAGAACTGCTTGGAGAAGTGGTAGGGGCAGGACTCCAGCCTGTGCAGAGCCCAGAGAGTTTGGTGCTAGAACATCTGCAGGGAAACATGACCAGAGATGTCCATCCCCCAAAGCACTCACCATGCTCCCTTCAGAGATTCCAGCCTTAGGTGAACTGTCAGACCCAAACAGAGCAGGACAATCTTGCCCATGAGACAGGGCTAGTCTGACCTGAGCACCCTTCTGTTTGCTGGCCTCTCCCAAGGCCACAACCTGGCCATGCCTGCTTGCAGTGAAGCCTCAGATGCCCAACCAGGGTGCCTCCCAGGGAACCACATCATAGCTTCTGTGCTGGCAGACCACACCTGACCATCAGAGAGCTCCAGCAGAGTGGCCCCTGCCGACGTGCACCAGCATACCCGCATCCTTCTCCCACTGCAGCCTCCCATGTGCCACTTTGCTGGCATGCACTCACCCATGGCCACTTCCCCCATTGCTTTGCTGGTGCACATGTGAATGGACAGGCCTCGTCTTTTCTTCTGCATCAGCTCATGGGTGCACGTGCACCCATGGTGCCATTGCCACTGGCATGAATGCACCCACTCCCCTGCCACTGTGCCACCTTGCCACCATTGCCAGCGCATAGACTCACACCAGTGGCCCTGCCCCCATCCCATGCCACAACCACCACTGGTCTGGATGTGGGCACAAAGGTTGGCAGCCCCACACCGGCCAGCACCCATTCCCCCACACTGAAACTGCCATGGGTGCAAATGGGCACATGGACCCCAGTTGCCACGTCCCCCCACTGCTAGCTGCCACTGCTGCTGTTGCCAATGACTGCAAGGAAGCTGGTAATCCCAGACTTATCAGTATCCCACCCCAACCAATGAGCATGCACCCCACTGCACTGCCATTACTGTAAGCACATTGGAATGCACACAGATCTCACTGCTACCACCCAATGAGGTGCTTTGGCTGGCACCACCCTTTGGAGTTCTGTGGCCAGTGGCCCAGGAACACCTTGGCCCCTTCAAGCACAGCAGGGTCCCAATGTTGAGGGACCAATGAATAAAGCTGGAGGCCCAGTACCAGCCCTCCAGAGTTAGAGCACACAGTCCAGGAGTGCTGAGCCAAGCCTTGACCTTACACACACACAAAAAATCTACCAGAAATGAAGCTAGTCTATTGAATCTATCTTATATCACAATTAAATGCTCAAGGGCATCAAAGGAGATAAAAGCAAAAAAAAAAAAAATACATCCAAAGGACAGTAATGTCGAAGATTGTAGGGACATCAGCCCACATAGATGAGAAAGAACCAGTGCAAGAACTCTGGCAACTCAAAAAGTCAGAGTGTCTTTTTACATCCAAACGACTGCACTAGTTTCCCAGAAATGGTTCCTCACTTCTGTTGAAATGGCTAAAATGACAGAAATAGAATTCAGAATATAGATAGAGATGAAGATCATTGAGATTCAGAAGAAAGTCAAAACCCAATCCAAGGATCCTAAGAAAAACAATAAAACAATACAGGAGATGAAAGATGAAATTACCATTATAAGAAAGAATTGGCCGGGTGCAGTGGCTCACGCCTGTAATCCTAGCACTTTGGGAGGCCAAGGTGGCCAGATCACCTCAGGTCAGGAGTTCGAGACTAGCCTGGCCAACATGGTGAAACCTTGTCTCTACTAAAAATACAAAAATTAGCAGGGCGTGGTGGCAGGCACCTGTAGTCCCAGCTACTCAGGAGGCTGAGGCAGGAGAATCGCTTGAAGCTGGGAGGTGGAGGTTGCAGTGAGCCGAGATCGTGCCACTGCACTCCAGCCTGGGTGACAGAGTGAGACTCCATCTCAAAAAAAAAAAAAAAAAGAGAGAGAGAAAGAGAGAATCAAACTGAGCTGACAGAGCTGAAAAACTCACTTCAAGAATTCCAGAATACAATTGCAAGTATTAACAGTGGAACTGACCAAGCTGAGGAAAGAATCTCAGAACCTGAAGACCAGTTCTCTGAAACAACTCAGACAAAAATGAACAATAAATAATAATGAACAAAACCTCTGAAAAATATGGGATCATGTAAGGAGACCAAATTTATGACCCATTGGTATCCCTGAAACAGAGAGAGCAACTTGGAAAACATACTTCAGCATATCATCTATGAAAATTTCCCCAACTTCACTAGAGAGGCCAACATTCAAATTCAGGAAATGCAGAGAACCCCTATGAGATACTACACAAGACAGCCATCTCAAAGACACATTGTCCTCAGATTCTCCAGGGTTCAAATGAAAGAAAAAATGTTAAAGGTAGCTACAGAGAAGGGGCAGGTCACCTGCAAAGGGAACCCCATCAGGCTAACAGTGGACCTTTCATCAGAAACCCTAAAAGCCAGAAAAGAATGGGGGCCTATATTTAGCATTCTTAAAGAAAAGAATTTCCAACCAAGAATTTCACATCCGACCAAACTAAGCTTCAAATATGAAGAAGAAATAAGATGCTTTTTGTGTAAGCAAATGCTAAGGGATTTCATTACCACCAGAACTACCTTTCAAGAGGTCCTGAAGAGAGTGCTGAACATGGAAAGTAAAGACCATTACTGGCTGCTACAAAAACACACTTCAGTATATAGATAAGTGACACTATAAAACAACTACAAAAAATACGTCTGCTTAGTAATCAGCTAACAACATGATGACAGGAATGAATTCACACAGATCAATACTAACCTTGAGTATAAACACACTAAATGCCCCAGTTAAGAGGTACAGAGTGGCAAGCTGAATAAAGAAGCAAGACCCTTTTTGCTTCTTTTATGCTGTGTTTAAGAGACCCATCTCACATGCAGTGACACTCATAGGCTCACAATAAAGACATGTAGAAAAATCTACCAAGCAAATGGAAAACAGAAAAAAGCAGGAGTTACAGCACTAATTTCAGACAAATCAGGCTTTAAACCAACAAAGATCAAAAAAGACAAAGAAGGGCAATACCTAATGGTAAAGCGCGCAATTCAACAAGAAGATCTAACTAACTATCCTAAATATATATGCACCCAACACAGGAGCACCCAAATTCATAAAGCAAGTCCTCAGAGACCTACAAAGAGACTTACATGATGGCACAATAATAGTGGGAGACTTCAACACCCCCCTGACAGTATTAGGCAGATCATCGAGGCAGAAAACTAATGAAGATATTCAGGACCTGAACTCCAACACTTGACTGGATGCATGTAATAGACATCTATAGAATACCCCAAAACAACAAAATATACATTTTTCTCATTTGCACATGGCACATACTCTAAAATCGACCACAGAATCAGACATAAAACAATTCTCAATAAATTTAAAAAAACTGAAGTACCAACCGCATTCTCAGACAATAAATCACAGTGCAATAAAAATAGATATCAATACTAAGAAAATCACTCAAAACCATATAATTACATGGAAATCAAACAACCTGCTCCTGAATGATTTTTGAATAAATAACAAAATTAAGGCAGAAATCATGAAATTCTTCAAAACTAATGAGAACAAATATACAACATAACAGAATCTCTGGAACACAGCTAAGGCAGTGTTAAGAGGGAAATTTAGAGCACTAAACACCCAAATCAAAAAGTTAGAAAGTTCTCAAATCAACAAGCTAATGTCACAACTAATGGAACTAGAGAAACAAGAGCAAACCAACCCCAAAGCTACCAGAACACAAGAAATAACGCAAATCATGGCTGAACTGAAGAAAATTGAGATGCAAAAAATGCAAAAGATCAAGGGATCCAGGAGTTAATTTTTTGAAAAAATTAATAAGATATACCAGAAAAAAAGAGAGAAGAGCCAAATAAACACAATCAGAAATGACAGAGGACATTACCACTGACCCCACAGAAATACAAAAGCCCTCAGAGACTACTCTCAACACCTCGATGCACACAAGCTAAAGAACCTAGAAGAAATGAACAAATTCTTGGACACATCTAACCTCCCAAGACTGAACCAGGAAAAAGCTAAATCCCTGAACAGACCAATAACGAGTTCCCAGATTGAAGCAGTAACAAAAAGCCTGCCAATCAAAAAAAAAAAAAAAAGGAAGAAGAAAGAAAGAAAAAAAAAAAAAAACAGAACCAGACGGATTCACAGCTTAATTGTACCAGATGTATAAAGAAGAGCTGGTACCATTCCTATTGAAACTATTCCAAACAAATCAAGGAGGAGAGACACCTCCCTAACTCATTCTATGAGGCCAGCCAGTATCATCCTGACACTGAAACCTGGCAGAGATGCAACACAAAAAGAAAACATTAGGCCATTACCCTTGATGAACATAGATGCAAATATCCCCAGCCAAATAATAGCAAACTGAATCCAGCAGCAAATCAAAAAGCTAATCCACTGCAATCAAGTAGGCTTTATCCTTGGGATGCAAGGTTGGTTTAACTTCCACAAATCGATAAATGTGATTCATCACATAAACAGAACTAAAGACAAAAACCACCTGATTATCTCAATAGGTGCAGAAAAGGCTTTTGAAAAAAATCAATGTCTCTTCATGTTAAAAACCTTCAACAAATGAGGCATCAAAGAACATACTGCAAAATAATAAGAGCCATCTATTAAAAAATCCACAGCCAACATCATACTAAATGGGCAAAAGCAGGAAACATCCCCCTTAAAAACTGGAACAAGACAAGGATGCTCTACTTAGCATTCCTATTCAACATAATACTGGAAGCCTAGCCAGAACAATCAGGCAAGAGAAAAATATAAAAGGCATCCAAATAGGAAGAGAGGAAGTAAAATTATCTCTTTGCAGATGATATGGTTTTATACCAAGAAAACCCCATAATCTCTGCCCAGAAACTCCTATATCTGATAACCTCAGCAAAGTTTCAAGATACAAAATCAATGTACAAAAATCAGTAGCATTTCTATACACCAACAACATCCAAGAAGAGAGTCAAATCAAAGACACAATCCCATTCCCAATAGCCACAATAAAATAAAATACCTAGGAATACAGCTAAAAAGGGAAGTTAAGGACCTCTTCAAGGAGAACTACAAACCACTGCTCAAAGAAATCAGAGATAACACAAACAAATGGAAAAACATTCATGCTCATGGATAGGAACAATCAATATTGTCAAAATGGCCATACTGCCCAAAGCAATGTATAGATTCAATTTGCTATTCCTATCAAACTACCAATGACATTCTTCACAGAATTGGAAAAAAAACAATTTTAAAATTCATATGGAACCAAAAAAGAGCTCAAGAGCTCAAATAGCCAAGGCAATCCTAAGCAAATAGAAAAAAGCTGGAGGCATCCCGTTACCTGACTGCAAACTATACTACAAGGCTACAGTAACCAAAATAGCATGGTACGGGTACAAAAGCAGACACATAGACCAATAGAACAGAATAGATGCACAGAAATAATGCCACACACCTACAACCATCTGATCTTTGATAAACCTGACAAAAGCAAGCAATGAGAAAAGGACTCCCTATTCAATAAATGATACTGGGATAACTGGCTAGCCATAAGCAGAAGATTGAAACTGGACCCCTTCCTGACACCATATACAAAAATCAACTCAAGAGGGATTAAGGACTTAAATATAAAACCTCAAACTATAAAACCCCTGGAGGATAATGCAGGAAATACCATTCTGAACATAGGGCCCAGCAAAGATTTCATGACGAAGATGCCAAAGGCAATTGCAACAAAAATTAAAATGAACAAATGAGACCTAAGGAAACTAAAGAGATTCTGCACAGCAAAAGAAACTATCAACGGAGTAAACAACCGACAGAATGGGAGAAAAATTTTCAAACTATGAATTCAACAAAAGTCTAATATCCATAATCTATCAGGAGCTTAAACAAATTAACAAGAAAAAAATGAACAACCTAATAAAAAAGTGGGCAAATGACATGAATAGACACTTTTCAAAAGGAGACATGCATATGGCCAACAAGCATATGAAAAAATGCTCAACATCACTAATCATTAGAGAAACGCAAATCAAAAGAACAATGAGACACCATCTCACACCAGTCAGAAGGGCTGTTAATAAAAAGTCAAAAAACAACAGATGCTGGCAAGGTTGCAGAGAAAAGGGAACACTTATACACTGTTGGTGGGAGTGTGAATTAGTTCTGCCATTGTGGAAAGCAGTTTGGTGATTTCTTAAAGGACTTAAAACAGAATTACCATTCAACTCAGCAATCTCATTACTGGGTATATACCAAAAGGAATATAAATCATTCTACCATAAAGACACATGAACACGTATGTTCGCTGCAGCATAACAGCCAAGGTGTGGAATCAACCCAAATGCCCATCAATGGTGGACTGGATAAAAAAAATGTGGTGCATATACACTCTGGAATACTACAAAACCATAAAAAGAATGAGATCATGTCCTTTGCAGTAACATGGATGACACTGGAGGCCAATGAGTGAATAACAAAAAGTGGTATATATGCACCATGGAATACTACTTGGCCATAAAAAGAATGAAATAATGTCTTTTGCAGCAACTTGGATAGAGCTGGAGGCTATTATTCTAAGTGAAGTAGGTCAGGAATGGAAAACCAAATACTGTATATTCTTACTTATAAACAGGAGCTAAGGTATGGATACGCAAAGGCATAGTGAGTGGTATCATGAACTATAGAGACTCAAAAGCAGGGCAATATGTACAGGGTAGTGTACATATTGGGTACAATGTACACTACCCAGGTGACAGGAGTGCTAAAATCTCAGACTTCACCACTATGCAATTCATCCATGTAACCAAAAACCATGTGTACCTCAAAAGCTATTGAAACTTTTTTTAATTTTTAGAAAGTATTTTTTAAAAAGAACGAGAATCTAGAGACTCCTCCTTCCCAAACCTTCACAACTTCTTAGCAATACTTTTAAATTTAGATGTAATAAGAGTTAAACATGAAATAAATGATTAATAGAATGACTAAATGCTTCCACTGATTATGTGGAAGTAAAAAAAATTATAATTTTTTTAAGAAGCTGAGAGAGGACACCGTGTGGTTGTCTGGGGGAAGGGCATTTACAACAAAGGGAATAGCCCATGCAAGGACCCTAAGGTTGGAAGCCGCCTAGAGGGTTCAAGAAGGCAAAGAGACCAGGTTAGTTGGAGCACAGTACCATAGGGAAAAGGGGTAGGAGACGTGGTCGGGAGAATATTGGGAAGCCAGATCACATAGGGCATTTTAGACCATCATGAGGACTTTAGCTTTTACTTGGACTGTGACGGGAAGACATTGGGAGTTTCTAAACAGAAGAGTGATGTAACCTGAGTTATGTTTCAACAGGATCATTCTGCCTGCTATGTTGAGAATGACTTAAGGGAGTGTTTTAATTAACAAATAAACCTAAACATTTCAGTGGTTTAATTCACTTTAGCAGTCCGACGTGAGCATTCTGGGTTTGAGGATGGTCTTCCACATAGTTATTCAGGAAACCAAGTTCTTTTGATTTTGTGGTTTTACCACCCACTAGGGTCTAAAGATTTTATCCTATAGGGTTTCTCACCCTCAGCACTATTGACATTTTGAGCTGGATAATTCTTTGTTTGGGGGAGCTGTCCTGGACACTGTAGGATGTTTGGCAGCATCCTCACCATTGCCCACTAAATGCCAGTAACACATCCCCCCACCCCCGACTCATGAAAATGAAAAGTGTCTCCAGGCATTGCCAAATGTGCCCTGGCAGGGGTGGGGCAAAATCACTCTCAGTTTTGAGCCACAGAGGTAGAGGAAGAAGAAACAAGAAACACCTGCTTCTAAACCACCTTGACCCAGACGGTTCTCTTTTTCCTTATTACTGGTTATCTTATTTTCTTATTACTTATAAATAAGATAATGGTCATCTTTTTTACATGACTTATCTTATTTCTGCTGATATCCCAATTGTGAAAACAATTCATATGGTCCCACCTGAATAGACAAAAACTTGGGAAATATTCCCGTCTGGACAGCCACTTCCCAGCAACAACTCCCTACGACAGAAGAGGGAGTTCCAATCTTAGTGGCCAGTTTGCTACAGGAGCCTAAAGGAGAAGCAATTAGCTATTGCAATGGTCCAGATGAGAGATGGTGGTTTCTCAACCCGGGAGGATAGCAGTATGGTAGTGAGAAGTGACTGTGCTCTGAATGTGTTCTGATGGTAGAGTTGACCAAATTTGCTGATGGATTAGAGGTAGGGCATGAGATAAGGAGTGGAGTCAACAATGGCTTAAAAGTTTTGAGCCTGACCCAATGAAGGAATGGAGTTGCCATTTACTGAGGCTAGGGAAACAGCAGGAAGAGCAGGTTGAGGGGAGTATTTGTCAGGAGCTCGCTTTGGGGCATGCACATTTGTTTGAGATAAAAGTGTTGAATATCTGAGTGGAGATGTTGAGTAGGCAGTAAGATAAGAGTCTTAACTGGGTTAGAAATATAAATCTGGAAGGCAACAGAATAGTAAGTGTATTTAAAGGCATGAGACAAGGCGAGAACATCAAGGTAGTGAGTGGAGACGCAAAAGAGAAGTTCAAGGTATGAGGAGATAAGGAGGAGGCAGCAAAGGAGACGGTGAATGAGCTGCCAGCGAAAAGAGAAAAAGCAGCAGAGTGTGATGTTTTGCAACTGGTGCATCCTTCCCACCCCAACCTTCCTATTGCCGAACATGCATGCACACTTAGAGATCTGGTCCCCTCCACTGAGCTCAGAAAGAGAGAAAAAGCCACCCAGAGTTCCCTCCTCAGAGGTCTAGGTCCCAGCCCCATAGGTCCTCCTCCAAATTCAGTGACATCAGCATTAGCCAGCACCCCCCTCTGAGGTCTGAGTCCCAGCTGCCTGGGACTCTTTTCCAAGCTTAAAGACAGTAGCACCCACCATCCACACTGCATCCTCAGAGGTCTTGATCCAGGTTCACAGGACTCCTCTTATAAGTTTCTAAGTTGTAATTATCCCCTCTGTTCCCTTAGCCCCGGGATGGGAGCTGCTTCCTGCAGTTGCCTCCATGGTACCTGCTTTTACACTTTCAGTTACCCGGTTAACAACTTTATACCTACTTCACAATTATCTGTTCAAATAACTGTCATGTTTTTGTTTCCTGAATAGACTCTGGCTGATGCAAGTGATGGACAAGATCATTCAGAGAAAGAAGTTCAAGGAAAGGAGAAGCCAGAATATTGGAAGAATCATCTGTGTGGTTATAACCAAGAATTATGGAAGGAGTAGTGTTAGAGAGAGTGATGGTGAGCCAGGGCTAACTGGGGGTCAGTGTCTAGCTTGTTTACCTGTGGATTCCCAAGAAATGAAGGAGAATGATCCAGAAGCCTGTAGATGGCTGCTACAATAAGGGTAGTACAGTTGATGACAGAAGACTCAAAGCTGATAGCAAGATTCATAGCCCATGGGACAGGGAGTCAGCTCTGTGGCTGTCCTTTGACGTTAGAGTAAAGACCAGCATGAGTTCTGTGAACTGGTTGGTGCCTTAAATTGTGTCTAATTCTCCTACCCTGATAGGGAGTCTGGGTGAGGGCTCTGCCTGGTCAGCAGGTCCAGGAGGTTCTGAGGAAGAATGCCAATGTGCTATCCTTATTTCTGGCTTCAAGCAGAAAATGGCTTGCGAATTCCAGAGATGTGGAACAACTGTCTTCAGTGGCTTTGTGTCTACTCCCAGGCTGTGCTTGCATGGGCAATCCAGGGCCATTGATAGGGTAGAGAGGAGAGAAAATAGTACCATCTTCCTTACATTTCCTTAGATTTCCCCAGCCTTCCCCCCTGTGATGTGGTGAGGCATCACAGGAATGGCTGGGTCTCCTTGGCTGGCCCAGGGACCTCCCACACCAGGATGACACCTTATTTAGAATTATAGCATCATGTAAATGACGAGTTAATTGGTGCAGCACACCAACATGGCACATGTATACATATGTAACAAACCTGCACATTGTGCACATGTACCCTAGAACTTAAAGTATAATAAAAATAAAATTAAATTTAAAAAATTATGGCATCATGGACATGCCTGGAATAATTAGGACTTGGTCCAGGAAGACCTCCTCTGGGCTTCAACACTGTGCTTGTACCAGAGCAAGCAGAGGTCAGGTGGGAGCTGCCAGAAGTCCCAGAGCCTATTGCATTCTCCATCTGGAGAATGGATCCTGGTCCCTTCAGTGACCCAGGAATGGGGAGTTACTGCCCACCTGCATGCCACCCCTGGCAATGGAGAAGGCCGTCAACCCCCCATGCCTCTTTGCCTTCTGTAGGCTTTCTGGCCACACACAAAAAATATTCCTCAACATGTTCAGGCCGCTGAGTGTTCCTTGAGTAAGGAATGCCAGGACTCAGGAAGAGGAGTCACTATTATTTGTCACCTACCAACCTGGAGTTTCTACAGACAGCTCCACCTGAAGCCACAACTGGGGAGGTCTAGAGGAATCCAGGAAGCTTTCTGATTGGCTGGTCCAAGAAATCACAAGCTATTCTCTCCCCTCAGATCCAACCCTGACATCTAGCTGCCGACCCGAAACTCCACACACATGCCCACACTGAGCCCATTGTCTTCCTTCTCAGCTCTCTGCCCATCCACTGCTCTGAACCCTGCCCAGCTCCCGCCCTAGAAAAAAAAAAACCCGCACTTCATCTAGTTTTCCGCATCTCAGGAAATGGCTCCATAATCCATCCAGTTGCTCAAACCAGAATGTTATTCTTGATCTTTCCCTCCATCTTTGCATATATTCGTCATTGAGTTTCTAACTCCAAAACATATCTTGAATCTGCTTACTTTTCTCCACCCTAACTGCCACCCCCTTGTCCAAGCCATCATCACCTGTCTGCTGACCAACTGCAAAAGCCTAATTCAGCTCCCAACCTCCACTCTTGCTCCTTTGCAGTCCATTTGCCCCACAGCTGCCATGGTGAACTTTGAAAATGGAAATCAAATCATGTCACTTCTCTGCTTAAAGCCTCCCAGTGGCTTCCCCGGACACTTAGATTGAATCTAAAGTCCTTACCATGGTGTATTAGTTTCCTGTGGCTGCTATAAAAACTACCACAAACTCAGTGGCTTAAAACAACACAGATTTACTATCTCACATTCTGGAGGGGAGAAGAAGTCTGAGGGGACTCAACTAGTTTCTCTGCTCTGAGTCTTACAAGGCTAAAATCAAGGTGTTGGTGGGCTGGGCTCTTATCAGGAAACTGTGGGAAGAATCTGCTTCCAAGCTCATTCAGGTTGTTGGCAGAGTACAGTTCCTTGCTGTTATAAGACTAAGGTCCCCATTTTCTTGCTGGCTGTCAGGCAGGAACTACTCTTAGCTCACAGAGACTGCTCTCCGGCCCTTGACTATGATCCCTACAACTTAGAGCCAGCAATGGTATGTCCAGTCGCTCTCACACTTTGAATCTCTCTGACTTCTACTGCATCTTTTCTGACTCCAGCCAGAAAAAGTCCCTGCTTTTAAGGGCTCATTTGACATGACTGAACTCACTTGGTTAATCCAGGATGAATCTCCCTATGTTAAGGCCTGTGACCTTAATCACCTCAGCAAAGTCCCTTTTGCTATGCAACCTAACATATTCATAGGTTCCAGGAATTAAGGTGTGGTCATCTTGTGGGGAAGCCATTATTTGGCTATCTCCTCTATGACCTCATCTCCCTCTCTCCTTCTCACTCTCTCCACCCAGCTACACTGGTTTTCTTGCCATCCCTCTAACACGTGAAGTTTGTTCCTGCCTCAGCACTTTTATTACTACCATTTCCCAAACCTGGAATGCTCTGTCCACAGATCATCACATAACTGTCTCCTTCACAACATCCAAGTCTCTGTTCAAACATCACTTCCTCAAGAGACACCATCCTTGACCATCCTGTTGGCAGTAGCTCAGCCATCCTTTCATTCTCTCCAGGACGGTATTCTGTTCTTTAATCTCATAGCACTCATAACAGTCTTTCATGCAAGCATCTTGTGAAGTTGCTTCTTAGTGGCCTGTGGCCCCCTGCAGACCACAGGCTTCCTGATGGCATAGATCTTGTCTGACTTGTTCACCCCTAGATTCCCAGCCACTAGTGTAGTGCCTAACACAAAGAAGGCAATCAAACCAGGTGCCTGTGGTCCTAGCTCCTCTGAAGGCTGAGGCAGGAAGATGGCTTGAGCCCAGGAGTTTGAAGCTGCAGTGAACTGAGATCGTGCCACTACACTTCAACCTGGGTGACAGAGCGAGAGCCTGTCTCAAAATTAAAGAGAGAGAGAGGAAAAGAAAGTAAAAAGAAGGCAATTAATTATTTGCTGCATTAACGAAAGTGGGAGACCTGGGATAGGGTGGACCTGCCCGGATGATCTTAGAGGGCCTAAAGTAAAACAGAAAGTTGGAGTGGTCACTTACTTGTGATTGTGTTGCATAGGCTGCAAGACAGATAAGAGAGGTTGAGCTTAGATGGATGCTGAGGACAATGTACTTGCTGGTCCCTCAGTGAGTCAGTGGCAGAGTTGAAGTTGAGCACTGATCCCTTGCCTCCCAGCTGCCTTCTCTGTGCATGGAAGCTGGCTGCTTAAAAAAAAAAAAAAGAAAAGAAAAATAACACCTGCTTCCTCTGGGTTATCCTAAAGCAGCCTCACGTTTGACATGATTGAGTAAACCAGGCCTTGCTTCTCATCTACAAGCCCACGAAGACATTTTCTGTTTTCTCCAATCCACTCTCTGCAGTGAGTCCTGGGTTTGAATTCTGTATTAGTCAGGGTTCTCCAGAGGACAGGACTAATAGAATAGATGTATATATGAAAGAGAACTTATAAAGGAGTATTGACTCACATGATCACAAGGTGAAGTCCCACAATAGGACATCTGCACGCTGACAAGCAAGGAAGTCAGTCTGAGTCCCAAAACCTCAAAAGTAGGGAAGCTGACAGTGCGGCCTTCAGTCTGTGGTTGAAGGTCCAAGAGTCCAAAAGCTGAAGAACTTGGAGTCTGATGTTTGAGGGCAGGAAGCATCCAGCATAGGAAAAAGATGGAAGCTGGGAGACTAAGCCAGTCTAGTTCTTCCACGTTCCTCTGTCTGCTTTTATCCTAGCCATGCTGGCAGCTGATTGGATGGTGCCTACCCAGATTGAGGGTGGGTCTGCCTCTCCCAGCCCACTGACTCAAATGTTAATCTCCTTTGGCAACACCCTCACAGACACACCCAGGAACAATACTTTGCATCCATCAATCCAGTGAAATTGACACTCAATATTAAACATCACAGCCACTTCCTAGCTGTGTGTCTCACTTAGAGAGAGGTCCACCCTCTCTCCATCCTAGGTCAATCCCTTCCCTGGGTACTGGTTCCCAGGATCTTCAGACTTTCAGCACCTCACGAATTTCCTCTCGCCTTTCTTTCTCTCCAGTCTTTCTACTTACTTCCTCTTATCTGGGAGGCAATGTTGTATGTTGGCTAAGAGCCCAGACTCTGGTGACACTTGCTTGGGATCAGAACTTAGTTTGCCACTTATTATCTCTGCAACCTAGGCTAGGTTGCTTTATCTCTCTGAGCCCGTTTCCTCAGCTGTAAACTTGGGTTAATAATTGCATCTACCTACCTCACAGGGTCGGTGAGGATCAAATAAGAAAATGCGTGAAATGTTTTTAAAATAAAGTCAGCCACATAATTCGTTATGGTCACTGGCCTCATCACATTAGCACAAGACAACCTTGTTGTTCATATCCTTACCAAAAAAAAAAACGCCTTCCCTTAACTCTACGTGTCCCTCCAGCTGCCCACCTTGTGTCAGCCCCACTTTACAGCAAAACTCTTCCAAATAATAGCCTAGACTCCTTCTCTCCACATTTTTTTTTTTTTTGAGAAGGAGTTTTGCTGTTGTTGCCTGGGCTGGAGTGCAATGGCGTGATCTCAGCCCACCGCAACCTCCATCTCCCAGGTTCAAGTGATTCTCCTACCTCAGCCTCCTGAGTAGCTGGGATTACAGGCATGCGTGACCACGCCTGGCTAATTTTGTATTTTTAGTAGAGACGGGGTTTCTCCATGTTGGTCAGGCTGGTCTCAAACTCCCAATCTCAGGTGATCCGCCCACCTCGGCCTCCCAAAGTGCTGGGATTACAGGCGTGAGCTGCTGCACCCAGCCTCCTTCTCTCCGCTTCTGTTCCACCTCTTCTTTCCCTAAATCTCTCCAGTCAGGCTGCTAAGCTCATTGCTCCACCAAAACAACTTTTTTCAAAACCATCAACAACTTCCACCTAGCCAAATCTCAGGGACTCATTTCAGTTCTCACCTTCCTTACTCTCAGCAGCATTTGGCATAGCAGATGCTCTCTTCTGGAAATGCTCTCTTTTCTCAGCTTACAGGTCCCCACATAGTCCTGATTGGCCTCCTACCTCTCTGACTACTCCTTTTTACTCTTTTTTCTGGGCTTTCCTTTCTCCATGGGTCCCTCATATGTTAGTGTTTCTTAGGAAGTGTATTAGACCATTTTGTGTTGCTATGCAGGAATACCTGAGACTGCATAATTTATAAAGAAAGGAGGTTTATTTGGCTCATGATTCTGCAGGCTGCACAAGCATGGCACCAGCATCTGCTCAGCTTCTGGCAAGGCCCCAGGAAACTTTCACTCATTGCAGAAGGTGAAGGGAAAACAGGCATGTCACATGGCAAGAGAGGGGGCAAGAGAGAAAAGGGGGAGGTCCCTAACTGCCCTTAACAACCAGTTCTCATGTGAACTCAAAGTGACTACTCACTAATCTCTACAAGGAAGGCACCAAGCCATTCATGAGGGATCCACTCCCATTGACCCAGACACCTCTCACCACGCCCCACCTCCAACATTGGGGATCACATTTCAAAATGAGATTTGGAGGGGACAAATATCCAAACCACATAAGGACCCCAGCCCTCTCCTCTGATATTTTCTCCTTTGGTGATGTAATTAACAAATTGGTGCAAATTGTGGGCAGAGTTCAAGAAGTGGTGCTTAACTTCAGGTCTGAGAAGAATGGTGAGGCCCAGCACCATTAAAAAGGCCATCCTTCCTCCACTGCTCTGCAGTTTCATCTTTTACATAAGTCAAATGACATGTATTCGATCAGTCTCTGGACTCTGTTCTGTTTCATTGTTCAGGAATATTTTTTATATCCTTGTGACAATAACACACTATCTTAATTAATGTGGCTTTATAAATCCTGATATAAGGCGGTGTAACTGCCCCCAGTTCTGTTATTCTTCAGGACAGTCTTACCTATTCTCAACCCTTTGCATTTCCATATAAATTTCATAATCAGCTTGTCAATTTACACACACACAACCTACTGTTATTTTTATTGGAATCATATTGGATCTGTAGATCAATTTTGGGAGAATTAACATCTAAACAATATTGACTCTTTCAATCTGTGAACATGATATATATCTCCATTTCTCTAGGTCTTTTAAAATTTCTATCAGTAATGCCCTGTAGCATTCATTATGAAGGTTGTATACATCGTTTTTATACTAAATTCTACATAATTGATGCTTTTGTTGCAATTGTCAATTTTATCATGTAAATTTTTTCTATTTGTTTGTTGCTGGTCTATATAAATGATGTCACTTATTAATTCTAAGAATTTATTTTCAGATATTTTTATGTCTGCTCCAAATTCTATATCCAAATTTTACTAGAGACACTGCTATGGTACAGGAGTCTTTGCTACCTCACATATCCCAGTCTGCTCTGTGCATATTTTAACATCTGTGAGAACTTCCTGTGGAATGGAACTTGAGCCCTTGAGATCTGCCCCTGGGCTTCTCACATGAGAAGCCTGAGCTTTTAACCAAATACAATATTAAAATATATAAATAAAGCCTTTAATAAGTACACATTACTTGTCAAAAACTGCTCTAAAGGAGCATCACCCTTAGTCCTTTGCATTTATGAATTAATTTAATTTCCTTAACATGCTTATGAGGTAGATACTAATATAATCTCATTGAATAGATGGGAAACTGAAGCACAGGGAAGGCAAAAATTTTCCCAAGGCCATAGCGTATTAGCCACTAAGTGTTTCACCATTGCACTATTCAGTTGCCCCCGGTCTATAAAATCAAACTCCTCTTCAGTCTGGCTCTCTCAACTTGAGGCTTTCTCTACCTCCTCCTCCTGAACCTTGGCTCTTTGCAAGTCATCAGTCCACACACAGTTGACTAGCACCCCTCACCTCAGGTTGCTTTAAGGGTAAAGGATGAGGGAAGTCAGGGAAAGCTTCATGAAGAAGGTGAGCTGGACTTTAAAAGTCGAGTAAAAGTTGGGCATGTAAAGTGGGGCTGCGCACAGTGGCTCACACTGTAATCCCAGCAATTTGGGAAGCTGAGGCCGACAGATTGCTTGAGCTCAGGAATTCGAGACCAGCCCGTGCAACATGGAAAAATCCCATATGGTGGTTAATATTGGGTGTCAATTTGACTGGATTGAAAGATGCAAAGTATTGTTCCTGGGTGTGTCTGTGAGGGTGTTGCCAAAGGAGATTGAGTCAGTGGACTGGGAGAGGCAGACCTACCCTCAATCTGGGTAGGCACCATCCAATCAACTGCCAGTGTGGCTAGAAAAAGCAGGCAGAAGAAGGTGGAAGAAGCTGACTGGCTGAGTCTTCTGGCCTTCATCTTTCTCCCGTGCTGGATGCTTCCTGCCCTTGAACATCGGACTCCAAGTTCTTCAGCTTTTGGACTCTTGGGCTTACAGCAGTGGTTTGCCAGGGGCTCTCAGGCCTTCGGCCACAGACTGAAGGCTGCACTGTCAGCTTCCCTACTTTTAAGGTTTTGGGACTCAGACTGGCTTCCTTGTTCCTCAGCTTGCAGATGGCCTACTGTGGGACTTCACCTTGTGATAGTGTGAGCCAATACTCCTTAATAAATTTCTCCTTCATGTATACATCTATCCTATTAGTTCTGTCCCTCTAGAGACCCTGACTAATATGCCCCATCTCTACAAAAAAAAAAAAAGTATAAAAATTAGCCAGGCCTGGGGTAGTCCCAGCTTCTCAGGAGGCTAATGTGGGAGGATCACCTGAGCCTGGGAGGTAGAGGCTACAGTGAGCTGAGAACGCACCACTGCACTGCAGCTTGGGCAACAGAGGGAGACCCTGTCTCAAAAAAAAATGCAGTGGGAGGCAGCCTCAAAGACATGGAGAAGAAACACAGAGGCTTACATGGTATAGGTTTCAGTCTAGGATTAGTCTTGGTGGGAAACAGAGTGTTCATATCAGTTATGGTTATTACCAGTATTACTTTGCCTTTAGTGCTTTCATTAAAACAACCATATTTATTGCCATCGATACTAAAGTCATTTGAAAAATGTCCCATCTTTGCATTGTTCAGCCACTGCAAAGGTGACATTTCTTCAACTGTATTATAACAACCTTCAACTACTAATGGAAATAGTTGAGTGCATTTGGGTTGTAGAGCTATGGAAATATAACTTGCTACTGCCTCCCTCCATCCCATTGTGATTGAGTCTGGCCTCACAGCTGCCCGTCAATTAACCACATCATAGCAGAAGGCCGGGAAGCATATCAACAAGTTCTCAGAAAAGTCAGCTTTTAATTTATTTGCTTGGGACCAAAGATCTTCAATAGTGTGATTGGAGTTGGGGTTGGAGTGGTTATAGGATAGGAAAGATCAAGAACCACTGCCTTAAAAAGGCAGTCAGATGACACTAAAAGGACAAGCAACAAAAGAAAAGAGAAATTAACTGGATTTCATCGCAACTAAAACTTTTCGTGTATCAAAGGACACTGTCAAGAAAGTGAAAACAAAGCACATAGAATGGAAGAAAATATTCATAAATAATATATCTGAAAGGATCTAGTATCCAGAATACATAAAGAAACATTACAACTCAGCCATAAAAAGACAAACAACCCAATTAAAAATTGGGCAAAAGTTCTGAATAGACAGTTCTCCAAAGAAGATATACAAATGGCCAATAAATACATGAAAACATATTCCACACTACTAGTCATTAGAGAAGTGCAAACGAAAACCGCAATGAGATACCTCTTCACACACACTATGATGGCTATATTTTTTTAAAATTTGGAAGATAAATGTTGGTGAGGATGTACAGAAATTGGAACTCTCATACATTACTGGTGAGAATGCAAAATTGTGTAGCTGTTGTGAAAATGTTTGGCCGTTCCTTAGAAAGTTGAACATAGAGTGTTATCATAAGACTTAGCAATTTCATTCCTAGCTATATACCCAAGAGAAATGAAAAAAAATATGTCTACACATATTTTTCATAGAAAATTTTTCTATGAATATTTATAGCAGCATTATTCATAAGATCCCTCAAGTGGAAACAATTCAGATGTCCACCAACTGATGAATGGATAAACAAAATGCATTATATCCATACATTGGAATATTATTCAGCCATAAAAGGGAATGATGGTCTGATACATGCTACAACATAGATGAACCTTTAAAACATTATGCTAAGTAAAAGAAGCAAGACACAAAAGGCCACCTATTGTATGGTTTGTATAAAATGTCCATTTATATAAAATGTCCAGAGTCAGCAAATCCACAGAAACAGGAAGAAGACTAGTGGTTGTCAGGGCTGGAGGGATAGGAGGAATGAAGGGTGGCTGATATTTCAAAAATAAACTAATGGGATTGCATCAGACTGAAAATCTTCTGCACAACAAAGAAAGCAATCAACAAAATGAAAAGGCAACTTATGGAATAGGAGAAAATATTTGCAAGCCATATAACTGATAAGGGATAAATATCCAAAATACACAAGGAACTCATACAACTGAAGAGCAAAAAAGCAAATAAACTGATTTAAAAATAGTCAAAAGACTTGAATATACATTTCTCAAAAGAAGACATATAAATGGCCAACGGGTATTAAAAAGGTGCTCAACATCATTAATTGTCAAGGAAATGCAAATCAAAGCTGCATACTTGGGAGGCCGAGGCAGGAGGATCTCTTGAGTCCAGGAGTTTGAGGCTGCAGTGAGCTATGATTGGACCTCTGCACTTTAGCTTGGGTGACAGACCAAGACCCCATCTCTAACTAACTACAAAACAAAACAAAATACCGCAAACAAGAGAGTGAAAATCAGTATGTTGTAGAGATATTGGTGCCCCTGTGTTCACTGCAGCATTATTCACAATAGCCAAGATATGGAAACAACCTAAATGTCTATGGATGGATGAATGGATAAAGGAAGTCTAGTACATACGTACAGTGGAATATTATTCAGCCTTTAAAAAAAGAAGGAAATCCTGACATTTGCAACAACATGGATGAACCTGGAGGGCATTTTGTTAAGTAAAATAAGTCAGGCAGATAAAGACAAGGGGGAAGAGAGAAATAGGGAAGTGATGGTCAAATGGTACAATGTTTTAGTTATGCAAGATAAATAAGTTCTGAAGGTCTACTATACTATGCTGTAAGAGACTAGATCTTATGAAGTGTTGTTAACACACACCCAAAAACAATAATAAAGAGGGCAGGAGGAAACAGTGGGAGGTGATGGAAATATTTATGGCCTTGATAATGGTGATGGTTTCACAGGCGTATACTTATCCCCAAACTCCTTGAGATGTACACATTAAATATGCACAACTTTTAATGCAATATACCTCAATAAAGTGGTTAAAAAAAAGAAAATGTTCCAAAATTGATAGTGGTGATGGTTGCACAACTGTGAATGTACTTTAGAAACCACTGGATTGTACCCTTTGGAAGAGTGAATTTTGCGGTGTGTGAATTATTTCTCAATAAAACTGTTATTTTTTAAAATGCAGTCAGAGCTACAGCGAGATGATATTTCAGATTCCTGAACCCATTGGAATGATTTTTTTTTCAGATTTTCTTCCCTGGAATATTGTCATCATAGCAGTAACCTCCCTGAGCCCTGCTCATCCTCCTAGCCTTCACTACCCAGGCCTGTGAGTCAGGCTCCTTTCTCTGATGCTTTTGCCACCACTGTTTGCTAATTTTCCAAGAACCCTGCTTTCACCTGCTAAAAGGATCCCACTCTGCCCTGCCCTTCATGATATTAGGGTAATTCCTGCTATCTGCTTGTCTGCTCCCCTCTTGGATCACCCTAACCAATGGCAAAGGAAAGCGCATAGTTACTGGTTGTATGAATATTTCCAGATATTTACTCTATTGGTTTGGGGGTTTCTCACACTTCAATTTATTATCCTCTTATCAGCAGCTCCAGCTACTGGGCCTTCATTATATATTAATTGCCAGTGCCAATTGTCATTATTTTTTATATTAAAAATCCATCTATAAACACACTTCAGCAGCTCCACCACCTCACCATCATTGCTCATTTAATCTCCCTCCTCCTCTATTAGAGCAGCAGGGGGCTAACCAGAGCAGGAGACACTGGGGCTAATCAGATCACTAGTTTGTCTGAACATTAAGCTCAACAGGAACTCAGTAGGATGTACTAGGTCAGGTAAGGGCAGATTCAATCTTCCACCAGCTCTGAGGACCAACAGCGGAGGGACCTGGAATCAGAGACAATTAAAGGATGAACCCCAGCTTGAAGGGGCTGATGGTAAAGACTGGGTGACTGTTAGGTGGGGTGGCTATAACTGAGGGCTCTGTGAAGGCATGATTTGATGAGAAGAATTTCCTGGCTTATGCAACACTACTCATCATCTGACCTGTTCACTCACCATTTCTCAGAACTCCTAATGCAGGGAGCAGTGGTAGAAAATGTGTTGGCCAGCAAGTTAGGAGACCAGGGACTTGTCTGAACTCTATTCCTAAGTGTGATTCTTGGAAAACTCCATAACCTCTCAGGGTATCACATTCTTCAACTGGGGGCAATAATCCCTACCTTGCTGACACCTCAGAGTTTTGATAAGGGCCAAATGAAAAAAAAAAAAAAACTTCAGTGAGTATGTATTACTTGTTAAGCACTACTTTAAGGGAGTATTGTTCTTTGCACTTTGCATGCATTAACTCCTTTAATTTCCTCAGTAGTCCTATAAGGTAGGTACTATCATGGTCTCATTGCACTGATGGGGACATTGAGGCACAGAGGAGGCAAACAATTCTCTCAAGCTCACTTGTGTATGTGGCTGTTTCACATACACATGAACAGCACAGTGGTGTTCAGCCACTGCACTGTTCAACCACCCCTAGTCTATAAAATCAAACTCTAGTCTGGCTTTCTTAACTGGAGTCTTTCTCTACCTTCTCATTCTGAGCCCTGGCTTTCACCCGCGTATCTTGGGAGCCCCTCACCTAAGAGTAGGAGAAGGGTAAGCATTCTCCTCATTCTATAGTGCTTTGCTCAGGCCACTGTTCTGCCACCTGCATGTAAAACCCCCTAATTTTTAGCCACTCAGTCTATCTAGTTGGTTCCACCACTCTATTTCCCTCCTGGTTGCCATCATCTAATGACCTCCTAGTCATGGCGCCTCAGTCACTGGAGATTTAGTTTACTGTCTTCCTCCTACTCCAAAGCTGGACTATCCTTTTGGGTGACTTTGGTGTCCAAGAGGAACCTAGCCATAACTGTACCAGTCATAGTTCAGTCAGGAAAGCAGAGCCACTGTGGGGATTCTGGGAAATCCGACTTTGCAAAAGGGTGGGAAGAGCTGGGAAGTGAAGGTCCAGAAGAGAGCATTGAAAGATCAGATCAAGAGTTACTAATGACTCCCCCTAAAGCACTGGTGTGGTGGACAAGTCAGGGCTTGCAGGAAAACATGGAAAGTTAAGCACGTTTAGCTGTTTAAGTCAATGACAAAGAGGAGTTGTGGGACAGTCTATGAGAAACTGCTGCCTCTATGTGGCTATCACTTCTGTGGACCCACAACCAAGGGCCTAGTAATGAGCCTAAGGCCACTGTTGAGGAGACCTGAATTTGGAAGAGAGGAAAGCAAAGAAACACTGGAGCCCTCTTCATACCCCTGCATCTGCCTGTCACCATATATGGCCATGAAGACTTTCAAGGAGTAGTGGGCCCTGCTTCATGTGCCAGCCATCTCATTTCAGTAAACTTCCCTCCCCACTCCTAATCTACCCCTTCCATAGTCATGACCCAAATGTACTGATCCTCTGAAATTCCTCATGTAGTCATCACATTTTCTGACCACAGCCCCTTACCTTTACCTATCTCACCTCTTAAGTTGCTCTCATTAAGGTCACCAATAGTCTCTTTGTCATTAATTCATTCAACAAACATTTGTTTAACTCCCACTCTGTGCCAGGCACTGTATTGGATGCTGGAATACAATGGTAAGGAAAGACAGATCAGAACCCCTTCTCAGCTGGGCACAGTGGCACACACCTATAGTCCCAGCACTTTGGGAGGCCAAGGTGGGAAGATCGCTTGAAGCCAGGAGTTTGAGACCAGCCTAGGCAACATAGGGAGACCTTGTCTCTACAAAAAATTTAAAAGTTAGCCGGGTTTGGTGATACACGCTTGTAGTTCCAGCTACTTGAGAGACTGAGTGGGAGGCTTGCTTGAGGCCAGAAGCTCAGGGCTACAGTGAGCTATGATCATGCCACTGCACTCCAGCCTGGTGACAGAGACAGACCCTGTCTCTGAAGAAAAATAAAAAGAACCTGTTATAATAGACTTCTAGTCTGATGGGAAAGATAGATATCAATTATATTATCCCATGAATAAATGGAGAATTGCAACTGAGAAAAGTGCTCCGAAGGAGAGATAAGTACATGGTGCTATTAAGGAGTAGGATGGGAGAATCTGTCTGAATCAGGGAGGTCAGGAAAGGCTTTCCTTAGAAAGTTATGATTGCACTGAACATCAAGAATGAGGAGAAGGGCGGGGCACCGTGACTCACGCCTGTTATCCCAGCACTTTGGGAGGCCGAGGCAGGTTGATTACCTGAAGTCAGGAGTTCGAGACTAGCCTGGCCAAAATGGTGAAACCTCGTCTCTACTAATAATACAAAAATTAGCTGTATGTGGTGGCACATGCCTGTAATCCCAGCTACTCGGGAGGCTGAGGCAGGAGAATCGCTTGAACCCGGGAAGTGAAGGTTGCAGTGAGCCGAGATTGCACCACTGCACTCCAGCCTGGGGAAAAAGAGCGAAACTCCGTCTCAAAGAAAAAAAAGGGGGGGAGAAGTTAACTAGGCAAAGATGAGAAGGAAAGCATTTCAAACAAAGGGAACAATGTCTGCAAAAGCCCTATAGCAAGATCAAACAGGATTGGATTTATTGGTAAACTAGAAGAGGGCCAACACAGAAGTGCAAGGTGAGAAGTATGGCTGGAGGTATACACAGGAGCCAGAGCTAGATGCCAACATGCCAGAGCTAGATGCCACACAAAAGATTTCTGCCTGATTCCTAAGAACTGTGGGAAGTCATAGAGAATTTTAAGCAGTAATTTGAAATCATCTGATTCACATTTTCAAAAGATCACTTTGGCTGTAGCATGGGGAGTTCTTGGAGCATGCTACAGTGGAAAGGGAGAGGTCAATTAGGAGGCTACTGTTGTTGAGGCCAGAGATAATGGTGGCTAGACTTGGGGTGGTTATAGTGGATATTGAGAGAAATTGGTGAACTTGAAATACACTATTTTGGAAGTAAAATTGTCAGAATTAGGTGATGAATTCGATATGGTGGAGATGGAGACAGCAAGAATGACACTTGGATTTCTGGCTCTGCAATTGGATGAATGTGGTACTATTCATTGATATAGGGAACACTGAAGGAATATAAGGAGAAAGAGTAGGGAGGAAGATCATGAGTTTGATTTTGAGCATGTTAAGTTTGAAGGGCTTTTGTGATATCCAAGAGGACATGTGTTCATCAAACCATAAGTTTATGGGTCTGGAGCTCACAGGAGAGGTCTGGGCTGGAGGTATAGGCTTGAAAGTTGTCTATGTACAGGGATGACTGAAGCCATAGATGGCTGAGACTGAAAATTTAGAGTAAACACTAGGAAGAGGAGAAGGTCTTAGGCTGTAACTTAAGAAACTCTTTGTTTAGAGGTTGACTAAAAGAAGACCCTGCAAAGGAGCAGTTGGAGCAATAGAAGACAAACCAGAAGAGTGCTGGGGACTGGAAGTCAAGGACAGAGCGGGTTTCAAAAAGAAGGCATGTGAGCGAAGAAAGATAAGGATCAAAAGTGACCAAGGGATTTGGTGACACAGAGAGCCTTGGAACCTTAACAGAAACTGTTTTAGTGACATGATAGAAAAGGAAGTCAGATCAGAGTGAGGTGAGGAATGTGTGGGAAGTAAGAAAAAGGAGACAGCAAGTGCAGACAAGATTGTTGGCAGTTTTGATTGGGAAAAAATGACTCATATACATACATATTGATGAAGCTTATACAGAGAAAAGCACAGGGAAGATATGGGCTTGGACATGGAGACCTTAACCATGCTGGGATGAGGGAGTGTGGAGTGAGGCATCAGATTTCAAAAAAGTCGGCATAGAAGTGCACTATGAAAAAAGAGTTTTGGTTTGAGACAGGATGTGGTACCCAGTTGATTGTGTTTGAAATGACACTTTTTTTTTTATTCATGTGTTTATCCAACAAATATTTATTGAGTGCCTACTCTGTGCCAAGCTATTCTAGAACTAAGGATACATCACAGAACAGAACAAGCAAAAGCCTCTCTTCTTACAGAGCTGGTGCTCTGGTTGGAGAAGACAAACGGTAAGTAAGTAAAAGATAGAGTATGCCAGATGATAAGTGCTACGGAGAAACTGGAAAGGGAGCAGGAGCACAGTTTTAAATCGAGTGGGTCAAAGAAGGACTTTCTAAGAAGGTGACATTTGAGCAAAGACTGGCATATGATTAGACAAAGAGTGTTCGAGCCAGAGCGATCAGCAAATGAGATCACATGAGGCAACAGTGTGTCCAGCGTGTTAGAAGGAAACCAAGGAAGCTGGTATGGCTAGAGTGTGGTGAATAAGAGGGAAGTGAAGAGAGATCTGTCACAAAGGAGACAGTGAGCCATATCAGGTAGGCCATTGTAGGAACTTTGATTACGTCGTTGAAGGACTTTCCATAATCTGGCTTATGCTCTGAAAGGACCCTTCTGGTTGCTGGGGTAGGAATAGATGATGGAGTGAGAGATGCAAGGGCAGAAGCAAGGAGACCATTTAGCAGATTAGTAGAGTAACCCAGGCTAGGACTGATGGTGGCTGGTACCAGGGTGGTGGTCATGGAGGTTGTGAGAAGTGGTCAGAATCTGGATATACTGTGAAATTATTAAAGTCAACAAACTGTGTTGGATTGGTCAATGGATTGACAAGTCAATGGGTTGGCTGTAATAAGTGAGGAAAGAGGCAAAGACTTCAAGGTCTGGGGGCTTGATCAAATGGAAGAACAGAGTTGCCATTTACTAAACATACAGCAGTAGCATGTTTGGGAAAAATACCAAGAAAGTGTTTGGCGTGGATCTGTTCTTTGAGACGCTACCAGACAACCCAGTGATGGAGTCAAAGAGGTAGCTGCAGACAGAAGTCTGGAGTTCAGGGGAGACTTCTGGACTGAAGATAGGCATTTGGGACACAGCAGCATTGGGTTGTATTTAAACTCAGGAGATTAGGTGGGATCACATAGAACATAGTAAGGGAAGAGCACAAAGACTGGTTGCTGGAGTCTTTCAAAATTAAGAGGACAAGGTTTACACCCAGAAGAATTGGAAACAGGGATTCAAATAGGTATTTGTATACCAATGCTCATTGCTGCATTATACACAGTAGCCAAAAGATAGAAACAACTCAAGTATATATCAACAGATGAATGAATAAGAAAAATGTGGATATACATACATTATTCAGAAACAAAAGGTCGAGTAACGATCCACACTGCAACATGGATACACATGAAAAACATGATGTTAAGTGAAATAAGCCAGTCACAAATGATCACATATTATTATATGATCCCATTCATATGAGGTCTTCAGAATTGGCAAATCGATAGACATAGAAAGTAGAATGGGAATTAATAAGCACTTTTATCAGAGGGGGGAGGAGATGGAGAGTTATTGCTTAAAGGGTATAGGGTTTCAGTTTAGGATCATGAAAATGTTCTGGAGATGAACAGTGGTAATGGTTGCACAACACTGTGATTGTAATTAATGTCACTGAACTATATATTTAAAATGGTTACAATGGCAAATTTTATGTTTTATATATTTTAGCACAATAAAAAATGTAAAAAAAAAAAAAAGAGGAAAAGTTACAGGCTGATGAGGAGGAGCCAGCAAAGGATACTGAAGAGAAATAATCTGTAAAGTACCAGGAAAAACCAGGAGAGAGGAGTGTTCTGGAAGCCATTGAAGGGTGTTTCAAAGGAAAAAGGAGTGAGCAACCGTATCAAGCGCTGCTCAAAACTCAAGTAAGATGAAGACTGACATTTCACCATTGATGATCCTCATCAAACAAGTTCATTCTAAAATGCTGCTCATCTGCTTGTCATTTCAACGGAAACATGAGCCATCATTTGTTTTTACCCTGAGTTAGTAATCTGAGTCAATTCAATGCTTCCAAAGCCTTCTTCACCCTTTCATATCTACACACTTTTGCGAGGGATTTGGAATTAGCCATAGTGGAAATCTCACCTCTCCCACTGATGAGCCATGTGACCATATAACTTTGGGTAAGCCACTTCTCTGAGCCTGTGAGTTCTTCTCCATGGTAAGTAGGCCCCTCTTTTGCACACTTGCTATGTGGATGGACCTCTCTGAGTGGTCAAAAACTGTGAAGATATTTGCATCTCATGTGAATGCTCAACAAAGGGGAAAAGCCCCTTATAAAACCATCAGATTTCATGAGAACTCACTAACACGAGAACAGCATGGGGGTAACCACCCCCATGATTCATTTACCTCCACCTGGTCCTGCCCCTGACACGTGGGGATTATTACAATTCAAGGTGAGATTTGCATGGGGACACAGAGCCAAACCATATCAGTAGCCATAGGCTCAATGACATTAACCACTAGAATGTGACCACCTTGGTTTGAGGTTTTGTTCTGTCACTTCTGTCTACGATCCTGGGCAAGTTACTTGATTTCTGTAGGCCAAAATTCCCTCATCTATAAAATGAACATTGTAATAAATACCTAGCTCATGGTATCATGGGGATAACTAATAATAGTACAAAATACTTTGTGGTACTTACTCTATGTCAAGCCCTTCGCAGGTATTTGAATCTGTGATCCTCATGACAACTCTATGAAGTTGGGACATTCTATCAATTTGGACACCGAAGTGTGGAATAAGTGGTTCACCCAAGGTCACCCAACCAGTCAGTGGCAGTGATCCAATTCAAATACAGGTAGTCTAACCGTAGAGCCAGAACAGTTAGCCCAACTCTTGGCAGCCTCCACCTGAGAAGGTGTATGCAGCATGCTCAGCAATATGGCTAGTACATATAAAGTGCAGTCAATGCTGTTTGTTGGTATAGTAAGGGTCAAATGACACTGACTGAGTCTGACCTGAGGGCAGAACAAGAGACTGAACACACATCTCAGGTGATTCTGGAGCACTCCAAGGTGGCTGAGAAAATTTGGTAGGGGAATGGGGTGAGTGACTACTTGAGGCATCTGGGTTGATGGGGTCATAGGTCCAAGGTCTCTGATTTGTGGCACAACCCTGGAGGAGTCCTGAGGTTAAGCTTTCTGACATCCTGGAAGAATAAGATATGGCATCAGTAATTAGTTTGTTTTAGAAGAAACATATATATTTCTTGCACATTAATATTTCTGAACTGAAATTCAGACCCATACTCATGAGAGTTGAGAACCTCTGGTCTAGCAAATATAAGGCAAAGATGTTTTTCTCAGCTCCCTCTTCCCCCTCTGAGCCAAGAGCTCTAGGATGCCAAATGGTATGGCTGGGCCCTGTGGTCCCTGAGGCAGATCCAGGACCAAGGGAGATAGCCTCAGGTGGGCTCCTCCAGGAGGCAAGAGCAGAATCCCCTTTACTTGGGAGCTGGACCTGGTACCTTCATACTCCCACCATGAGCTGCTCTGCTGCCCTGGAACCACTGATTTATGCCCTTTCCCTGGCATAAACCCCTGTGTCACTTGCACCCTCTGTTTTCCCAATTGTTTTCCCATTTCTAAATGGCTGGCATCCTCTATCATTACCTGACCCCCAGCTTGAAGCAGACGGCACAAAGTTAATAAGTGACAGACAAAAAGCAAAGCTACTCAGCTCTTATTTTGCATCCACACTTCCCCAAAAGAAAGGTCTTCAAACAGGAAAGACTAGAGTGATTCTCAATCAGTAGAGGTACAATCTACTGGGAGCCCAGAGAAGGAGATTTCCCCAGGCAGTATTCGGAAAGGGGCATGTAGGTTTCATGAATGTCACAGTTACTGGTGTTGCGGAATGTGCTGCTGGCATATAGAGGGTAAGGGCCAGACATGTTATAAGTCCTCCAAAGACCTTACAATGGGGAATTCTCCCACCCAAAATGCCAGTAGCATTTTGTTGAGAAACACTAAAACAAGCTTAGTAGAAAAGGAGTTCTACTCCAGAAGACAGTGGATGGCTAGAGTCCTCAAGGCCCATGCAGCAGCAGGACCGCCAGGGTAGGGGTGCACTGAAGGTGTTAGAAGACAGGGGTTAAAGTGGTACATGGTGGGGGCTGGTATGAATTGGGTGGACAATGAGGCAGGAGGGGCTGATAAACCCATAAGAGGGGCAGAGGGCATAGCATGGACAAAGAGTGTGTGGCTCTGTGAGGACCAAAAGACTGATGTCAATGGGAAGTTGGAGAATGAGGTAGCAAGCAGGGTCTGGGGCACTAGTGCCTTTGTAGGTCATGGAAAGGAGTTTGCACTAGATCTGAGTGGCCATGAAACCTGTGGGGGAGGGGGAGATCATGAGGTCAAATTTGAACACAGTGAGTGGGTGTTGGTTATGGGACATCCATGTGGCAATGCCCCCATAGCAGTGGAGTATATGGTTCTAGAGCTCATGAGAAAGGGCACAGCTAGAGGTAGGGGTATCAGTTCAGGCTGCACACAGTGGCAATTCAAGTCCTGGGTGTGGACAAGCTTGGTGGTAAGGCAGTGTGGGAAGAAACAAGGGAAGGAGTCCAGAACAGAGACCCACCTGAGGGACAGACAATCCTACAGTGGAGAGAGAGGTCATGGGAAAGCCAAGAGAGGGTGGTGTCCTGGAAGCCTGCAGAAGACAGCTTTCAGAAATTGAAGAGGAGCCATAGGCCAGAGCGGTCAAAAGGTCTCAGAAGACAGAGGTTCTTTGAGTCTAGAGGCAGGGCCCAGAACCCAGCAATGTGCCTGGCACAGAAAAGGTGCTCCAGATTTGTGGAATGAGGGGATTAATGCTCCGACATTCCTTATCAATAAACAGCACAGGCAGCAGCACCTCACATATTTGTTTGCCACAGGGCACCCCTAAGGTGTACTGGGCCCCTGTCTATATAGACTATTTGAGTTACCAAAATCCGTGTGTCGGTACCAGCCTGATGACCTAATCTGTCTCGCTCCTATGAAAGAAATACCTTGCTGGCCAGTGGGAGCAATCTTTTTTCCCAAAAACACCCTCAGCAGAGGCCAAGCATGGCGCCCTGGGATGATTCCCATAGGTGGGAGTCCTGGAGCTTCTCAGGATATCTGACTGCAGGGGGTCAGGTGGAAAATAGAGGACTGAAGGGAGCCCAGAGAAGGGAAACCAGTACCAGGTTTCATGCAGGTCCGTAGTCTGGGCTTGGGGTTACCTTCTGGTCGGTCCAGAGGTTCCAGGAGCTGGTGGGGAGCTTCCTGCTTAGAAGGCACTGGAAAGCATGGGGCCCCTGAAACACGGGGCTTGCTCAGGCTCAAGGGCAATAATGACCGCCCAATCACCCTGTGAAGTGAGTGCTATTGCTCCCATTGAACAGTCCACATAGCTGAGACTGGGAAAGGGAAAGTCAAACTGTGACTCTATGTGTAGAAAGATCCCCAAGAGATGGTCAGAAAGGGGCTGTGGACGAGAAACCGATTGCAGCCAGGAGAGGGGAGCTGCGGGAGCTGCTGCGCTCTCTTGGAGCCTCGCTCTTCACCGCCTCCCTATACCCACCTCCCTCTCCTGACGCCCTCCAACCTTCACTCCCCACGCGCCCCGCCCCACGTGAAATAAATTCCAAGACCGCAGCGCAGCCTGCAGTGCTTAGGCTGACCACAGGGTGGCGGGCGCCCCTGCGCTGCCGCCCGCCGCATTTGTATTCTGAGCGAGCCGCCGCGTGCATTATTAAAGTCCGGACTCTGCGTGCTTTCCTGCGTCGGCGTCCTCTGCGGAGCTGGCTCAGCGCAGCGGGAGAAACTGGCTTCTGGCTAAGCCGCAGTCCCTCGTGTCCTGGCTGGAAGGCCCCAGAAGTCACCTGGCCTCTCCTTACTGAGGGATGGCACCCAGAGGGGGACAGGGCCTTGCTCAAGGCCACGGCGGTGCAGCCAGGACCAGAAGCCCGGTCTCCTGAATACTGACCCTATACACAATTCTGGATGTCCCTGGAACTGCACGATGGACTTAAGGCTTGCAAAGGCCCTCCAACTAGCCCTTTCCCTGGAGTTTGCTGCCACTCTCACCCCCAAGCTTCCGAGGTACGCTGCTTCCTCCCCCTCCAGAAAGCCTCCTGCCCAGGTGTACCTACAGACCCCCTTTCCTGAGCTCCTCCATGGGGGCGGGGGTAAGAGGCTGCAATCTTCTCACATTTCTGTTCAGAGCACGCCAGGAAAGAAAGATGAGAGAGCCTTCTCCATTCTCCTTCTGTGTGTCCTGAAGTCTTCCAGAGACTGCCATTAATAACAGGCAGCTTCTGAAGGCAGCTAGGCAGTCAAAGAGCAGTAAGCCTTCCTTCCCACCTGTCTTCCAGGCCAGGAATCCGACCCCTGCTCCCCAAACAGACCCCCACGTCCTTGGACCCAGATTCCCCCACAGCTGTGAAGGATTTTTCATGTTTAGCCTCACTCTGGGAGCAGCAGCCTCTCCTTAGGGTCTGCCTTTATAAGAACCTGAAGGACTAGACCCCGCGCTCACGCTTAATATACACGGCCAGCTCCAGGGGAGTTGGAAGCCAAATTGAACCCTCAGTAGCAAAAAAACATTGTCCACTTACAGCTTTAAAACCTACCCTGCTAAATTCCTGCCATTATCTTAGAGGCAGGTTTCTCAATTCAGCAGCTCAACCCAGCGAATGGGACAAGTCATCATCATTTCTCACCTGAATTACTACATTAGCTAGCTTCCACCCTTGCAGCTTTACAATCTATTCCCAGTATAGCAGCCAGAGTGATTCCATTCAAACACACGTGAGGACCCACCCCTCCTCTGCTCAAAAGCTTGCACGGGCTCCCATCTCCAACAGAGTCAAAGCCTAAGTCCTTGCCATGGCCTGCGAGGCCCTGTATGTCATCTGATGCTATCACCTTTCTATCCACTCACCCTACTCTCCTCCCTTTGCTCTCTCCCAATCAGCCACACAGGCCTCTTTGCTGTTCCGCAAACCTGCAGGCGCATGCCCGCTTCGGGGCTTTGCTCTGCCTATCTCCTCTGCTGGAATGCACCTCCCTTTGATGTCAGCTTCATCCTTCAAGGCTGCTCAAATGACATTTTCTCACTGAGGCCTTCCCTGACCACTCCATTTAATGCTCGTAACATCCCCCGCATCCTGCTCTTCTTTTTTTCATAGCACCTGCTAACATATGTACATACTATTTCCTTATTTATGATGCTATTAATATTATATGTCTCTCTCTATCTGCTGTCCCATAAACCTCAGAGGGCAGAGATATTTCTTTGCATCACTGGTGTATCTCAAGTGTCTAAACCAGCGTCAAATGAGTGAATGAATGACCATGTGCTGATTGCATCAGCAGTCCTTGGAAGCCCTAAAAGGTTATATATACTTATAACTCCCTACCCTTGTGGCTCTGGGAGAGTCAGAGCTGGTTTAGAGGAGCGTACTCTCAAGGGGCTCACAGACGGGCCTGTGAATGCTTTTAATCAGAAATTGTCTCCAGTCCTTGCCACAAACAAATGTGAATTCATGGTGGTAGAGAGGTTAATGTTGATCGGAGACTCTAAAAACAATTCAGGGGTCAAAAGCATGTCTTTTAGCCAGAAGGTGCTCCTGGAAATTCACCACCATTGCTAAAATTGTTTTTCAGTGAAAATGGACTCTAAGGTTAAAAAAAAATTAAAAGCACTTTGGTAACGCGACTCCAAATTCCTTAAAATGGCCTAAACTGAAAACATCATGATGGTCCCACTAGAAGGACCCACAACCAGTCTGACACATCATCCAATTATGTATGGGAAACTGTACTCTAACAGGACAGCTTCATCGTGAATAATGTCCAAAGGACAATTTCTAGAGCAATTGATCAACCCATATGCAATGCTTCATTGGGAGCAGATGTGCTCCTTGTTTTTCTCATTACCATGATTTACTGTCTTCTGAGCTTATTAAAGACAGAGGCTTGAGCCCACTTTGGTGTGTGTGTCCTAGGTGGGCGATGGGGGATGGATAGAATGAGGGAGGGAGACAAGAAGGGAGAACCAACCAAAGAGCTGGGGAGATTTCCACTCTGCGCTGGCAGCATGGATTCACCTGCTGGCACCCACAGCTGCCCTCATCCCAGGGGGCACCCAGTTGGCTGAACCTGGGCTGACAGGTTGATCCACTTTGTTGAGTGCTTCCCACTGGCCCCCCTTCAACACATCCACACATACACACACACACACACACACACACACACACACACACGTGCACATGTGCATGCATCCTTACTGCTACATGACTACCACCAAATGAGCACAGAAAGAGATGACATGGCTCTTGTCAGCTCCATTCAGGATATCAGGAATCTATTTCATCAAATTTAATAAGTTTGTGTGGTTTTGAATTTTCTTGTTCCACTGTCATATGAATCTAGATTTTCTTCCCCAGAGCTTGGGCTGTTTCACACATACACAGGCAAACTCACAGAAACACAGACACGTACACAGGCTTAAATACACATGCACACAGTCACACATATATACGTTTACACACACTTACACATATACACCAACACACTCATACACACACACACACACACATCACTCATAAACACTCACACCAAAAATCCCTCATGCCAATAATCCCTGGACTTTGGAAGGCCGAGGTAGGAGGATCACTTGAGGCTAGGAGTTCAAGACCAGCCTGGTCAACATAGCAAAACCCTGACTCTACCAAAGAAATATTTTTGTAATTAAAAATAAACAAAAACACACTTATTACAGGATCAAATACTGCAGGACAAAAATTACTTTTGTGGCCTAATGTTTTGGATTCTTGTATTTAAACTTTAAAAATCATGTAGTTATTATTTGAAATCTACAGATCTTGTGTCTACATGATTAGCTAAGAGACAACATTTAAGGCTGCTGTAGTTATAAACACTTTTCTCCAAAAACAGCTTGCTCATGTCTATTCCAAATAAATGAAAGACCAAATCATTTTGGTCCCTGCCACTATATTTTCTCTTCTTAACATTGTTTTTGAAGTAATAGAAATTTCTTAGTGTGTTTTATAGGAATTTTTGTGAGATGAATGTAACTTATATATCTGCTAAAAATCATCATGAGGTGAAATTGCAAAATCATTATCATTTTATCCTCCTCATTTGCTTGTATTTGAATATCATGTGGTCCTTATGTCTATGTCTTGAAGTAGTAGCCCTTTACGAATATAAATAGTCAATATTTTCTTTACAGAAGAATAAAATCAATTTAAACTGTATAATGAGTCAAAATGACCATGGGGAATAGAAGTATTTAGCTGAATTATAAACTGATATTAACCACATCTACAGTAAAACCCGCATTTTCACTCAACACTTATTGAGATACTTTCAAACTGGTCTGGTTTTAAAGGGGGAAATATTTAAATAATTTTTAATGTTGTTAATTTTAATTGAAATTAAACCAGGAGTTATCACCATCTTCAAGTTTATCAAACCCATAAAACACTGTCACAGACCCCTAAATAGGAAATGTTGGCTGAGGCTATGACACTCATTTCACAGGCAAGGACGTGTTTGAGACTTGGCTCTCCTACTACTATCCTATGGGACCCTGGTTAGATTGCTGCTTTTCTAGGCCTCTGTTTACTCAGAAGTAAAATGGGAAACATTCTCCTAGGTATCTTACAATTTTTTTAAATAATTTTAACCCAAATACGTCAACACAAAGAGCCCTGACTGCACCTAGACAGGCATGGATCTCAACAAGTGCTAAGCAGAATTTTAAAAATTGAATCACACCAAGGCACATAATCAAAAGGCTGAAAATCAGTAATAAAGGATAAATCTGAAAAACAGGAGAAAAAAATGACACATTACATGAAAAGGAACAAAGAAAATTTCTACTGATTTCCCATCAGAAACAATGCAAATCAGAAGAAAATGGAAACATGTCTTTAGCTTGCTGAAATTAAAAAATAGTCAACCAAGTCAACCTAGGCCAGGCACGGTGGCTCACACCTATAATCCCAGCACTTTGGGAGGCCGAGGTGGGTGGATCACATGAGGTCAGGAGTTCGAGAGCAGCCTGGCCAACATGGAGAAACCCCGTCTCTACTAAAAATACAAAAATTAGCCTGGTGTGGTGGCACACGCCTGTAGTCTCAGCCACTCAGGAGGCTGAGGCAGGAGAATCACTTGAACCCGGGAGGTAGAGGTTGCAGTGAGCCGAGATCACACCACTGCACTCCAGCCTGGGTGACAGTGAGACTCCATCTCAAAAAAAAAAAAAAGAAGAAGAAAAGAAAAGAAAAAATAGTCAACCTAGAATTCTTTATCTAGGACAAAATCCTTCAAAAAATGAAGATAAAATAAGGGCATTTTCAGATGAAAGAAAAAGCTGAGACAATCTGTCACCGACAGAACTTCACTATAAGAAATGTTACAGGTAGCCATTCAAGCAGAAGGAAAATTACACCAGATGGAAACTTAGATCTGCACAAAGGAATGGTAAGCATCACGAACAGTAAAATGTGGGTAAATATAAAAGACATTTTGAGAGCAGGGTCTTGGGGTCTGTCATTCACTGATATATTTCCATCCCTGGTACAGAACCTATTTGTTGAATGAAATACAGTGATCGATCCCACCTCAAATGTCAGGCATGTGAGAAGAAGGCACCCACCTTATTTCCAAAACAAAAATAATTTTATGGTGTTCTCTAATTATAGCGATAATGTATTATCATGATAAATCTTCTGAAAATAGAGCAAATTGTTCAGAAGGAAACAAAAAATCACATGTAATCTGATTATCCAGAAAAAATCATTGTTAATATTTTAGTATACTCCTGTCCAGGCTCGCTCTCTCTCTCTCTCTCTCTCTCTCTCTCTGTGTGTGTGTGTGTGTGTGTGTAGATAGATATGAATGTATATGTAAAGAGATATAGATATATCAAAAATTGAATTCATAGTGTACAAGAACCCTGCACTGAATATCCCTGTAACTAAATCTTTGCCCACATCCTAAATTATTCTCTGAGGATAAATTACTAGAAGCAGAATTGCTGGGTCAAGGCAAATGAACAGTCCCACAGCTTAAGCTATGAGCTGACAATTACCTTCCAGAAAGACTAAACCATTTTCACTCTCCCGTGCTGAAAGACAGTGCCCACCAATTTGTACTCTCACGAATAGTGTGGTCATTCGTACCCGTTTAAAAAGACTTGCCATTTGATACATAACGCATACGGGGCTTAAAACCTAAATGACAGGTTGATGGGTGCAGCAAACCTCCATGGCACATGTATACCTATGTAACAAACCTGCATGTTCTGCACATGTATCCCAGAACTTAAAATATCATAAATAAATAAATAAATAAGACTTGACATTTGATAGGCATTATAGCTTTCATTTACATTTCTCCGTTAATTAGTGAGAATGAACTACTTTTATGCCTGTGGGCCATTTAGAGTTCATCATTCTGATGCTCATTCTTATTCTGGGGCTCAAGTGAGCCAGACCCTTGCCCTCCACCAGCCCTGGGTCTGCATCCTAGTTGCCTCCTGTACTCACTGACTTTGGGAAAGGGATTAACTTTGCAGAGGCACCATTATATTGACTGTCAGTAGAGGATACCGCTGCCCTCATAGGATTGGCATGATGATTAATAAAACAGCATGTGCGCCGGGTGCGGTGGCTCACGCCTGTAATCCCAGCACTTTGGAAGGCCGAAGCGGGCGGATCACGAGGTCAGGAGATTGAGACCATCCTGGCTAACACTGTCAAACCCCGTCTCTACTAAAAATACAAAAAATTAGCCGGGCGTGGTGGTGAGCCCCTGTAGTCCCAGCTACTCGGGAGGCTGAGGCGGGAGAATGGTGTGAACCCGGAGGCGGAGCTTGCAGTGAGCTGAGATCGCGCCACTGCACTCCAGCCTGGGCGACAGAGCGAGACTCCACCTCAAAATAAAAATAAAAATAAAAATAAAAAAATAAAACAACATGTGTGAGGAACTTATCCCAGCATCTGATGCTCCGTCCCAATACAAGTACAAGAAGAAAAATTAAGTTGGGGCTATACACTCATAGGATAAAGGTCTTCATGTTCTGTCCGAGTTTAATGAGAATGTCTCTAGGGTTTCACAATCAGCTATGATCTGGGCTTTTCATTTGAAATTGATTTTTTAAAATCAGGAAGTTCATCAAAGTCCTCTACTAGGAATGGTTGCTAGTTTATCAAGCATCTCTTTGGTGTCCATTAAAATTATGTGCTCAGTCACCTTTGAACTACTGGCCAATGTGATTAATTAAAACAGTGAATTTTCTAATGTTGAATCACCCTTGTTTTGGGGTATTCCTTCATTCATAAAACATTTATTATGCATCTGCTGTGTGCCAGGCACTGTTCCAGGCTCTGGGGATACAACAGCAAAAAAGACAAACCAAGTCTCTGCTCTCATGGAGCTCACACGTTAATGGTGGAGAGAGGCAATAAACAGAAATAAACATAGAATGTCCATACAAAAGACAAGCATACATTTGGCATGTTTGAGGAATGGCCAGATGACTTTTGTGACTGGGAAGCCTTTGGAGAGTTTTAAGTGAGGGAGTGACAAGCTGATTATGTGTGAAAAAAAATCACTCTGGCTGTTGTGTAGGAAATAGGTTGGGGAAGGGCACAAGTGGAAGTAGGGATACCATTTAGGAATCTGTTGCACTCATCTCTGTGAGAGCTGATGGGGGAACTTGGCTTGGACCACAGAACTAGCAGTGGAGGTAGCTTATGGACATACAATCATATGTCACTTAACAACCTGGATACATTCTGAGAAATGCATTGTTAGGCAATTTTGTCATTGTACAGACTTCATGGAGTGCACTTACCCACACGTAGATGGGATACACGCCTATCCTACCACACATCTCGTCTGTATGGTATAGCCTATTTCTCTGAGGCCACACACCTGTACAGCATGTGGCTATACTGTATACTGTAGACAACTGTAACACAAGGTTAATTATTTGTGTATCTAAACATAGCTAAACATAGAAAGGGCACAGTAAAAATGCCATATTATAATCTATGGGACCACAGTCATATATGTGGTCCCTTGGTGACCAAAAACATCGTCATTATATAGCACATGACTACATATGGATATATTTTGAAAGTAAAAGCCCACAAGATGCATTGACAGATGGGCTATGAGGCATGAGAGAAACAGAGGAGTCACAGATAGTAGAATGGAGTTGTCATAGACTGAAATGAGGATTGCAGGAAGAGCAGGTTTTGAAAGGAAGATCAGGAATTTGGTTTGGAATGTGTTAAATTTGGGATGCCCGTTAGCTATCCAGAAGGAGATGTTAAGTGGGCATTTGGATAGCTGCATATGGAATAATCCTTATTAATTGTGTTTCATCATTCTTTTGATATTGTGCTGAATTCTATTTGCTAGCATTTTATTTAGCATTTTTTATTCTTTTCTTTTTGGCTATCATTCTCAGGCTTTCAAATCCAAATTATGCTAAATACTCTGATCTAAATAGTCCAAGTCAAACCCCAAGAATCTTCCATTTTTATCTTATTGCATTTTTTGCTTTTATTATTTTCAATTGACATGTAATAATTGTGCATACTTATGGGGTACAGTGTGATATCTCAGTATATTTATACAATGTATAATGAGCCAATCGGGGTAATTAACATATCCATCACCCCAAACACTTACCATTTCTTTGTTTTCGGAACATTCAAAATCCATTCTTCTAGCTATTTGAAAATATCCAATGAACTGTTGTTAATTATAGTCACCCTGGCTTGGCGCGGTGGCTCACGCCTGTAATCCCAGCACTTTGGGAGGCCGAGGCGGGCAAATCACCTGAGGTCGGGAGTTCGAGACCAGCCTGACCAACATGGAGAAACTCCGTCTCTACTAAAAATACAAAAAATTAGCCGGGTGTGATGGCGCATGCCTGTAATCCCAGCTACTCGGGAGGCTGAGGCAGGAGAATCGCTTGAACCTGGGAGGCAGAGGTTGCAGTGAGCCAAGATCATGCCATTGCACTCCAGCCTGGACAAGAGTGAAACTCCGTCTCACTCCTCTGAGAGCTCCTCTGCCTGGCCGCCCAACTGTCTGGAAAGTAAGGAGCGCCTCTGCCCAGCCTCGGCACCTTCTGGGAAGTGAGGAGCCCTTCTGTCCGATTGCCCACTGTCTGGGAAGTGAGGAGCGCCACTGCCCGGCCGCTGCACCATCTGGGATGTGAGGAGCCCCTCTGCCCGCCGCACCATCTGGGAAGTGAGGAGTGCCTCTGCCCAGCTGCTGCCCCGTCTGGGAAGTGAGGAGCACCCCTGCCTGGCTGCTGTGCAACCCTCCAAGTGTGAAGTGACAGCCTTGTGTGTGATTTTTCTGCCCTCCCCAAGTTTGCATTTTCGACATTAAAGTTCACTTTTTAATTAAAAAAAAATAGTCACCCTATAGTGCCATTAAACACTAAAACTTCAGGAATCTTCATTTTAGGAGCACTCAATAGTCCTGGTGCGGTGGCTCACCCTTGTAATCCCAGCACTTTGGGAGGCTGAGTCACAATGATCACTTGAGCCCGGGATTTTGAGATCAGCCTGGGTAACATAGCAAGACCTTGTCTCTACAAAATAAAAAGAAAACATAAAAAAAATTATCTGGGCATGGTGGCACATCCCTGTAGTCCCAGCTACTTGGAAGGCTGAGGTGGGAGGTTTGCCAGAGCCTGGGAGGCGGAGGTTGCAGTGAGCTGTGATCATGTCACTGCACTCCAGCATGGCCGACAGAGCAAGATCCCGCCTCAAACAAACAAACAAAAAAAAAAAAAAGAGAAAGAAAGAAAGAAAAGAAAAGAAAAAAGAAAAAGAAAAGCAATCCATGAGATTCTGACGCAGGTAGTCCAAGGACGATTATTTGGAAAACACTATGCTTTAATGCTTTTGATTTCTTTTAATATTATTCATCCATGGAACTCCCTATTTATCATTGTGTCAGCTTTGATCATTTATGTTTTCCTATGAAACCATGCATGATATCCCAGAGTTTCTAAATTTAGCATAGAATTTACAAAATATTTTATATATATATACACATATATATACACACATATATATACACATATATATACACACATATATATACACATATATACATATATACACATATATACATATATACATATATACACATATATACACATATATACATATATACATATATACACTGTATATACATATATACACATATATATACATATATACACATATATACACATATATACACATATACACATATACACATATATACATATATACACATATACATATATACACATATATACATATATACACATATACATATACACATATATACATATATACACATATACATATATACATATATACATATATACACATATACATATATACATATATACATATATACACATATATACATATATACATATATACATATATATACATATATACATATATATACATATATATATACACACATATATATATATGTATTTGTTGTTTTTTGAGATGGAGTCTTGCTCTGTCACCCAGGCCGGAGTGCAGTGGTGCGATCTAGGCTCACTGCAAGCTCTGCCTCCCGGGTTCAATCGATTCTCCTGCCTCAGCCTCCCGAGTAGCTGGGATTACAGGCGCCCGCCACCACGCCTGGCTAATTTTTGTATTTTTAGTAGAGACGAGGCTTCACCATGTTGGCCAGGCTGGTCTTGGTATCCTGACCTGGTGATCCGCCTGCCTCGACCTCCCAAAGTGTTGAGATTACAGGTGTGAGCCACTGCACCCAGCCTGCATAATTTTTTTTAAACATCTGTATCTGGACTAGAGATATCATTTGGCATTGAGTTATGTGTACTTGTATGATTCTTTTTTCCCAATATTATTTACCCAAGTTTAGCCAATTTTATCTTTTCAAAGACCCAGCTCCTCAATTTATTTTTCTTTTTTCATATATATCTTAATTTTTCTTGTCTTTTTTTTACTTTTTATTTTACCATAAGAACTACCCTGTTAACTGAAATTTATTTTTCAATTGTCTTCTACTTCAGTGATTTATTATTTTGTCTTTAATAATTGCTTCTCTTTATCTTCTTCGGGGTTTTCATTGTTATTGATATTATTGTTTCTCTCTAACTTCTTGAATCCAATGCACAATCTTTTGTTTTTATTATTTCTTTTTTATTCATGACCCAACTGGTCTCAATAATTTTCTCTGGTTTAGAGGGACACAATCTAAAAAGTGTTTCAGAACAGACAAGAAACCCAACTCTACTTAATTTTTCCCCCACTGAAGATCACTGTGGAGTGGAACAGAAATCATGGTAGCTAATAGTGTTTTTTTTTTCTTGTTAAAGCCAACTCTTAATAAAAAAAAAATTTAAGGAAGGTGGTTCTTTGTCATCTAAGCTTGGGCTGGAGTGGGAGAGCCAATCAAACACAACACAAGCTGTCACACCAAAAACAAAGAAACAAACAACAGACAGTCACCAAATATATAGGGAGAATCAGAAGCAAAAAACGAAAACAAACAAAAAACCCAGAAAATCAATCTGAGAAATGAGTTCAAACCAGTGAAACAGAGTCAATCTAGCAAACAGGAAAGAACTTTCTAAAATCTAATTGGGGAATTAGATTTGAGAGATATGAGATCTGAGGAGGATTTGAGAGAATATGCAGATATTCTCCTGCAGTCCACTGTGAAAAATAAAACAATATTAGAAAACAAGAAACTCCTTAGAAATATCCAACAGGATTGACCCAAAAAAAGTACAAATGAGATACTGACTAGCAAATTGGATGGTGCTGAGACTAAATTTATTAATTAAAAGGAGTGATACAGAGAGCTGAGCAAAATGACAAGGAAATTAGAATTGGGAGAAAAGAGTTAAAGATTTGAGTCTCCATGTTGAAAGAGCCCACTGAGTGCTGAGCGGGAAAAACAAAATATAACCTCACATGTTAACTATCTTGGGGAAATTAGTGAATCCCAACGATGAAGAGAAAGTCCTACTTGCTTCCAAAAGAAAATAAAAATTATCCACAGGGAAAGATAATCAGATCAGAGTCAGACTTTTCATTTATAGTATTAAATGCCAGAAAACAATGAAGCAATGTTTGTATATTTCTAAGGGGAAATTATTGCATGCTAAATTCTATATCCACTCAAACCAGTTTTGTGAATGAAAGGTGTAGCCATTTTCAGATGTTAAAGAACCCAAAAAGTACCTGAGCTGGGTATCTATGGTTTACTGTCCATACATTCCCTCCCAGATCCACCCTTCACCCTTCTGTAACCTGCTGACCACCTCAAAAGGCTGACTTGCATGAACTTCATCAGTGTTGCTCCCTTGACCTCTATTTCCCAATTGGGTTTAGCCAATTAGATACCCCAGCAGCGAATTGGAGGAAGGACAGAGAATCAGGTCACGGTATTTATTCCCCTGACTCCGTTCTTGCAAGGTCACCCCTGAGCTGACTTGTCCCTTGGCTGAATGAAAGTCACTACCCCTCTCAACACAAGTGACTTTATAAACTCTGTATACAACTGGGTCCTGGGACACACTCTCTCTACTAATCCCTTCAGGCCTAGGAGTGGTAACAAGTCAGCTGTTACTAAGTCCCAGGTTTTTGCACTTTTTAAATTATCCTCTTTCTCTCTTGTCCCATATGTTTCCTATTGAGACCTGTCTAGTACAATCATTGGTATCAGAAATAGCCCCAGGAAACAAATTCTCCTAATGGGATTCTGGGTTTAGCTTTAACATGTTTTGGGGCAGTACAGGGAATAGTCTTCTTCCAAGATGATACAGTCCATGGTAATCCATGGCATTCAGTAATATCATGATTACTCACATGATCACCATCCCAAAACTGGGATGAAGTACAAGTGGAGGGCAATGTGATAGGAGATAAAGTGACTATGGCACTCGGTTGACATAGTAACAACAGTGATTGTAAAGATTGCAGTAGCACTTAGATCCATATTAAGGCTCTAGAAATCATAGGGGAAAAAAGACTTTAAAACTATGAACATGCAGTTGAGAACACAACTAGATTGGGAATGATGGTATGTGGGGGAAAAAAGAACACATGTAGAGCAGCAGAAGGCTTCCACGGCATCTTAGAGCATTTCCTACCTCCTCAAGCAAGGGCAGATGTGACTGTAGGCCAAGCTCAACGTCTCATTGCAATGGTTGCAGAATTGCAGCACCAATTAAATGTTCAGCCCTTGAGTCTCTTAGGTTAAGATAAGGGCACCAATAGGAAGAGCTGGGACTCTGAAAAATGGAATGGACCTTGTGCATATCCTACACCCCAAGGAGTCGGAAAAGGAGTAGATGCTCCATAATCTGCAGTTCACAATATCAGCATACATTCGTGTCACTGGAGTAATCCCATTTGATCATATTAGTCTTTGATCTCGCAGTTTGCATGTGCGGGTGGCTAAGACATTGCCTTATTGGCCACTTCATATCAGACTCAACATGAACGCCTCCTGGCGTTTTACATCTACCGCACTGTATTCGGTTATGCAGTCCTTTCATTCCAAAACCTCCATCACACCTCACCAGCTCTCATATCCAGAAGCACGGTGTTTATTGTTAAATATTTTATTTTCTCTATTAAATATACTTATTTAGTATAGTACAGCCCATAGAGCAGGTGCATTGCATGTATGTTCATTTTTCAAAACAATATCTTTTGATTCATTGCCTTTCTCCTCCGATTGATAGGCAAAGAGACTATTCTATGGTGCTTTATTTAAAATGAACATTTTAAAGGACATTGAGAAGCCACATTAGAAGTATAGATATTTTGTAAGAGGTGAGGGTACCCAAACAAAAATGATTCCATAATAAATATTTATCAAAATCATTTTTTTTGGGGTGGGAGACAGAGTCTCGTTCTGTTGCCCAGGCTGTAGTGCAGTGGCAAGATCTCGGCTCACCGCAACCTCCACCTCCTGGGTTCAAGCAATTCTCGGGTCTCAGCCTCCCAAGTAGCTGGGATTACAGGTTTGCACCACCATGCCCAGATAATTTTTGTATTTTTTAGAAGAGACGGGGTTTCGCCATGTTGGCCAGGCTGGTCTCGAACACCTGACCTCAGGTGATCTGCCCACCTTGGCCTCCCAAAGTGCTGGGATTACAGGCGTGAGCTACTGCACCTGGCCTGTCAAAGTCATTTTTATTGTGGTAAAATATACGTAACCTGAAATTCATGCCTTTAACCATTTTTAAATGTTTAATTCAGTGGCATAGTACATTCAAATTGTTGTGCAATCATCACCACAATTCATCTCCACAGCTTTTTCATCATCCCAAACTGAAAACTCTGTATTCATTAAACAATAACTTTCCATCTCTCCCTCCTCTTAGTCCCTGCCAACCATCATTCTACTTTGTACCTCTGTGAATTTAACTATTCTAGGTGCCTCATATAGGTGTAATCGCATAATATTTGCCCTATTGTATTTGGCATATTTCATTTATCACAATGTTGTCAAGGTTCATCCACATCGTAGTATGTGTCAAATTTCCATTCCTTTTTAAGGCTGAAAAATATTCCATTGTACATAATATATTACATTTTGTTCATTCATCAACAGACACTGGGGTTTTTCTACTATTTGGTTATTGTGAATAAGGATACTTAGAACATTGCTGTACAAATAAAAAGAAGAAAAATGGAAAGGAGACTTTTGAGAGGTCACGGAGAGGCAACCCCTCTCTTCTGTCCCAGCATTAAAGCCTTTCAAGATCACATATCGGGCAGTAAACTCACAAACTGAGGTCTCTCCTAACCACCTCTCACTGCCTCCAGGCCCATAACAAGAGTTGAATTCCAATATAGCCCAGAGGGAGAGGTACAATTCCTGTTCAGGGAGGATATAGCTCATATTCCAAAAGAGTTACAAGACCCCAGCAAAGACTAAATTCATTGCCATGAATGTATTCATCTAGTTTGCAATGTTTAATATGTTGGCTCAAGTTCCTAGGACTAGTGTTAAGAGTTTACAAGATTGACTAATCAAACTCTTGACTTACCTAATGGCCTGTACATAATGAGGTTGAAATCTTGGAACTTCCTGAGTTATTATACAATGCTCCAGCTGATGGGATGCTGGATGGATCTATTATGTGTATCCTAGGGGGTCAGAACACTACTGATTATGGAAAGTGATTTTAGAGAACACACAGTTACTTATAATATCTAATACTAAATAAATAAATAAGAACACACGAGACTTAGACAGTCTGAAGGGTTTCAAAGAAGGAAGGGAGGGACACCCTCAGAACTTGCATGGATCAGAGGGAAAAACAAGAGGGGGAAATTCAGGATCCTGCAAAGTAAAAGAAAATTAAAAAATCAAAAAGTTGGCCAGGCATGGTGGCTCACACCTGTAATCCCAGCACTTTGGGAGGCCGAAGCAGGTGGATCACCTGAGTTCAGGAGTATGAGACCAGCATGGCCAACATAGTGAAGCCCTGTCTCTTCTTAAAAAATACAAAAATTAGTTGGGCGTAGTGGTGCACACCTGTAACCCTAGCTACTCTGGAGGCTGAGGCAGGAGAATCGCTTGAGCCCGGGAGGCAGAGGTTGCAGTGAGCTGAGATCGTGCCATTGCACTCCCGCCTGGGCAACAAGAGCGAAACTCCATCTCAACAACAACAACATCAACAACAACAACAAAAAGTGACAAATCAGGACCAAACATTCAGTTTGACATAATGCTATAACTACTAAATAAACTGAGGCAGTGGTTTTATTATTTTTTTTTATTATACTTTAAGTTTTAGGGTACATGTGCACAATGTGCAGGTTTGTTACATATGTATACATGTGCCACGTTGGTGTGCTGCACCCATTAACTCGTCATTTAACATTAGGTATATCTCCTAATGCTATCCCTCCCCCCTCCCCCCACCCCACAACAGACACCGGTGTGTGATGTTCCCCTTCCTGTGTCCATGTGTTCTCATTGTTCAATTCCCACCTATGAGTGAGAACATGCGATGTTTGGTTTTCTGTCCTTGTGATAGTTTGCTGAGAATGATGGTTTCCAGCTTCATCCATGTCCCTACAAAGGACGTGAACTCATTTTTTATGGCTGCATAGTATTCCATGGTGTATATGTGCCACATTTTCTTAATCCAGTCTATCATTGTTGGACATTTGGGTTGGTTCCAAGTCTTTGCTATTGTGAATAGTGCCACAATAAACACACGTGTGCATGTGTCTTTATAGCAGCATGATTTATAATCCTTTGGGTATATACCCAGTAATGGGATGGCTGGGTCAAATGGTATTTCTAGTTCTAGATCCCTGAGGAATCACCACACTGACTTCCACAAGGGTTGAACTAGTTTACAGTCCCACCAACAGTGTAAAAGTGTTCCTATTTCTCCACATCCTGTCCAGCACCTGTTGTTTCCTGACTTTTTAATGATCGCCATTCTAACTAGTGTGAGATGGTATTTCATTGTGGTTTTGATTTGCATTTCTCTGATGGGCAGTGATGATGAGCATTTTTTCATGTGTCTGTTGGCTGCATAAATGTCTTCTTTTGAGAAGTGCCTGTTCATATCCTTCGCCCACTTGTTGATGGGGTTGTTTTTTTCTTGTAAATTTGTTTAAGTTCGTTGTAGATTCTGGATATTAGCCCTTTGTCAGATGAGTAGATTGCAAAAATTTTCTCCCATTCTGTAGGTTGAGAGGCAGTGGGTTTTAAAATCCTCCTATGAAGAAAACAGTAGACCCAGATGATTTTACAGGAACATTGTACCAGCCTAACAAGAAACAAATTATTCTACTCTTATTCAAACTGTTGCAAGACACAGAAAAAGAGAAAATATTCTCCAAAAAACTCTTATGAAGCTAGTATAACCTTGTTGCCATAATCATACAATGACATAAGAATAAAAATGTTAAGCCTATTTTATGACAAAAAAAATTAAACAAAATACTACAAAAATGAAGTCTAGCAGTTTATAAGGAAGACAATATACCTTAACTAATTTAAGTTTCAGGAATATAGGGAGGTTTTAATATTAGAAAATCTACCTAAATTGTTATTCAACATATTAATAGGTCAAAAAAGAAAAATCTTATGATCATCTTAATAGATACAGAAAAAGTATTGATATAATTCAACACCCATTCATATTTTTTAAAAGCTGTAATAGGCCAGCCACGGTGGTTCATGCCTGTAGTCCCAGCACTTTGCGAGGCCAAGGCGAGCAGATAACCTGAGGTCGGGAGTTCGACTCCAGCCTGACCAACATGGCGAAACCGGTCTCTACTAAAAATACAAAATTAGCCAGGCATGGTGGTGGGCACCTGTAATCCCAGTTACTTGGGAGGCTGAGGCAGGAGAATCGCTTGAACCCAAGAGGCGGAGGTTACAGTGAGCTGAGATCACGCCACTGTACTCCAGCATGGGCAACAAGAGCGAGACTCCGTCTCAAAAATAAATAAATAAATAAATAAATAAAAGCCGTAATAAACTACAAACAAAAGGAAACTTTCTTAATGTAATAAAGGCACTTACAAAAATGTCTAAAGCAAATATCGTTCCAAATATGGGAAAGTTAGAAGCATCTCCTTTAAATCAGAAGCAAGACAGTAATGCCGAACTTACCACATCTATTCAACGTTGTATTTGATTAAGTTCCTAGCCAGGAAAACAAGACTTTTTAAAAAAGAACTATAATGGAAAGGATAGGAAAAGAATAACAAAACTGTCATTATTTGCAGATGATATAATTGCCTACATAGAAAACCCCAGAGTACAGAAAATTGTGAGGGGAAAAAAAGAGTTTAGCAAAGTGACAGAATATAAAATTATGACATAGAAAACAATTACATTTTCACACGTAAGCAAGAAACAATTAGAAAATGTTTTCTTAAATTAAAAAAACACCATTTATAATAGAAATAAAACCATAAAATACTGAGGAATAACTCTAACAAGAGATACACACAATTTATATGCAGAAATTTATGAAACTTTATTTTGAAAGACATTATGAAAATCTAAATAACTTAATACATAGCCCATGTTCATGGCTAGAAATACACAATATTATAACGATTTCAATTCTTCCAAAATTGATCTACAGATCCAATGACAATGCTAATCGAAATTCTACATTTTCCATGGAGCCTGAAAACTGGCTCTAAAATGTATATGAAAGAGCAAATCGCACAAAAAAAAATTATACATTTCTGAATAAAAAGAATAAGAGCTGGGCACAGTGGTTCACACTTGCAATTCTAACACTTTGGGAGGCCAAGGTGGGAGGATCAATTTAGCCCAGGAGTTTATCAGCCAGGGCAACATGGCAAGACCTTGTTGCTACAAAAAATACAAAAAATTAGCCAGGCATGGTGGCATGTGCCTATGGTCCCAGCTACTAGGGATGCTGATGTGGGAAAGAAGTCAAGGCTGCAGTGACCAGTGATAATGCCACTGCACTCCAGCCTGGGTGACAGAACAAGACCCTGTCTAAAAAAAAAAAAAAAAAAGGATAAGATGGGAAGACATTCTCTATAAGGTATCGAGTCTCACTATAGCCAAATACTTAGGAGTAAATATAACCAAGGAAGTGAAAGATCTTTATACTGAAAACTATAAAATATAGATGAAAGGTATTAAAGATGACACAAATAAACAGAAAGGTATCTTGTATTCATGGACTGGCAGAATTAATATTGTTAAAATATCCATAGTGTCCAAAGTAATTTATAGATTCACCGCAATCCCTCTCAAAATTCCAATGCCACTGTCCACAGAAATAGAAAAAACTATTTTGAAATTAATATGGAACAACAACAACAAAAACTTGAATAGCCAAGGCAGTCTTAAGCAAAAAGAACAAAGCTGAAGGCATTACACAACCTGACTTTAAAATATACTACAGGCCAGGTGTGGTGGCTCACGCCTGTAATCCCAGCACTTTGGGAGGCTGAGGCAGGTGGATCACTTGAGGTCAGGAGTTCGAGAACAGCCTGACCAACATGTAGAAACCCCATCTCTACTAAAAACACAAAATTAGCTGGTCGTGGTGGCGCATGCCTGTATTCCCAGCTACTGGGGAGGCTGAGACAGGAGACTCACTTGAACCCCGGAGGCAGAGGTTGCAGTGAGCTGAGATTGCGCCATTGCACTCCAGCCTGGGCAACAAGAACAAAACTCTGTCTCAAATAAATAAATAAATAATATATATATGTATACTACAAAGATATAGTAGTCAAAACAGCATGGTACTGGCATAAAAACAGACACGTAGACCAATTGAATCGTATAGAGAGCCCAGAAATAAACCCATACATCTACAATTAATTGCTTTATGCAAATGTGCCAAGAACGCACATTGGGGGAAGGACAGTCTCTTCAATAAATGGGGTTGGGGAAGCTGGATATCCACATGCAGAAGAATGAAAATGAACTCTTATTTCACCACTTGTACAAAATCAACTCAAAATGGATTAAAAACTTAAACATAAGACTTTCAACTATAAAACTACTAGAAAAAAACATAGGGTGAGGCTCCATGACATCAATCTGGGCAGAAATGTATTAGATGTGAACCTAAAAACAAAAGTAACTAAAGCAAAAATAGACAAATGGGATTGCATCAAACTAAAAAGCTTCTACACAGCAAATGAAACAATTTAAATAGAATGAAGAAACAACCCACAGATTGGGACAAAATATTTGCAAATCACACATCAAGGGGCTAATATCCAAAATATACAAGGAACTCAAACTACTCAATAACAAGAAATAACCCAATCTAAAAATGGGTAAAGGGCTTGAATAGAAATTACTCAAAAAAAGAAAAACCACACAAAATAGCCAACAGATATTTTGAAACAATGCTCAACATCTCTAATCATCAAAGAAATGTAGATTAAAACTACAGTGAAATATCCCCTCACACCTGTTAGATTGGCTGTGATCAAAAAGACAAAAATAACAAATGTTGGCAAGGGTGTAGAGAAAAGAGAACCCTCATACACTGTCAATGAGAATGTAAATTAGCACAGCCATTTTGGAAAACAGCATGGAGTTTCCACAAAAAAAAAAAACTAAAAATAGAACGACCGTATGATCCAGCAGTCCCATTACTGGGAATTTATCCAAAAGAAATGAAATCGGTATGCTGAAGGGATGTCTGCACTCTCATGTTCGTTGCAGCATTATTCACAATAGCCAAGATATAGAATCAACCTATGCCCATCAATGAATGAAAGCATAAAGAAAATGTGGCATATATACACAATGGAATACTATTCAGCCTTAAGAAAAAAAAAGAGGGAAAAGTGTGGATGGGGAAATGGGAGCTGTTGGTCAATGGGTACAAAGTTACAGTTAAGAAAAATATGCTCTGGTGTTCTATTGTGCAGCAAGGTAACTATAATGAATGATAATATAGTGTATATTTCAAAATAGCCAAAAGAGGATTTTAAATGTTCTGACTACATGATATGATAAATATTTGAAGTAATGGATATGCTAGTTACTCTGACTTGATCATTTCACAATGTATACATGTATCAAATTATCACTGTGTACCCTTTAAATATAATTATTACTCATCAGTTAAAAATAAAAAACTCGAATGGAATTAGTGCATGGACAAATAGATGTAAATAATCCAATGGAACAGAAAAAAAGAGACCAGTAACTGATTTAGACACAAAGTTTATGGGTATTTGCCATATGAGAGAGGATGCATGATAGAGCAGTAGGAGAAAAAGAATTATTCAATTACTGGAGCTGAAAACAAAAAGATTATCCACAAGAAAAGATTAAATTTGAGCACTACCTTACATTGTACACAATTAACTTCATATGGATTTAAAATTTGAATACCAAAGCTGGGTGCAGCTCGCAACTTTAATCCCAGCTACTTGGAAGGCTGAGGTGGGATGATCACTTGAGTCTAGGAGTTTGAGACCGGCCTGGGAAACAAAATGACGACAACCCATCTGTAAAAAAATAAAAATACATAAAATAAGAAAAAAAAATTTGAGGGGTCGGGCTCAGTGGCTCAAGACTGTAATCCCAGCACTTTGGGAGGCCGAGGTGGGTGGATCACGAGGTCAGGAGTTCAAAACCAGCCTGGTCAAAATGGTGAAACCTCGTCTCCATTAAAAATAGAAAAAAATTAGCTGGGTGTGGTGGCCGGTACCTGTAATCCTAGCTACTCGGGAGGCTGAGGCAGGAGAATTGCTTGAACCCGGGAGGCAGAGGGTGCAGTGAGCCGAGATCACACCACTGCACTCCAGCCTGGGCGACAGAGTGAGACTCTGTCTCAGAAAAAGAAAAAAGAAAAAGAATTTGAATATCAAAAATCTTTAAACTTTTAGATTGAACTGCAGATGAATATATTTTTCTCTTGGAGTGGGAAAGTATTTGATATGCATCAAGATACCACTCAGCAGGAGCAGAAACATGGTGGCCTAGAAGGAGCTGGAACTATGGAAGATATATGGCCACTGCCAGAGATGCTATTAGAAGCAGAGAGAAGGGGAGAAAATATCCTGGTTTTTCCCTCCTCTTGCTCTTTGATATCATGCCAGTTCATCCCATTGGCCAAACCTAACTGGCAGGCCATGAGCATCTAAACTAAAGGATGCCAGCCCCTAGTGATTCAGAGTAAAGCAGAAGGAGGACAGAGAGTGAATCTGAGAGCAAACAGGCAAATGATCAGCACAGATTTCTTAACTTAGTTACGAAAGTGCTGACTATAAAAGAAAAGTTTACAACATAAAAAAGCAGAATTTTATTCATCAAAAATCAACTTAAAGAAAATGAAAAGATAGGCCAGGCATGGTGGCTCACACCTGTAATCCCAGCATTTTGGGAGGCCAGGTGAGTGGACCACTTGAGGTCAGGAGTTTGAGACCAGCCTGGTTAACATGGTGAAACCCTGTCTCTACTAAAAATACAAAATTAGCGGGGCACGGTGGCATGCACCTGTAATCCCAGCTACTCGGGAGGTTGAGGCATAGGAATCACTTGAACCCAGGCGGGGGTGGTTGCAGTGAGCCAAGATTGCACCACTGCACTACAGCCTGGGCAACAAGAGCGAAACTCTATCTCAAAAAAAAGAAGAGAGAGAAAGAAAAAGAAAATGAAAAGACAAGCCACAAAATAGGAGAAGATATTTGGCAATGCATATGATTGACAAAGGATTAGTATATAAAAAACTACAAATCAATAATAAGAAGAAAACAAACAACTCAACAGGAAAATAGGCAGAAGACACGAACAGACAGTTTATAGAAGAGCTAGTGCATATTGCCAACACCCATATGAGCAGATGCTCAACCTCATTAGCAGTCAGGGAAATGAAAAATTAAAACTACAGTGAGATGCCATTTACACCCATTCAACTGGCAAAAAATTAAGAAGTCTGACAAGTGTTGGAGAGGATGAGTGACAACAGAATCTCATACTTCCCTGATAGAAGTGAAAATAAGTACTACCACTTAGCCAAAACAAAACAGTTTGGCATAATATTGTGAAGTTGAATGTTTGTATGCCCTCTAATGCAGCAATTGTATCTCTAGGCACAATAGGAGACATGTATGGGAATGTTCACAGCAGCACTGTTTGCAATGGCAGAAACAAGAACAACCTAAGTCACAATCAACCAGAGAATGGAAAAACAAATTGCGGTAGATGTTCAGCAGTGAAATGAGTGTACTACAATCTCAACCTATAACGTGAAAAAAATCTTTGTAACATGTTAAGTGAAAAAAAGCATGCCCATGAAGACTGTATTTATAGTAAGACCCTCTTTCTATAAAGTTCAAAAAGAAGTAAAAATTATAACCTATTGCACAGCAATATATATACTTATATAATAAAATTATATACATAAGTAAATACATGTATACATATGTTTTTTGAAACAACGTCTTGCTCTGTTGCCCAGGCTGGAGTGCAGTGGTGTGATCTCGGCTCACTGCAGCCTCAACCTCTTGAGCTCAAGCAATCTTCCCACTTCAGCCTCCCAAGTAGCTGAGACTACAAGCCCACACCACCACACCTGGCTAATTTTTTTTTTTTTCAGAGGGAGCCTTGCTCTGTCACCAGGCTGGAATGCAGTGGCAGGATCTCGGCTCACTGCACCTCTGCCTCCTGGGTTCAAGTGATTCTCCTGCCTCAGCCTCCCAAGTAGCTGGGATTACAGGCACATGCCACCATGCCCTGCTAATTTTTGTATTTTTAGTAAAGATGGGGTTTCACTATGTTGGCCAGGCTGGTCTCAAACTCCTGACTTCGTGATCCGCCCCCCTCGGCCTCCCAAAGTGCTGGGATTACCAGTGTGAACCACTATGCCCAGCCTATATCTAGAGTTTAAATCATTTGATTTATAAATATAAACATGAAAGAAAGTGGTTGTCTTGGAATTGTGGGAGAGAGAAGGATGGAGTATAAGCACAAATTCAGATGTCAGATACAGGTAATGCCTTAGTCTTCAAGTTGGATATAAGGATTATAGGTGTTCCTTATAGCAATTGAGTAATTAAAGTGAACAAATAAAGGGCATGCAAAAACCAGTGGTGATAACACATTATATATCAAGGGTTATAACTAATCCAATTCTTTGTAATAGAGGTCCTAAGGAAAATAAAAAGAATTAGTTAATAATTCTGGATAAGCATAGCAGATTGAGCAGATGAGTTTGTTATTGTTTCCTCCAGAAATCTCACTCAAATTGACTATGCAGAGATTTTTTTAAATATTATAAGCTCACAGTGGCAAAAGAATAAAAGAAAAAAGCCCCAATGGTACTGTCTATTTTTGGAGGTTGGAAAGTGGAGAGAGGAATGGTAGCTAACTTAGCTAGCCAGAGGAAGTCATCAGAGGTGAGAAACAAGTTCATTTCCACAGAACCCAGAAAGCCTTCAGAACTGGAGATGCCAGGCATGAAGGAAGGCAAAGTAAAAGATGGGGCTGAAAACAAAAGAGTCAATTAAAAGTCTTTTAAGGAACAGTTCCCCATATCTATCACAGCCAGTCAGGTATTACACCTCCAGTAAGGAGAAAGGAGATTTATTCTCTGCCAAAAGGGGGTACGCCAGGCACTGTGCAGAGGGATTAAGCAAATCTACCCACTAATTGGTAAAACTCCCCCTCGTCCAGTTCCCAGAACTCTGAATGCTAGGACTACCAGTTGACAAGCTTCCTCTAGTCTGTCTCACCAGATACACCCCCACAGATTCCAGTGAAAGCAGAAAAACCATACCTCATGCACATATTAATAGTCTCAGAGAGATATGGCAAGATATTATGGCAATTAAAGAAGAAGTTATGGAAAAAGAGAGGAAAAGAAAGAGTTATTGGTAATTTCTAAAATAATGATCACTGAAATTTATACTTCAAGAAAAAGATTGAAAATAAAGTTGAGAAAATCTCCCAGAAACGGAGGCAGAGAAAATGAAAATGGGAAAGAAAATATTTTTTAAACTAGAGTATCAATCTAAGAAGTTCAAAATTCAACTAATAGGAGTTCTAAGGAACAAAAATACAGACTAAATAGAGGAGATAATTTTTTAAACAATTTAATGAAATTTCTCAAAACTGAAAGATATGAGACTTCATGAAGGATATGAGATTGAAAGAGGCTCACCAAGTGCAGTGCACATCAAAACAAGTGAGAAAAGACCCACAGGAAGATGCTGCATCATGAAAGTTCAGAAAACTATGATAATGAGATCCTAGAGGCTTCAAGAAAGGAAAAGAAAAAGTAAGTCAAAAGATTGATAGGATGGTATTAGACTTAGCAACTGCAACAATGGAGACTAGAAGACAATAGAAGCATATCTTAAAATTTTTGAAAGAAAGTTGGTCAGGTGCAGGGGCTCACGCTTGTAATCCCAGCACTTTGGGAGGCCAAGGTAGGAGGATCATGAGGTCAGGAGTTCGAGACCAGCCTGGCCAACACAGTGAAACCCCGTCTCTACTAAAAATACAAAAATTAGCTGGGTGTGGTAGTGGGCGCCCGTAATCCCAGGTACTCAGGAGGCTGAGGCAGGAGAATCTCTGGAACCCGGGAGGCAAAGCTTGCAGTGAGCCAAGATTGCGCCACTGCACTCCAGCCTGGGCAACAGAGCTGGACTCCATCTAAAAAAAAAAAAGAAAGAAAGAAAATTATTTCCAACTTAGAATTCTATATCCAGCAATGTGTCGATCACATGCAAAGGAATAATAAAGCATATACAATGCCCTGATGCAAACATATACAATCCCTTGAAATGTGTAACTCTCATGCACCCTTTGTCCAGAAGCTACTGGAAGATGTCCTCCACCAAAATAAGGAATTAAGATATATACACCATGGAATACTATGCAGCCATAAAAAAGGATGAGTTCATGTCCTTTGTAGGGACATGGATGAAGCTGGAAACCATCATTCTCAGCAAACTATCACAAGGACAGAAAACCAAACATCGCATGTTCTCACTCATAGGTGGGAATTGAACAATGAGAACACATGGACACAAGGTGGGGAACATCACACACTGGGGCCTGTCAGGGGCTGGGGGACTGGGGAAGGGATAGCATTAGGAGAAATATCTAATGTAAATGACGAGTTGATGGGTGCAGCAAACCAACATGGCACATGTATACCTATGTAACAAACCTGCACGTTGTGCACATGTACCCTAGAACTTAAAGTATAATTAAATAAATAAATAAGAAAAAGAAATAAAGTTCTCCTTTCCAAAGTTAAAAAAAATTAAGACATAAAGAACATAACATGGGATCTAGGAAAATAGGAAAGAAAGAGGGAGAAGGAAATGCCCAGGATGACAAGTGTAAACTGAAGCAGGAAAATGGAGAAGTTGTTAAAGGAAGGCATCCTCCAAGAGTAAAAAATAAGCAACCTAACTTAATGTGCTTGGCTATATTGGAAAAAATTTTACATCTCTGCTTAGAAAGTATAGAAGAAAAACTTCATCACAGGTGCAGAGAAAGCAAAAGCAAATGAATTAAATGAAGCAAATATTGACCCCAGGAAAAACCAAAAAGTTTATTGGGCAGTAAGTCTTCACTTAATGTCATTGACAGGTTCTTGGTAACTGTGACCTTAAGTGAAATGACATATAACAAAACCAATTTTCCCACAGGCTAATTGATATAAACAAGAGTTAAGTTCCTATGCCATATTTCTGGTCACAAAAACATCACCAAACTTCTAAATAAAGACTCAAAACACTTCTAATATTAAACATTGAAATAAATGTGAGCTATTCATGTATTTAAGAAAAATTAATTAAAGCAAATGGAATAATTATTTACTCAATTATTCCAGTTCAGGGTTGTGGATGGCTGGAGCCTATCCTGGCAGCACAGGACACAAGGTAGGAACTGACCCTGGACAGGACACCACCCCTTTGCAGGGGGCACTCACACCCGCACCCACACTCACTCAGACTGGGACAATTTAGAATTGCCAATGACCCTAACAAGCACATTTGGGGATGTTAAAGATAACCAGAGTACCTGGAGAAAATCCACGAAGACATGGGGAGAACATGCCAAACCCACACAGATTGTGACCTCAGCCAGGGACCAATTATTTTTCTGTAACATTACAACGAAACATCATTGAATGAAAGGATGTTATTCAATGACCTGCTGTAATATGAAAGAAAAGGTCATTGTAGTTCACTGTGTGGCTCACCTGTGAATAGTATCTACATAGTCATAATAATTTAAACACTGAATATTTATTTCACCAAAGATCAGGATAGAACTATATTTGATGCAAGAGGAAGAGGGATTATGGGGCAGTAGCATCATGAGAGAGATAACTCCTCATTTTATATAGTAGGATCTTAATAAATGCTATCTAAAACAGCACAGGAATATTCTTTTAAACATATGGGGTTGATATCTGCAGAAACAGCTATGGTTTGAACATTGTTATCTCTGGAGAGTGATGCTCGGGAACGGGGAGGAGAGTGAGACCTGCTGTTTTTCAATGTCAGTCCACTTATATTGAAAGTGCTATGTTTTTAATTGCATGCATATATCACTTTGATTAAAAATACATTTTTAAAAAATGGAGTCTCGATGTGGTGGCTCACACCTGTAATCTCAACACTTTGGGAGGACAGAGCAGGAGGATTGCTTGAGGCCAGGAGTTCAAGACCAGCCTGGGCAACATAGTGAGACTCCATTCCTTCAAAAGAAATGAAAAGTAGCCAGGCATGGTGGTGCACACCTGTAGTCCCAGCCGCTGGAGAGGCTGAGGCAGGAGGATCTACTTTAGCCCAGGAGGTTGAGGCTACAATGAGACATGATGGCAGCACTACACTCCAGCCTGGGTGGCAGAGTGAGAAACTGTCCCTAAAAAAATAGAAATAGCTGGATGTGGTGGCTCACGCCTATAATCCTAGCACTTTGGGAGGCCGAGGCGGGTGGATCACTTGAGGTCAGGAGTCCGAGACCAGCCTGGCCAACATGGGGAAACCCTGTCTCTACTAAAAATACAAAAATCAGCCGGGCATGATGGCATGTGCCTGTAATCCCAGCTACTCGGGAGGCTGAGGCAGGAGAATTGCTTGAACCCAGAAGGCGGAGGTTGCAGTGAGCCAAGATCGCACAATTGCTCTCCAGCCTGGGGGACAAAAGTGAAACTCCGTCTCCAAAAAAATAAAAAATAAAAATAAAATAAAAATAAAAAATAAAAAATGGAAAGTTTTCCTCACCTTTCCCACCCTCCAGAGGTCACCACTGTGAGATGTTGGGTATCTATATGCTTCCAGATGTTTTACTCCATCTATACACAATAATCAACTAACTCTAGATGGATCAAATGCTTAAATATCAAAAACAAAACTTAAAAACTTTTAGTAGAAAATAGCTTTCTGACTTTGGGGGTAGGGAAGACTTTCTTAAACAAAACTCAAAATGCACTAAGAAAAGATTGATAAATCAAGAAATTTTGTTCCTCAAAAGACACTATACTAAAAATGAAAAGAGAAGTTCCAGACTGGGAAAAGATTTTTGCCACACATACAAACAACAAAATATCTAAGGCAAAGAACCAGAAATCATTAAGAAATAGATAAGCATTGCAATGAAAATAGGCAAAGGATGTGAACAGGCATTTCACAGAAAAAAATACATATCATCAACATAGATATTTGAAAACAATATCTACTTTATTATTGATCAGGGAAATGCAAATCAAGAAAACATTAGATATTATTTTATATCCATTCAAATTGACAAAAATTAGGAAAACTGATAATACCAAGTGTAGGAGAAGATGCAGTTCAACAAGAGCTCTTCTGTATTTCTGATAGGAATACAAATTGGTACATCACTTTGAAAATTAGTTCAACATCATTTTGTAAAGCTTAACATTTCACATAGCCTTTGACAAGCAATCCCACTTCTCAATGATTGTGTGCATATGTACCTTTGTATCAGAAGACATATACAATAATATTCATAGCAACACCATTCATAATAGCAAAAATCTGGAACTACGATCTAAACGTCCATAGACAGGAACAGGAATATATATCATAGCTACATTTACTCAATGGATTATTACTATACAGCTATTTTTAAATTAGCTATAGCCACACACAACAATATGGATGAATCTTAGCAATATATATTAAGTGAAAAAAGTGCCAAAAAAATTGTATATAGTGTAACATTTTTATTAAGTTAAAAACAACTAAAACTAAACAATATAATTTTGGGGAACATGTACAGATAAAACCATATTTTTATTTTTTTATAAAATAAAATTATAGAGATGAGCTCTCACGATGTTACCCAAGCTGATCTCAAACTCCTGGCCTCAAACAATCTTCCCACCTCAGCCTCCCAAAGTGCTGGGATTACAGGTTTGAGCCACCACACCTGGCCTATAATTTTTTTTTAACTAAGGGAATGCTAAACACGAGTTTTGAATGGTCATTATCTCTGGTAGAAGATGCTGTATATATTTTTTGTACAAATTGCACAAGGTCTAATTCCTATAATAAACCTTTTATTCTACATCACTTATAGTGGTTCTGCTTCTCTGATAGAACCATGTCTTTACAGCCATAAACCACAAATGGTGATTAATCAATTTTGGCACTGAAGTTCCAAAATATGCACATGCCGAACACACACACAGACACACAGACACACACACACATACACACTTTCCTTTCTTGACAAAAATGGAATCACATTACACATGTTGTTTTAGCAGCATGTTTTTAAACTCAATGTATTGTAAACAAGACATCACAAGAAAAAATCATAGACCAATATCTCATATAAATGCAGATGCAAAAATTCTCAACAAAATGCTAGCAAACTGAATCCAGCAACATATATAAAGAATTATAGGCCGTGACCAAGATGTATTTATCCCAGGAATGCAAAGTCAAGTTAACATCTGAAAAATCACATAATGTTATAGACTGAATCAATAGAATAAAGGATATAAACCACACAATCATCTCAATAGGTACAGAAAAAGCATTTAACAAAATCCAACACCCTTTCGTGATAAAACACTCAGCAATTTAGAAATAGAAGGAAACATCCTTACCCTAATAAAAGGTATCTATGAAAAATCCACAGCTGACAACACCCTTAATGGTGAAAGACTGAAAGCTTTCCTCCTAAGACCCACTTGTATTCAACATTGTACTGGAAGTTCTCGACAGGGCAGTTAAGCAAAAAAAGAAAGAAAGAAAGAAAGAAAAAGAAAGAAAGAAAGAAAGAAAGAAAGAAAGAAAGAAAGAAAGGAAGAAAGAAAGAAAGAAAGAAAGAAACAAAGAAAGAAACAAAGAAAGAAAGAAGGAAAGAAAGGGATCCAGATTTGAAAGTAAGAAGTGAAACTATCTCCATTGGCAGATTACATAATAATGTATAAAGAAAATCCTAAGGAGTCCACTATAAAACTATCAGAATTAGTGAACAATTTCAACAAGGTTGTAGGATACCTCATGAAAGCTTCCTGGCAGTTCTGACAGGTGGGTGTGGCTATCTTGCAAATCAGGAACTTGAAATTCAGAGATGTTATCCAATTTTCTCTAATACATATATTTAAAAAAAAAATCACAGCTTGGATTTAGACTCCTCTTTCTGACTCCACAGCCCATGCTATTTCTACCACACCATTAAGCCCAAGTGGTAGGCTTAGTATCTATTGAGTGAGGGGGTCCAGCTTTCATTGTCTAAATATGGATACTGGGAGCAGAATGAACAAGACCACAGAATCTAGTACTGTAAAGAATGACATCTGGCCAGGTGTGGTGTTTCACACCTGTCATCCCAGCACATTGGGAATCTGAGGCAAGAGGATTACTTGAGGTCAGGAATTCGAGTCCAGCCTGGGCAACATACTGAGACCCAGTCTCTACAAAAAAAAAATTAAAAATTTAGCCAGGCATGGTGGTGCACACCTGTAGTCCCAGCTACTTGGGAGGCTGAGGTGGGAGGATCACTTGAACCCGGGAATTGGAGGATGCAGTGAGCCATGACTGCACTATTGCATACCAGCCTGGGCAACAGAGCAAGACACTGTCTCAAAAAAACCACCACCAACAACAAAAAGAATAGCATCTCTCTATCACCACCCACAGGTTGGTTTTTATCCGTTGATGACAATGGGAGATTTTGTTTTATAAGTGGGTGCGGAAAGAGCTGCTGACTGGGAAGAGAGAGGAAGCAGGTGGAAGGGCAGCCTCTTAAACTGGGCCTGAGCCCCTGAGCCACAGAGGTGATGGTAGAAGCTGGTGGAAGGGTTTTCTTAAGAGAGTTCATGAGCCCATGAGCATAAGCTGAGCTGTTTTGGCTCCAGGGAATAAAGGGTACCTCTGAGTCAGGGAGAAGGCCATAGTTCCTACCCATGTACAGAATCCCTTTTCATTCTGGCACTCCAAGGATTAGTGGCTTTGGGAGCACCAGGAAAAAGGCACTTTTTGCATGGGCGGTGGCATTTTCATGATGGGCATCACTAGGAACAGTGGCATCAAGGCCTTCCCAGGGGCCCTGTGGGCAGTAGATGGCCCCATATGGGAACCAGAGCCACAAAGAGAAAGCATAAATCAGATGCCACTGGGTGGGGCTGGTTTGTGGCACATGTGAGGGATATTCCCTTGGGGGTCTTCCAGAAATATTGTTGGGGGGGGACATTTAGAACAGGGGCAGCTGGGGACTGGAGCCTGTATCGTTGATAACAGTGAGACTTCTTCATTTGTACACACAAGCTGCTGAGGCTCACATACGTGGAAAGGAAGTTGGTTGCTTATGTTAGTTGCTCCCCAGGAGACAGTGATATCAGGATATATGAAGCCTCCTCCATGATTCCAAGAAATTGCTAGAGAATGGTTGAAGGGGCTACGTTTCTGCAAAGGCGTGGGGCATAAACTGTCATGGAAATCTCAGCATAAGTGGGAATGTGGTTCCATCCTGTCTGCCTAGTGAAGCTAGGAAATATTTGGGTTTCAGAAAGTAAGCTAGAAAACTCCAAGTATGCTGTGTGACCATGAAGTAATAATACAAATATAATGTTAACTAATGCAAATCTGATCCTGCCACTCTCCTGCGTAAAACCCTTCAGGGACTCCCCTTAGCTAAATTCTATGTAAGGTCCTCTTCATCCACCACTCTCTCCCCTCTCTGGAGTGAGAGTGGTAGTACCTTCTCCAGATCAACCATGCTGGACTCCTTTTAGCCCCAGGACACTCCATGCTCTCCTTTGCCTCCAGGCCTTTGCACATGCTGTTCTCACTTCCTAGAATCCTCACCCCACACCCATCCCTGTTAACTGGCTAATTCGTATTTCTCTTTCTCCTCTCAGATTAAATGTCATTGCCTGAGAGGTCTCTCCTTGACCCTGACTCCAAGACTAACTTAGGTCCCAAGGACAAATGTTTCCTGGTCTTCCCTTTCACAGCACTTGTCCCATGGGTAATTCTTCATCAATCACCTCTTTTCCCTGCTGGAGTTTTACAATCTGTCCCAGTGAGGATAACATCAGTTCTGATCAACACTGGATCTCTGGTGCCAAGCACAGTGCTCAGCACAGAGCAGATGCGCAATACGCGTGTGTCAAATGAACAGATGAATGAACATACTCATTGGTTAGGTATTCACTCTGTGCCAGGAACTTTGCTAATTACTCTACATGCATTTATGTCCTCATTTTATCCCTGATTAAGGTGAAAACCAATGAAGTTATATAACTGTCCCAGGTCACACAGCAGCTAAGTGGCAGAGCCAGGACTCAACACAGGTCCATCTAACTGCATAGCCCCTCCTCTTAACTAGTTAACAAGCATACCGCATCATATAGGGCAAAGAAATTCCTATCCCTCTGTAATCCTGTTCAATTGGGAGATGCTCTTAAGATGTGGATTTAGACTTAGCAGAGAAGAACAAGGTCCTAAGTTTGCACATGCCAGACTAGTTTACCAGAATCTTATAAATGAAGTGGTGCTTTCTTTGACCAATTCCCATGGTTTCCTGTCTCTAAATCTCCAGGAAGCTCAAGAAAAAGGATGCTTAGAAGCAAGACCAATCAGGAGGCCATGGCAGTAATGAGAGGTGATAATGGCTTGGACCAGGGTAGTTGACAGTAGAGGTACAGAGAAGTCACAACAGACACCAGACAAACCAAAGTTGCTGATGGATTGGATGTGGAGTATAAGATAGAGAGAGGAGTCATCAATGACTTCAACTTTCTTGGCCCAAACAACTGGAAGAACATGGAGTTGCCATTAACTGAAATGAAAACAATGGCAAGTGGAACATATTGGGGAAGATGGGAGTTGCACTGTATATCAGTTAAGTTTGAGGTTCTTGTTAAACATCCAATTGGAGATAATCAAGTAGGCCGCTGGATATGGTGTCTGGAATTCAGGGGACAGATCTGAGCTGGAGTCTTTCCTAAATGTCACCTTCTGCACAATCTCTTCCCTGACCACCTACTGAGAATTCTAGCTCTGTATATTCCCTGCTTTGTGTAGCACTTATCACCATCCAATACACTATCTACTGTACATGTTTGTTTTGTTTATTGCTTGTTTCCTTCATCCCACTAGAGTGTCAGCTGCAGGAAGGCAGGGGTTTTTGTCTGGTACAATGCTTGTGCTATGATTGGATATTTGTCCTCTCCACATCTCATGTTAAAATGTGATCCCCAGTGTTGGAAGTGGGGCCTAGTGGGAGGTGTTTGGATCATGGAGGTGAATCCCTCATGCCCAGTTTGGTGCCATCCTCGTGATAATGAATGTGTTCTCACTCTTAGTTCCCACAAGATCTGGTTGTTAAAAAGAGTCTCGTACCTTCCTCCATCTCCTCCTCTTCCTCTTCCTCTTCCTCCTTTTCCTCTTTTTCTTCTTCTTCTTCTCCTTCTTCTTCTTCCTCCTCCTCCTTCTTCTTCTTCCTGTCTCTCTTTCTTTCTTTTGCCCACACATGTGCAGCTTCCTTCCTCTCACTTTGTGATGCTTGTTCCCTTTCCCATCCCACCATGAGTGGAAACTTCCTGAAGCCCTTATGAGAAGCAGATGCTGGTGCCATGCTTCTTGTACAGCCCACAGAACTGTGAGCCAAATAAACCTCTCTTCTTTATCAATTACCCAGCCTCAGGTATCCCTTTATACGAATGCAAATGGACTAAGGCAGCCTGGCACTTGGTAGTCCCTTAATAAATATTTGTTGACTGAGTGGATGAATGGATTTAATAAAACAAAAGCTCAAAGAGAACTCAACAACAAAAAAAATTCAGAAGCATATTGTGAATAAATTTTCTCAAAATAAAGCAAGAATTAAATCAGCAAATTGTAAAAGCATACCACATATCATGATAAAAAATGAATATAGAATCATTAACTGGAGATGTGTCCTGGTTAAATTATTTAACTTGAAGTATAAACAAGAGTTCTTCAGATATTCAAACAGAAACAGCAAATTGTCAAAGGAATAAAAACCGGACTTTTCTTGTATTTTTCCATAGAAACTATCAGTGCCAGAAGACAGTGGACTAGTGTCCACAAAGTTCTGAGGGAAAGTATGACCCCAAAATATTACGCACACCTAGCCAATTTATTATTCAAGGATAATTGCTATTCACAAACAGGAAATACTCAGGGGATTAACCATTCATTGCTTCTTCTAAAAAAAAAAGTACTACCCAATAAGAAAAATCCTGCCAACCAAGGGATATACCAGAACTCAGAAATAGCTGTGAGTCTTGAATCCATTAAAATATAACAACACTAAGACTAACTATAGAACCTTCACTAAATGACTCTCTGGGGAAATCACATCATTGCAAAATATAATGCATTATAACCATTGCCAAAGTAAGGCGAATATAACCAATGAAAATTGGGATGTGGGAGAACAAGAAAATAAACGTCTTCTTCCATTGTGGGTAGTCCATTGACAGTGTCTACATAGATTTTCCAAGAAAAAGGAAAGGAAAGGGAAAGGTGGGGGAGGGGAGGTAAAAAGGGGGGGAAGAGAAAAAGAAAATAATTTCTCCAATTGCATAATTTTTTAATGTTGTTTGTTTGTTCGTTTGTTTGTTTTGAGACGGAGTCTCGCTCTGTCGCCCAGGCTGGAGTGCAATGGCACTATCTCGGCTCACCGCAACCTCAGCCTCCCAGGTTCAAGTGATGCTCCTGCCTCAGCTTCCTGAGTAGCTGGGATTACAGGCATGCACCACCACGCCCAGCTATTTTTTGTATTTTTAGTAGAGATGGGGTTTCTCCATGTTGGTCGAGCTGGTCTGGAACTCCCAATCCCAGATGATCCGCCCGTCTCGGCCTCCCAAAGTGCTGGGATTACAGGATTTATGATTTTTTTTAACCCCAGGGCCTTACAAAACTAGTAGACCTTATGGGGAAGAAACATTTACATCAAGTTCAGTAGTTTCTTTATTTTCTAACTAGTTCCTTTTTGTATATCTTAAATTCAAGTAAAGCCAAATCTGACACTTTTTGTTAAAAAATTAGCATGACTGACATGATCCCCTTGTTATAAAATTATTCATTGATAGCTTGATGCTTTCTACCTTTACATGTATATAAAGAGACGGTTGGTGTCTTAGTCTGTTTTGTGCTGCTACAGCAGAATATCTGAGACTGAGTAATTTATAAAAACCATAAATTTATTTACCACAGTTCTGGAAGCTGGGAAGCCCAACATCAAGGTGCTGGCATTTGGTGTCTGGTGAGGGCCTTCTTGCTATGGCCTCATGTGGTAGAGGGCAGATGGGCAAAAAGGGATGAACTCCCTTTGTCTAAGTTCTTTCATAGAGGCACTTAACCCCATTCATGACAGCCCTCATTGACTCAATCACCTCCCAAAGGCCCCACTTCCCAATACTGCTGCACTGAGGATTGAGTTTCAACATAAATTTTGGAGGGGACACAAACATTCAAACCATAGCAGCTGGGTTGTTGTTCACCAGATGTTGACTGTATTTGTTTCTTTTCTGGGTGACAAAATCCTTGGTGATTTATTTGTTTATTCATTGTAATTCTTAAATTGCTTCAATTTTTATAGTATGCATTATCTGCTTTATAAAAACAAAGTCATTATTCTTCTTAAAAATTAAGAATAAAAAAAAATTCTCCCTTGTGTGCCAGCCAACACATGGAAAGCTATTTATCCTGCATTGTTTATAATAGGGAAAAATGAAAATAATGTAAATGTTCATGTTGGAGAAATAGTTAAACAAACCTTGTAGTATTTCCAAAATGAGCAACAATTTAAAAGAAGAAGTAGAATTATATGTATCCAAATGGAAAGATTTCCAGGACCGACAGGTGAATAAGGAAGGTTGTTGAATGATGTTTATACTAAGATGCCATTTGTGTGTGTGCACATAGGTTATTGCAGAAGAAAAGGTCAGGAGAGAGGTGTACCAATTGGATAACTGGGACTCCTCCAAAAGCAGCTAGGGATAGGGCCAAGTTGGAGGGGGTGGCTTTATCTGTAAAGGATGAAAATTTTATAAGCAGGATATCTTTGTGTACTAATTTCACAATTTAAAATCCATTTATTTTTAAGAAAATATCAAAGCTGAACACTTTGATAGTTGGAGGTTCATAGAAGGTCAGCTTTGATAGTAGAAGAAACATGCTTGATTCTAGATCCAGCAGCATGCCAGGAAAATTCACAGCTGTCCCTCCTCAAGATGGGATGTAGTGGAGAAGGTTGCACCCTAGAGGAGGGAGACATTTCCAGTTAAAGCTGCAAGACGATGAAGAAAGTATTCTGGGAAGAGATCGAGAAGGTACTAACATTTGTTTGCAGTGGAGTTCTAAAAAGCCTTTGAGAAGAGCTTGAGGGTGGGAGTAGTTGAGAGGAATCGGAGTGAGACTGCTTATAGCAGTAAAGGGATGGGGATTTGGGTTGGGGAAGGGGCTTGTCTTTCCTAAAGTGTCTGAGGATGACCCTGATGAGAGATCTGACTGGAATAACTGGCTATAGTCCCCCTGCTGCCTAATAGCCCCAAATTTGCAATGCAGTAGCAAGGAATCTATTCTCGGCAAGGGCTGCCAGGAAGTTTGTGGAAGGCTGGCAAGAGCTTTGCTTACCTGGTGAGAGGAGTGGCAACAAGTTGGTTGGGTTGGTGGCAAAGGCCTTTTATTTGTGTATTAATGGACAATATATTTCTAAAAACTAAAAATAGCAAACACATATAGCAGTTTCTATGTGCCAGACACTGTTTTGAAATGTTTTGCACATATACTCAGTCCCCACAACAACTCTAGGAAGTAGGTCAAGCCCCACTATGCAGTTTGGACACTAGGGCACAGTGATGGCAAATGACTGAGTCACAGCCTCACAGCTTGTACATAGAAAAGCAGGGACATAAACTCAAGCAGCCTGGCTCTAGTATCTGAGCTCTTAACCACTAGTAAAATGCCATATTTTAACAATTCTGAGATGCGTATTTTTTTCATCTGTGAAACTAGAATGCATCTCACAATTAATGATGTTTCACTGTTTAGTTGGTAACATTTTTACTTTCTTAGGGGTATCTAAAATAATGGTGCTTCTTAAATTCAGTGATACATGGTTTTGAATGGTTGTATTATCCATCCTGAAATCATGTTGCTCTAGGACTGCCCATGCATTGGTGCTTGGGGAAGATCTTTAGCACCAGTAAGACCCGAGTTGGGGCTGAGTGGGGTGGCAGTTGCCTGATCAGGGCCTGGTGATCCACCCCCCCAGGTTTCACTAGAGCATATTTCAGCGGCAGATTCCACAGGCCACGCAGTGACCAGGTAGGACAAAGGACATGGCTACAGTGACCAGCAAGGACCTGAGGGTAACACAGGGACTGCATGTGAATCTGGGGCCCCTTCTCTCTGAGAATATAAGAGCATCTCCCCATGCCCAGATGCCATTTTGGATGACAGAAGAGTTTGGGAAAGAAAGCCTAAAGGACTGAGCATTGGCCAGGTTCAGTGGCTTATTCCTGTAATCCCAGCACTTTGGAAGGCCAAGACAGAAGGATCCCTTGAGCCTAGAAGTTTGAGACCAGCCTGGGCAACAGAGTGGGATGCCATCTCTGCAAAAAATTTAAAAATTAGCTGGGTGCAGTGGTGCATGCCTGTTGTTCGAGCTACTCAGGAGGTTGAGGTGGAAGGATCACTTAAGCCTGAGAGGTTGAGGCTTCAGTGAAACCTGATTGTGCCACTGCATTCCAGCCTGGGTGACAGAGTGAGACCCTATCTCAGAAAAAAAAAAAAAAAAAAGACTGAGGACTTAGCTAAACTAAAGTACCTGAAAGAAAACAGCTTATACTGAAAAAGGGTTGGTTTCCTTTGATTAACAAGTTCATGTTTTTCTCTCCTATATCAATGGGAATGGAAGCTTCAAAACAAGATGGAATTATGGGAAGTTAGGAAGGCAGAACATTTTCACCTATCTGAGTATAGTGAGTGTAAATTTTCAACCTATATTGATTGTTTATTCATTTGTATCTTGCATCATTACAAAAAGGAGGTAAGGCAACTGTATTAGTCCATTCTTGCATTGCTATCAAGAACTACCTGGGACTGGGTAATTTATAAAGAAAAGAGGTTTAATTGGCTTATGGTTCCGCAGGCTGTACAGGAAGCATGGCTGGGGAGGCCTCAAGAAACTTAAAATCATGGCAGAAGGTGAAGGGGAATCAGGCATGTTCTCCATGGCTGGAACAGGAGGAAGAGACAGAAGAGGGAGGTACTACACACTTTTAAACAAGCAGATCTCATGAGAACTCACTATCACAGGAACAGCAAGGGGGAAATTCACCTCCATGATCCAATAATCTCCCACCAGGCTCCTCCTCCAACACTGGGGATTACAATTCAACATGAGATTTGAGCAAAGACACAAATCCAAACTATATCGGCACCCCAAATGGTGTTATGGCTAAAGGACTTAGAGAGATGGAGACTCAGAAAACCAAGCAAGCTCACAGTGACACTCTGGGTCTCTCGAGGCTCCGGTGACTCTCCTGCCAGCTCTTCATCCCTTTGCCTGCTTGTGCCCCTCTCCTTCTCACTTGTTGCTAGCAAGTTGCACTTGCTGGGGCCAATTCCATGCCCCAGCACATTGTTCTGCCACCCCAAGCACAATGCTGACAGTGCTCAGCTCTGCCAGGAAGCCTACCATATCCCTTTATGCCCATAGAATCTGAACCAGATCCCTGGGTGAGAGGTTTCAGGAGCTCTATGCCCTCAGCCCCAAACCTAGTAGGCTGAGTGGAAGCCCCACCCCCAGAGGAGTTGCCCAGGAGGAGGTTCCAGAGCACTGTCAAGTAAGATAGAGAATTGAAAAATCAGTGACCTTTTCAAGAGGAGCTTAGGTTCTGGATGGGAGATGGCAGCATGTTTCAAACCTGAGAGTGGGCAATGGCAGAAACAGGCAGCAGAATGGGGTTGAGTTGGTGGTAGGGGGCGACTGTTGGGGTGTAAGGAGTTAAAAACTAATACCACCCCCCCTTCTATGTTCAGAATCAATTGACAAACTTCACGAATTTCCTGAACTCCAGGAATGTACCTGCCTCTTTTAAGTTCAAGTTGGTACAGACTCAAATCTCTTTGTCATTTCCCCTTAACATGTCACACAGAACTTCCAAAACACTTAGAGAGCCAAAACCTGACAGAAATGACAAGGAGCACTTACTCTAGGGAAGGTCTTCTGGTTTCCAGGAAGAGATTCTTTTCAGCTTCCCCAAGTAAGGGGAGGAGAGACTAGATGAATTAGACATGTGGGGTTTGGCCAGCTTATATCCCTTCCTCCTTCTTCTGACAACACCTTGTTTCTCCATTAAGGAATTAGTCCTCTCAATCTATGTGGCCCTGAGGGGAGTGGTCAGTCATATCCCAGACTGGCTAATAGGGATAATCCATTCCCCCAGCCAGAGTAATTGGTCTAGGGGTGAACACATGACTGAAGCTGGGCCAATGAGAGTCTTTCTAGAGAAGTGCATCCTTGGAGATCTCTCTCTGATAGCACCACAATCAATAACATCGACTTAAAGTTAATTAACAATTAACTTTAATAATTGTTAATCAACTTTAAGTTGTTACTAGATGTCTACAAAAGAAATAAATTATTTACAGAATAAAGTAGAAATGTGACAAGAAAATAGACCCAACAAAAGAAAGGAGAAGCAAAGCCCTGGCAATATTGAGCCCCTAAAGTCAACTCAACCAATGGACTTCTCAGTTTAATGAGCTGATAAATTTTTTTTGTGCTTAAGTTAGTTTGAATTGGATTTCCATTATTTATCTAAATTGTTATGACTACTGCAATGCACATAAATGAGAACCAAAGACTCTATGGATCTTCGCTGGGACCACCAATGTGGGCCAGCTGCTCTGCATCCGTTGCCCGTAGATTTTGTGACAAACTGACTTCTTCACCCTCTACTCTCCACTTCTCATCTACTTCATGGCTTTTGGACTCTCATGGTTCATGCTTCCTGATAGCTTCAGCCTCCTCAGAACTTGCCATAGGTACATTACATCTCATGGCTCCTCTGACCTCTCTTGACCTCAGGGACTTTCAACTTCTGCTCTCACTGCTTGCTACCTCATCCTTCAGACGTTTTCCAGCTCAAGTTCCTTAGAGGAACTGATGAGTCAGGCTCATGTTTTCATGCTGGGCCACAGCACAGAACGCTATATAAGCACACTGCAAGCTCCTTTGAGGGCATCCAAATATTTCATTTTTTGAGCAATTTAAAATGGTATTGTATTTTTTATTTTCAGTTGCCACATGTTCATTGCTAGTATATTAAAATCAATTTATTTTTGTATTTTGATCTTGTATCCTAAGACAGTGTTGAATTCACCTCCCAATTGTAAGAGTTGTGGCTTTTTTTTTTTTTTTTTGAGACGGAGTCTCGCTCTGTCGCCCAGGCTGGAGTGCAGCGGCGCAGTCTCGGCTCACTGCAAGCTCCCCCTCCCGGGTTCACGCCATTCTCCTGCCTCAGCCTCCTGAGTAGCTGGGACTACAGGCGCCCGCCACCACGCCCGGCTAATTTTTCTTGTATTTTTAGTAGAGACGGGGTTTCACCGCGTTAGCCAGGATGGTCTCGATCTGCTGACCTCGTGATCCAAGAGTTGTGGCTTTTTTTTTTTTTTTTTTTTTTTTTTTGAGACGGAGTCTCGCTGTTGCCCAGGCTGGAGTGCAGTGGCGCCATCTCGGCTCACTGCAGGCTCCGCCCCCCGGGGTTCACGCCATTCTCCTGCCTCAGCCTCCGGAATAGCTGGGACTAAAGGCGCCTGCCTCCTCGCCCGGCTAATTTTTTGTATTTTTAGTAGAGACGAAGTTTCACTGTGTTAGCCAGGATGGTCTCCATCTCCTTACCTCGTGATCCACCTGCCTCGGCCTCCCAAAGTGCTGGGATTACAGGCGTGAGCCACCGCGCCCGGCCGAGTTGTGGCTTTTTAAATTGATTCTCTGAGATTGTCAACATAAACAATCATGCCATCTGCAAATAAGAGCAGTTATTTTATAGGGCCAAAACTGATCGAGCTGAAAAGATAAGTAGACAAAACCATAACAATAGTTGGAGGCATCAATACCTGTCTGTCAGTAATTGATAAATCCAACAGGTAGAAAATCAGCAGGAGTATAGATGACCTGAACAGCACTCTCAATCAACTTGATACAACCGATAGTTATAAAATACTCTATCCAACAACCACAAAATGCACATTCTTCTCAAGTTCACATGGTAAATTTACCAAGATAGACCACATTCTGGGCTATAAAACTCACCTTAGAATTTTAAAAGAGTAGAAATCATATAAGTATGTTCATATACCACAGTGGAATTAAACTGGAAATCAAAAAAAAGAAAGCTAGCTACAAAACTGCCAAATATTTTTTAGATTAAACAACATACTTATAAATAACACATGGGTCAAAGTCTCAGAGAAATTTTTAAATATTTTGAACTAAATGAAAACGTATCAAAATCTGTGGGATGCAGTGAAAGCAGTTCTTAGAGGTAAATTTATAGCATTAAAAGCATTTATTAGAAAAAAAGAGATTTTCTTGGGGGGGCGATCCCAAGATGGCCGAATAAGAGCAGCTCCAGTCCACAGCTCCCAGCCTGAGTGACGCAGAAGACGGGTGATTTCTGCATTTCCAACTGAGGTACCAGGTTCATCTCACTGGGACTTGTTGGAAAGTGGGTGCAGCCCACGGAGTGTGAGCCAAAGTAGGGTGGGGCATTGCCTCACCCAGTAAGCTCAAGGGGTCGGGAAATTCCCTTTCCTAGCCAAGGGAAGCTGGGACAGATGGTACCCGGAAAATCGGGACACTCCCACCCTAATACTGCACTTTTCCAACGGTCTTAGCAAACAGCACATCAGGAGATTATATCCCACACCTGGCTCAGAGGGTCCCACACCCACGGAGCCTCACTCACTGCTAGCACAGCAGTCTGAGATCGAACTGTGAGACAGCAGTGAGGCTGGGGGAGGGGCATCTGCCATTGCTGAGGCTTGAGTAGGTAAACAAAGTGGCTGGGAAGCTCGAACTGGGTGGAACCCACCACAGCTCAAGGAGGCCTGCCTGCCTCTGTAGACTCCACCTCTGGGAGCAGGGCATAACTGAACAAAAGGCAGCAGAAACTTCTACAGACTTAAACCTCCCTGTCTGACAGATTTGAAGTGAGTAGTGGTTCTCCCTGCACAAAGTTTGAGATCTGAGAACAGACGGACTGCCTCCTCAAGTGGGTCCCTGACCCTCGAGTAGCCCAACTGGGAGACACCTCCCAGTAGGGGCTGACTGACATCTCATACAGCCAGGTGCCCCCCTGAGACGAAGCTTCCAGAGGAAGGATCAGGCAGCAATATTTGCTGTTCTGCAATATTTGCTGTTCTGCAGCCTCCACTGGTGATACCCAGGCAAACAGGGTCTGGAGCAAACTCCAGCAGACTGCAGCTGAGGGTCATGACTGTTAGAAAGAAAACTAACAAACAGAAAGGAATAGCATCAACATCAACAAAAAGGACATCCACACCAAAACCCCATCTGTAGGTCACCATAATCAAAGACCAAAGGTAGATAAAACCACAAAGATGGGGAGAAACCAGAGCAGAAAAGCTGAAAATTCTAAAAATCAGAGTGCCTCTTCTCCTCCAAAGGATCGCAGCTCCTCACCAGCAACGGAACAAAGCTGGATGGAGAATGACTTTGACGAGTTGACAGAAGTAGGCTTCAGAAGATCAGTAATAACAAACTTCTCCAAGCTAAAGGAGGATGTTCGAACCCATTGCAAAGAAGCTAAAAACCTTGAAAAAAGATTGGATGAATGGCTAACTAGAATAATAGCATAGAGAAGACCTTAAATGACCTGATGGAGCTGAAAACCATGGCACAAAAACTATGTGACGCATGCACAAGCTTCAGTAGCTGATTCGATCAAGTGGAAGAAAGGGTATCAGTGATTGAAGATCAAATTAATGAAATGAAGCGAGAAGAGAAGTTTAGAGAAAAAAGAATAAAAAGAAACGAACAAAGCCTCCAAGAAATATGGGACTATGTGAGTTTTACTTTTATGTTGCTTTTGCCTGAGATGAAGTACTCTTTTTGGCCAGGACTGAGTCATGCAATATTACCCCTATGGCTGAAGGGAGTGGAGATCATTAAACCCTGTGAACCACATGGAATGGGCAGGGATACTATACAATGATTATGATACTACTACTACTAATATCTATTGAGTGCTTAGTAAGTTCCAAGCACTTAATGTATTAACTCCCTTATTTCTCATGGTAACCCTATAAAGTAGGCACTAGTGCAGTGGTCACCACTTATCTCTGGTTTTGCTTTCAGCAGTTTCAGTTATCCATGGTCAACCACAGTCCGAAAGTATGGAGATATTTTGAAAGAGAGAGGGAGAGAGAACATTCACATAACTTTTATTGTTATAATTGTTCTATTTTATTATTAGTTATTATTTTTAATCTCTTGCTGTGCCTAATTTATAAATTAAACTTTACCATCAGTATGTATATATAGGAAAAAAAACATGGTATATACAGGGTTCAGTACGATCTGCAGTTTCTGGTATATCCACTGGAGGTCTTAGAACAGATCCTTCATGGATAATGAGAGGCTACTGTACTAGCCTCACTTTAAGGATGGAGAAACCAAAGCATGATGAGGTTAAGTAATTTGCCCAAGGTCAGACGTCCAGTAGATGATAGATTGAAGAGAGGTGATTCCCCAAAGGAGTGGGTGTTGAGCCAATAACAAAGCATATGTCCACTAGTTAGTTAAATTGTGTTCATGCTAATTCAGCAGTAGCTATGAAGAAGAGACTCCCCGATTCTGATGTCTAGCAAGGTGAATTCTCAGAGCTTTGCTATGGAACTGGGAGAATTTATTAAGATTGGCCTCTAGCCAGAAGCAATATACCCTTCAAGACCAGCCAAACTCCCTTGGTTCCTGAGAAACTTGTGCTGAATAATTTGATTTTTCAGATGTCCTGAATGGGAAGGGAAAACCCTAACCAACAAGATCTAGTATTCCCATAGAGAGATGTATAGCAATCTCCTCCACAGAGAGATGGATCTGCTGGCTTACAGTCTAACTGCCAGTCAGTTGAGAGTTTAGGGAGAGTGAGTCACTGCCCCATCTCACTCCCATTCAGAACCTCAAACTTCAGGGTGAACTGGGGAGAGCAAGATTTTGGCCCTGCAAACCTGAGGGGAAAAATCCATGGCTTTTGATGTACTGTCTCCTCTCCCTAATAATGGATAATCTTAGTAGTAGTATCATGATTATTATACAGCATCCCTGCCCATTCTGTCTGGTTCAGAGGGTTAATGATCCCCACTCCTCTTGAGCCCCAGAAGTGGCACTACATGACTACGGCTTCTCATCTTCAGAGGCTTAGGCGGCTTACTCATGCTTGTTGCTGTTATCATTGCCATCTTCTCCTCTTCCTCCTCCTCCTCCTCTTCCTCCTCCTCTTCTCTCCCTTGTCGAGAGAGGAAGAGAGAGGAGACATGCACCACTCTCATGAAGGCAGCCAGTGATAGAGGCAGGCTATCCCAGACACCACCAGCTAACACAAAGCCCGTTCACCCTCAGGTTTCTGTGTGCCAACCTGGCATAGCTGTCCCTGGCACCTATAGGGTGTGGCCTTCAAATAGCTGTCAGTTGCTGAGGGAAGTAATCCAGGCCCCTGATGTGTCACTCGTGCATGCTTTTCTCTTTTTCCCCAAAAATGTATTAGGCATGTGGACCACCAATTACATGCCAGGCCCCCTTGACACAACTTAATCCTCTGGTCAAGTGTTTGGAATTATGATGACAAAGGGCGCTGTCTTCTTGGATTCTCCAACATTCTTATCAGGTCCTTGAAAGTGCCAATGCAGTTCCCAGACACCAAATGGGCCCTTAGGAAGACAGCATTCTTCATTCCTTCCAATTAACAGATGGGGACATAGAAGCTCAGTGAGATTAAGTGACTGATTCAAGGCCACACAGTTAAGTAGAGGAGGAGAAAGTCCTTAGGTTTTCTGACTGCAAAGTTAGTGCTCTTGGCCCTACACCAAGCTAACCTCCAATGAGGGGATTTGCATCTCTCTGAGGGATATCAAGCCATAGTGATTCATGCTGAGGGGAGAGCATGAGCCTGCAAGTTGGGAGGCCTGGTGTATGAGTTTGCTAGGGCTGCCATAAAAAAATACCATAGGCTAAGTGGTTTAAACAACAAACATTTACTTTCTCACCATTCTGAGAAATAGCACTATTTCTCTAACTGCTGGTAATGCTGATTCTCAAGTGTCAGCTTGTTCTGGTGTCAGCTTTTGCAGGAATTGTTCACAGCTGAAAAGAGTAGCCTAGCTCCAGGTCACATCCCCTTCAAGGGACAGCTCCATCCAGTGACTGGTTGATGTGGGAAGAGGAGGGGTATAATGGCCCAGCCCCTCTCCACAGCTCTGAATGACTCTGAAGAGCCATTCCAGCCCCAAAGTTCCCCTTGGGGTTGACCAAATCCTTGTTGTGACTTCACTGCAGCTCAACTGCTCCTTCTGCCCACTGGGCTTCCTGTCCTTCCCTTGTCCAGGCATTGATCCCGAAAGCACACACAACTCCGCCTCAGTATCTGTTTCCCAGAAAACCCAACTAAGAACTGTAACAATAATGATGATAAGGTGTGATCGCACTGCAAGAGGAACATGTTTATGCTGCAGTGGAGGAGATCATCATGTGATCTCATTCCCTACAGCTCTACTTTCACTCACACCATTGCAGGCCCACAGATCTTTTTACTGTTCCTCATACACACTGTTCTCCTCAGGGCCCTTGCACATGCCATTCCCCTGCCTAAAATACACATCTCCCAGACAGCTACACAGCACACTCCCTCACCTCCTTCAAGTCCAAAATTACAGCACCACTTTCACCATCTGGCACTGCTGGCCTTCTCCATGCGTGACTTTTATCCATAGCATTTACCGCTTTCTAATGTACTATAGACCCTACTTCTTTATCTTGTTTATATGGTCAGTATCCCCCAACTAGAACGTCAGCTCCATGAGGGATGGGAATTTTGTGTGTTTTTGTCCTTATTATCTGCCTATTTACAAAACACCTTCATCAGTGCCTGATATTATATAGTAGATCCACAATAAGTACTTATTGAATGAATGGATAGATGGATGAATGAACTGTATAATTAATAAGGAAACAGGGATGCTCAAAGACTTCCTAGAGGAGGTGCCACTTAAGCTGAATGTGAAAGCGAAATGTGACCACTGGAGTTATTCTGAAGAGCCTCCAGGAATCAATGCACAGGAGTTTGGCTTGTGAATTTTCCATTTTCCACTTTTGGGTAGTTTAAGGCTATAGGCTTTTTCATTTAATTTATTTTACAGTCCCATAAAAATCAAAGGGAAACAAACATGTTTTTTTTCTTTTACAAGCGTGAGAACTTTGGGAATGTGGTTGGAGGCAGAGGGGCCCAGAGCCTGCTTCCTTGGTCCATACGTGTACGTAAAAATCATTCACTGAGCAGTTTTACAGTCAACAGAAATTTTTGCTTTTATTTATTTTTTATTTTTTGTGGCAGTCCTTTCAAAGCAAACAAGCTCTTGGTAAAACTGAAGCATAGAGTCCTAACCAAGTTGCTCATATGTGAAAAAGCTTTGGGAAATTCAGGGACTGTATTTGCAATAAAACCTTTGCAGTGGCCAGGGAAATAGGATTGTATATTCTGGTTAATGCAAGTGTCTGCCGAACAGAATTACTGTGAATTCCCAGACCTTGATGAGCTCAATCCAGAAAACTGAAATATACCAAGCACAGAGAACACCAATACTCCACCAAAGAGAACTTCTTCCTTTGATCACTCAGAAGGTATTTGCATATTTTGCAAGCCTCACTGTCACCTTGATGACCCCGAGTGTCAGTGATTGTGCGACTTTGAGAAATGTAGGTGTAACTGACCTCTAGTTGGGAATATGTTCGGCAGCCTTTGTAATGAACTCATTAAATGAAAGTCAGTTTCTTAAGAACTTGTTTCCCATGTGCCTTCTAATGCAGTGGTTCTCAAGGGGTCAGGTGGTTGGAGGAAGTGCTCTTAGAAAGGCGGAGAGTGTCTCAGAATTATCTGGGGGCCTTTATCAAGGTAAATACCTCCACTCACCACAGCCAGAGATTAAGACCCTCCCACAGTTTATCACAAAGCAGGTACATTTATATCTGCATTGCCAATGATAGTGCTGCTCAGATACAAGCTCTAGGCTCCAATCCTTCCCCCACCACCTACTGAGAGTCTAACACAGGACAATGACCAGTGGGGAAGATCAGCCTGCCTGCCTTCTACATAGTAGTAGAATGACTTTGGACAATGGACTTAATTGAGCCTCAGTTACTTTTTCTGAAAGCTAGAGCTAATAATCCTAGCACTGACTGCATACACTACACTTCTATCTGGCCAAGAGAGACTTTCAGTACTTTGTGTCTCTCCACGAAGTCATCACATTCTTATGGACAGCCAGATACATTTCCTTTTATATAGTGCCATCTCTAGTCAGCCTCAAACATGTCACGCCTGTGTTGGCACCATCTTCATGGCCCCAGAACTTGCCATCAATGGACAATGAGTATTACCAGAAGTAGCAAAAAATACTCCAAAAGGCCTGCGGCCCTTCTAAGATTAGGACTGTCTTTGGTATATTCCAGTGTGTTTGGTATATTTCTTGAGTTCCAGTATATTTGGTATATTTCTTGAGTTCCACCCTGATCTCCAAATAATTCTCTGTTTTATGTATCTGACCTTCCAGGAATGGCCATCTTGAACTAGAATTCAGTTTCAGTTTTCCAACATGCTTCTCACCTTCCTACCTTGTTTTTCAGTGCCAGGAAATAAACAAATCCTTAGAAACTAAACTCAAACAAATACATTCATTTATTTAATCATTCATTTGCTCATTCAGCAAATATATGCTAAAGGCTTACTATGTGCCAAGAGCTGTGCTAGGCTGTGAGATACAATGATGGATAAAGCAGGCATAGTTTCTGCCCTCATGAAATTTATAGTCTAAAGGGAGAACAAAAATTAACAAAGAAATACTTATTCAAAAACTGTGCCAAGTGTCATGAGGGAAATGAATGGGGTACCCTGACAGAGGATGGAGAGAAGGAGGCATCTACTGAGAGAGGGTAATAAGGAGCCATCTCTCAAAGGAAGGGACATTTTAGCCAAATGCAAATGGATGAGAAGCCAGGCATGAGGAGAGTAGGGGAAGGATATTCCAGGCAGAGGGAAGAATATGTGCAAAGGCCCTGAGGCAGGAAAGTGTGACTGGAGTACGTGCAAGTGAAGGAAAGTGGCAGGAAATTAGGCTGGGGGTGGGCAGCAGCCAGATCCTATAGGACCTTGTGGGTCACGGGAAGGAGGTTTGCTTTTATTCTAAGTACAAAGAGATACTATTGCATGATTTTAAGCAGAGGAGTGACATGAGTTGAAGTTACATTTTCAAAAGGCTCACTCTGGCTGCTATATAGAGAATGGATTATAAAGGGCAGGATTGGAGCCAGGACACCAGAAATAAGCTACTGCCATAGTAAGGGTGACAGATGATGGTGACTTGAACTAGGGCAGCAGCCATGGGGAAGGAGAGAAGTGGACCAATTCAAGACATATATTTTAGAGGGAGTATTGGAATGACTGTCCAAGAGTTAGTGAGCAGTATCCTGTCCCAGAGCTGCGGTCAGGGATGGCAGGGAGTGGAGTCCTTGGCTTAGTCAATTTTGTGCTGCTATAACAGAACACACAAGACTGGGTAATTTATGAAGAACAGAAATTTATTTCTCATAGTTCTGGAGGCTGGGAAGACTAAGATAAAGGCACCAGCATGTGATGAGGGCCTTCTTGCTGCATTCTCACATGGCAGAAGGCAGAAAAGGGCAAGAGGGGATGATTCTCCCTCCTCTTGAGCCCCAGGAGTGGTACTGCATGACTTTCTCTCCTCACATACAGAGGTTTAGACAGCTTGCTCAAATTTGCCATTGTCATCGTCTTACTCCTCCCCTTCCTCTTCTTCCTCCTTCTCCTCTTCTTCTTTCTCTTCTTTTCCTCTTCCTTCTCCTCCTCCTCTTTCTCCTTTCTCTTCTTTTCCTCTTCCTTCTCCTCCTCCTCTTTCTCCTTTCTCTCTCCTTTGCTGGGGCCGGACATGCACCACTCTCATGAAGGCAGCTGGTGATAGAGGCAGGCTATCCCAGACACCACTGCCTAGCACAAGGCCCATTCACCCTCAGAGTTCTCTGTGCCAATCTGGCATAGCTGTCCCTGACACTTGTAGAGTGTGGCCCTCTCATAGCTGCCAGTTGCTCAGGGCAGTAATCCAGGCTCCTGATGTGTCACTCATGTGTGTGTGTCTTTCTCTTTTCACTACAAATGTATTAGGTATGGTGAGGATGGCACCTCCCTCAGCCTGGGCCCTGAGTCAGGTGATAGATGACTTGCAATGGATACATAGAATAAAGTGAGAAGTAAGCCTTATTGAGTTAGCACTGAGATTTGAGGGTTGCTTGTTACTGCAGCATTACCTAGCCCAATCTGACTGACACACCATCCTCCCAAATTCCAGCTTCAGATCTAGGAGCCACTACTTCTCCATAATTGAGCACCTCTTCACAGAGACCTGCCCTCCACTAGACTTTTGCCCCACAGACCTGTCCTTGGGGTTACCCTGGAGCTACTTTCCCCCAAATAATGACTTTGACCTTCTCAACAAGTTGTACCAGGCCCACGTGAAAGCCTAGAGCAGAGTCAGCCTGAAGGCTGGGGTCAGGAGCAAGCTGGGCAGTGAAATGAAGAAATAAGATGATTGTTAATGGGTTGGATTGTGTCCACCCCCATTCATATGAAATCCTGACCCCCAGTACATCAGAATGTGATGTGCTGCTTTGGAAATAGGGTTGTTGTAATTAGTTAAGATGATGTCATTAGAGTGGCCTCTAATCCAACATGATTGATATATCCTTATAAACAATGGAAATTGGGGCTGGGTGCAGTGGCTCATGCTTGTAATCCCAGCACTTTGGGAGGTCAAGGCAGGAGGATCACTTGAGCTCAGGAGTCTGAGACCAGCCTGGGCACCATGGCAAAATCCTATCTCTACAAAACATACAAAAATTAGCCAGGTGTGGTGGCACACACCTGTAATCCCAGCTACTCAGGAAACAGGTGGAAGATCTCTTGAGCCCGGAAGGCAGAGTTGCAGTGAGCCAAGATTGTGCATCTGCACTCCAGACTGGACAATAGTGTAAGACTGTCTCAAAACAAAAAAGAAGAAGAAGAAGGAAATTTGGACACAGAGACACACACAGGGAGAGCACCATGTGAAGATGAAGGCAGAGGATTAAAGATTAGATGATGATTCTACAAACCAAGGAATGCCAAAGATTGTCAACAAACCCCCAGAAGCTAGGGGAGGGGCCTGAAACAGATTCTCTCTCACAGCTCTCAGAAAGAACCCCAACCCTGCCCACACCTTGGTCTTGGACTTGCAGCCTCCATAACTGTGAGGAAATTAATTTCTGCTGTTTAAGCCATTTAGTTCGCAGTGCTTTGTTACAGCAGCCTTAGAAAACTAATTCAATGAGAAATAGTAGTGAAATTCGCAGCAGTGTTCATAGGCAAACTTTGTAGCCCTTCATGCAGTTTTCAGAGTGTTTCCAAGTTCCCATGGCAGCTGGAGATGTGGGCAGACTAAGTAGGTCCCCAGACTAGGCAAAGATTATCAAGCATAGGCTGGAATCAGGGGACCTTGAGAGTTTGAACAAAAGACATCCCAGCTGGAACCACTATAGACCAAAGTTACAAGAGCCACCACTGGCTTTTGGACTTTGAGAACACCTCTAGACTTTGGCATGATCTTGGGATGAAGCCCCATTAGTGACTGAAATAGAATTTTCTGCCATCCTGGTATTGTGAGTTGAATATAAATTGATTTAAAGAATTATTTTAATGAGACCTTCCTGGTAGCCCAAAATTTGTGGACTGAGATGCAGAAATTCTACATTAGCTGCCATTTATTCAGTGTATACTCAGGTCTTCCATGGCCCCTAAACATGGCCTCCAATGCCAAGCATGGCCAGGCCTCTGCCTTCCCTGCAGCCTCATTTCTTACTACTATCTTTCTCTTCCCTAAACATACCAGGCTAGTTCCCATCTCGGGGCCTCTTCACCTGCTGCTGTATTTACGTTTAACACTCGCATTAGTCATCCACTCTCTGCCTCCCTCTGGTTATTCACAGTTCAATTCATTGTCTACTACTATATTTCCCTTCCCTAAACATATCAAGTTAGTTCCCATCTCCGGGCCTCTTCACCTGCTGCTGCATTTACGTTGAACACTCGAATTAGTCATCCACTCTCTGCCTCCCTCTGATCATTCCCTCTGATCATTCAGAGTTCAATTCAAATGCCACCTTTCTAGAAAGGGCTCTCTTGACTTCCCACTCTAAAATAGCGACTTCCTCCTCATTCTATCACATTATTCTGCCTCATTTCCTTAGTATCCATTACTCACTTTGACATCATCTGGTACATCTGTTTACTTACTTGTTTATTTTCCTCCCACATTACCCACTGCAGGGCAGGAACTCCATCTGTCATATTGACCACCATGCACCAGCCCTGAACAGTGCCTGGCACATAGTAGGCTTCCAATTAATAGTGTTGATTGAATAAGTTAACATCTTCTCATTCATTGCCAACCCTGAGTACCCAGCACAGTGCCTGGCACCTACACACTCAAATAATAACTGTTGAAAGTGGAAAGAATGCCTAGAGTGGAGCCACATAGAGGAGGAACAGCCAGTGCCTCCTACTAGAACTGAGGGGTGCAGGGTCTCTGCCACTCCATCCCCACATTAGCCCACCACATTGATAGACATATGCCCCTCTACCACCATATCAGCAGGACAGAGCAACTGCTGACAAACAAGTTTCCATTTGTCATGTACCTTGGCACCCCTGAGATGACACATAGGTTTCTAAGACTGTTGTCTGATTCTTGCACATAGGTCCAGGATAGAGTACTACATAGCAACAGCAATTTTCTGGTGTCATTTCAAGAGCTTCAGTGATTGAGTCATGTTGGGGCAAGGAGAACACCCACTTCCTCCTCCTCAGAGAGGAGAAGTTGCCTTATATGATAGACAAGTTTGTAACTTTTTAATTTTTTTCACTAATATGATTCTTAAATTGACAAATCCTAATTGTATACATTTATGGGGTTCAAAGTGGTGTTTTGACATATGTATGCAATGTGGAATGATTAAATCAATTGCACAGCAGGGTGGCTATAGCCCATAATAGTGCATTGTATGCTTCAAAATAACTAAGAGTAAATTTCAAATGTTTCACCACAAACAATAATAAGTAAGTGAGGTGGTGGGTACGTTTGAAAGGAGAAACTAGGCATTGGTAGGCCAGCTCCTTCTTCCATTTCCCACTTTCTCTACACTGCCCTTGGCCAGACAGGAAGCCTACAGGTAAGGGAGGAGGTAAGGAGAGTCTATCTGTGCCTTTCTTCTTTGTTTTAGGTCTCAACTGCTTGCAGGCTCCAGTGAGGAAGAGAAACGCTGTGAGTTGAGCTCCCTGAAATCCAAAAAGTAAAACCAGAAAGGAAGCTGAAATTGTAGGTGGGAAGGAAGGCAGTGCTGGAAGGTTGAGCAGTGCCCAGCAGGTATGTTTTACTGAAGGGAGCCAGGAAAGCACCATGGCAGGTAGGTGGTGAGGGAGAGCATTGAGGACAGAATCAAGTGTTCATACTGAGAAATGAAGGATACTGGAGCCCTCAACAAACATGGAGCATGTTGCAGGATTCTCCTTCACAGAAGCCATCAGCAGCCATAGTCTGAACAGCATTTGAGGCACACACCAAGGTGGGCATATATATCCGAGGTATCCAATGGCTTGGGAGAGCTAAATGCCAGGTGGAAGCGGGGATATCAGGGATCTGCCTCAAGTCAGTGTAGGTTGAAGAGCTGTTTGCCTGGGAATTACTACTCAAGAAAATGTGTCTTTCTAATACTGATCTGCATATTTATAAGTCAGGTCCAGTCTCATTTCGATTTGGTGTTGACTGGCTGCCGGTGAAGTAAGTCTGAGGGCACTCCATGCACAGGTCCACTGCAGGGACCTAGGCTGCAAACTCATGCTGGCCAATCCAGGAGCCACAAGCCCCTTGTGTTCATAGAGCATTTAAAACTGGGTTAGTCCCAATTGAGATGTAGAAAAAAAAAAACACACTGGATTTCAAAGACTAAAAATAATTTTATATTATGTCTTGAAATGATTACATGTTGCAAATAATGAGTTAAATAAAATATATTGCTAAAATTAATTCCACCCTTTTCCAGTTTTTGTTTTTTGTTTTACTTTTAAATCTAGCTAGTAAGAAATTTAAAATTACACATGTGGCTCGCATTATATTTCTACTGGACTGTGCTGGTCTAGACAGTGCTCGTAGTGATCGTAGCCTATGATCTGCTCTCCCCAGCAGAGATGCTTGGGTCCTGTATTAGTTTGCCTGGAGTGCCATAACAAAAATGCCAAGGACCAGGCAGCTTAAACAACAGAAATGTATTGTCTAACAGTTCTGGAGGCTACAAATTCAAGATCAAGGTGTTGGGAGATTGAGTTCCTTCTGAGAGCTGAGCTGTGAGGGAGAACCTGTTCCAGCCCTCTCTTCTACCCTCTGGCAGCCTTAAGTGTTCCTTGGCACAGAGTTGGCATTCATTCTCCCTATGTCTCCACATCATCTTTCCTCTCTGCTTGTTTGTCCCTCTGTCCATATGTCCCCATAACATTCTTGGGACCTATTTGTAGCCACAATGGAGCTCACCTAGGGAGAAACGGATGGAGTTTGACAGAGATAGTTTTACTGAGACAAAGTATAAACACAATGATACCAATGGATTCTCAGTAGGATACTTTTTTTCTTTTTTCTTTCTTTTTTTTTTTTTTTTTTTTTTTAAATGGAGTCTCGCTCTGTCACCCAGCCTGGAGTGTAGTGGCGCAATCTCAGCCGCAGTCTCGGCTCACTGCAACCTCCGCCTCCCTACTTCAAGCAATTCTCCCACTGCAGCCTCCCAAGTAGTAGCTGAGATTACAGGCATGTGTTACCACACCCGGCTAATTTTTATATTTTCAGTAGAGATGGGGTTTCACCATGTTGGCCAGGCTGGTCTTAAACTCCTGACCTCAGGTAATCCGCCCACCTCAGCCTCCCAAAGTGCTGAGATTACAGGCATGAGCCACTGCGCCCAGCCATCAGTAGGATACATTTTAACAGCATTATTGTCCTAGGCTGAAGCTTCGTAATGTGTAGAACCAAAGTCTCTTTCAGCCAGAGGGATTGAGTCCCTCTGAGCTGGGTTCAGCTAGCTCAGCCAGTGAAAAATCTTAAGTAAATAGAGACTTGAGTAAAGACTTTTTGCAACCAGCCTGTGTGGAGTGGTGAGCACTAAATGCTGCCAGTCCGATTATATTCACTGACATCTGGGACATGATCCCAAAATTTGGTCTAAGCTCATTTCCCCGATGGCATTCCCTACTGCAGCACTTTCCAAACTTTTTTTTTAGCCATAAAGCCCTTTCTCTAAACAAAATGTTACATGGTGGCAGAAGATGAACTCAGAGCCTGTCCCATTGGAATTGAGTGAGGGTAGTTTGAAGGCCTAAAGCACCTCACACTGAACTTCGGGGGCTCCTAGGAACACAAGCTTAAGACTATCCCACTCCTTCCCAACTGTATTTGCTGGCCTGTCTATCAAATCTGCAGGCCTACCTCTTTTTTGTCTTTAAACTAACTAAACAAAAAAAGTGTTTCAAAATAGTAACAAAATAAAAATTTAAGTAATTTTTTGATGTAGAAAACTTGGTGAGATAGAAGGTATAAGAATGAAATGAAAAATCATCCATAATCCTGGAATCCAGAAATAACCACTATTACGGCCAGGCGCGGTGGCTCACGCCTGTCATCCCAGCATTTTGGGAGGCTGAGGCGGGCGGATCACAAGGTCAAGAGGTCGAGACCATCCTGGCCAACATGGTGAAACCTCATCTCTACTAAGAATACAAAAATTAGCTGGGTGTGGTGGTGCATGCCTATAGTCTCAGCTACTTGGGAGGCTGAGGCAGGAGAATCGCTGGAACCCAGGAGATGGAAGTTGCAGTGAGCCAAGATCACACCACTGCACTCCAGCCTGGCTACAGAGCAAGACTAAAGAAATAGCCACTACTAATATTTTTCTGAACATCCTCCTAGTCTTTTTACCAAACAAGTATAGAAAGAGGTAGAGACACACAGATACAGGTACTGATAAGACACAGATACAGGTGTAGATATAGGAAGAGACACAGACAAGACACACAGAAATGTAGATACAGATAGAGATGCAAGCAGAAACACAGATACAGATGCGTATACAGATAAAGATAAGATGCAGATACAGAGAGAGACGTTAAGTAGAGACACAAATACACAAACAGAGATAGAAGTCTAGTCACAGTAATGGATGCAGACAGATACAAGTAGAGATGCATATACAGATAAATATAGAGAAACAGATACAGATACAGAGAGAGGCACAGATACAAATAGAAACACAGATATAGGCACAGAAAGAGGTACAAGTAGATACACAGATACAAATGAGATAGAGGTAGAGACAGCAATACAGATAGAGATAGAGATACGTGTTGAAAACAAAAATAATAAGAGACACAGATACAGATACAGGTGTAGGTGCACAGATAAAGATATATGTAGAGCCATAGTAGAGATACAAGTGCAGACAGAGGTACAGGAAGAGTCACAGATACAGAAACAGGTAGAGACAAATACACAGATACAGATAGAGACATAGACACAGGCAGAGAGGCACAGATAGAGATAGAAACACAGATGTAGAAACAGGTAGAGACACAGATATAAATATACACGGATACAGGCACAGATAGAGATATAGGATGAGACATAGATACAGATACAGGAAGAGGCCTAAATACAGATAGACACAGATAGAATATAGACATAAGTACAGCCACAGAGATACAGATAGAGACAAAGATACAGGAAGAGAGAGATACAGGTTGAGACACAAATGCAGAAACAGGTACAGGTAGAGACATGGATACAGATAAAAATAGAAATACAGGTAGAGACAAAGATACAAATACACATATAGGAACAAATCAGATATAGATACAGATGGTGACACAGATACAGGTACAGAAAGATATACATATTAAGACACAGATACAGGCATAGATACAGACGCAGGTAGAGATACAGATACAGATAGAGACACAAGTACTGCTATAGATACAGTTAGACAAACATACAGATACTGGTAAAAACATGAATATAGATAGACACAGACACAGACATAAACACAGGTGGAGCCAAAGATAGAGATACAGAGACGCAGACATAGGAGCAGAGAGATACAGGTAGAGACACTAATGCAGACACAGATACAGGTAGAGACACAGATAGAGACATAGATACAAGAAGACATAGAGACAAATATACATACAGGGATAGATCAGATTCGATACAGATGGAGACATAGATGCAGATACAGACAGAGATCCATATTGAGACATAGATACAGGTAGAGACACAGGTAGAGACTGAGGTAGAAGCACAGGTGGAGATACAGGTAGAAATATACAGACAGTCTACACTATGACCATACCATCCTGAATGCACCTGATCTTCTCTGATCTCAGAAGCTGAGCAGGGTTGGACCTGGCTAGTACTCGGATGGGAGAAATACACATGCAGACACAGATGAAGACACAGATACAGAAACAGGGGTATAAGTAGAGACACAAATACCAATTCAGATACAGGTGAAGACACAGACCAGATAGAGATAAAGATAGAGACACAGACACAGATATAAATACAATAGAGGCACAGATACTGATACAGATAGAGACAGAGGTAAAGATAGAAACAGAGACATAGATACATATGCAGGGAGAGACACAGTCCAGATACAAATGGAGACAGGTACAACACAGAAACAGATAAAATTAGATACACTGATATAGATACAGATAGAAATACAGATTCGGGTACAGAACTTACATATAGAGATATACATACAAGTAGAGACACAGATACAGATACAGTTAGAGACACAGACACAAAGAGAAACACAGATATAGATATAGGTAGAGACACAGATACAGATATAACTGGAGACACAAATACAAATACACCTACAGGAAGAGATATTGATAGAGGTAGACAGATACAGATAAACATACGTGTACACACAAAGATCCAGAAAGAGATAGAGACAGAGATAAAGGTAGCAATGCAGATTCTGATATAGAGACACAGATAAAGGTACAGAGAGAGATACAGATAAAGGTAGAAACACTAATACAGGAAATTATATAGACACAGTTCAGAAAAGATACAGGTAGAGACAGAAGCTGATACACATACAGGCACAGATACAAATATAGAGAGAGGCATAGATGCAGGCATAGATAGAGACAGAAACATAGATTCAGAAACAGATACAGACAAATGGAAAGACACAGATACAATACAGATAAAGGTAGAGATACAGATACAGGTATAGACAGAGATACAAATAGAGACACAGATACAGATGTAGATAGGGACACAGATACAACAGACACAGACACATAAACTGATACAGACACAGATACAAGGACAGATACAGGTAAAAACATGGATGCAGATATAGAGACACAAATATATGTACAGAAAGAAATATGGATAGAGGTGCAGACACAGATATAGACACAGGTACAGAAGAGATACAGGTAGAGGTACAGATGCAAGTCAAGACACAGATACAGACGCAGATAACTGTGGAGACACAGATACAGGTAAAGATGCAGATACAGGTACAGATAGAAACACAGATACAGGCAGAGACAGAAATGGAGAAAGAGAGACATATACATACAGAAAGAGACACAAATACAAGTAGAAATGCAGACGCATGTATAGGTAGAGACATAGATACAGATAAAGACACACATATGTGTACAGATACAAATACAGGTAAGGACACAGATACAGATACATATACAGACACAGATACAGGTGTAGACACAGATATAGGTACAAACAGAGATATAGACACAGATACAGGAATAGACACAGGTAGAAACACAGATACCGATAGACACAGAGAAACAAATACAAGTAGAGGCACAAATACAGGATTAAGTAAAGACACAGATATATGTACAAACAAACATAAGGAAGAGACACAGACAGATGCATAAAGATACAGATACAGATAGATTAGAGACACATGCAGATAAAGGTATAGATACATATACAGATAGTTATTCAAGGGGAGACAAAAATACAGATACAGATGCAGGTACAGGTAAAGGCAGAGATTCATAATCAGATAGATACACATAGACAGACACCAAATGCAAATAAGACACAGATACAGATGTAGATACAGTAGAGACATAAATATAAGTATAATTGCCTCAGAAGTAGTAGCAGAAAAAAAGAGAAAAAAATTAAAAACAAATACAGGTACAAGTATATAATCATATATAGTTAAAGATACAGACACGGATATAGATACAAATAGGCTCACAGATACAAATGGAAACAGATACAGATATAAACACAGGTAGAGACATAGACACAGACTTAGATACAGGAAGAGACACAGATACAGATAAAGGTAGAGACAGATGCAGCCAGAGACACAGATCTATATCTACAGAGAGACACAGATACAGGTATAGGCAGAGAAACAGAGACACAGATACACTACTGATAGAGACAGATACACATATGGGTGCAGGTAACTACAAGGTAGAGACAGATACAGATACAAATATATAAACAGGTGCAGATAGAGCTAGAGGTAGAGACACAGACAGAAATCTACAGAGAGACACAGAAGCAGGTACAGATACAGATACCGGTAGAGACACAGACCAGATACAGAGAGAGACACAAATATAGATACATGCAGAAACACAGATACAGATGCAGATGGAGACACCAACCAGATACATGTAGAGACAGAAAAACACACACATACGGAGAAAGAGAACATCTAGAGACACAGATACAGATAGAGACACAGATGTAGATGCATATAGAGACACCAATGCAGATGTAGACACAGATACAGATCCAGATAAATACATAGCTACAGATACAGATGCCAGCAGAGACACAGACCAGATAGAGATACATATAGAGACACACATACACGTATAGACAGATAAACAGATACAGAAGACATCGGTACAGATATACTTTTTCCTCAATATTGACTTCCGATCCAAAACTAGGTTTAGTGGCACATGGAAGATACCAAGTATTAAGAAGAACTCTCTGGAACCATTAAAGAGATCCTGGGGACTGCCCAGTTTGTGGGCTGTAATGTTAATGGCCACCACCCTCATGACATCATAGATGACATCAACAGTGGTGCCATGGAATGCCCAGCCAGTTAAGCACAAAGGAAAATATTTCAATAAAGGATCATTTGACAAAAAAAAAAAAAAAAGAATTGACAGTATCATTAACAGCTTTCAAAGATGGCTTTTAGAATTTATTGTTAGCTTCTGCTAAATCACTTGCTTCTGGTAATGAAAATTGTAAAACTAATTGGCTTTCCCATTTTGCTTTGGCAGCCTGGAAATTCAGAGCCAACAACAATCCTTACTCTTAACTGTAGCTCTGATGTTCTTCATATTCATACAGTTCTTTACCTGGTCTTGATTTTCCACTGCTGTTTCTATTTTCTTTAGGCCTGATTCTCTTTTCCTCTTTTATTAAATTGTGTTTTATTGTAAGCAGCCTCAAATCCATTGTGAAATGAGGCCAGGTGTCAATCAATGGAATAAAAGCAGCTGTATACCATAGGGGTTTCATCAGACAGACCAGGATTCAAACCCCAGCTCTGCCACTTCCTAGTATGTTACTTTGGGCATTCATGTTCCCTTGGTAGGCCTCGTCAGGCATCAATAAAATGGGGATAATAATACCACATTCACAGGGTTGTTTGAATAATTCAATAAAATACCATATCATATATACATCAAAACACCAAGCCCCATTCCTGAAATATAGCATGCAGTCAATAAAGATTTATATTCCTTTAAAGGAGGTATTTCATTTAGAAAAAGCTGGTTGCCATGAGCTGCATACTTGAGTGGAAGAAAGAAGATTCTCGGGGAGAGGGCAAAGGTTGAGGCTGATTTGTGATTCCAAGAATATTAGACAGGGTTCTCCGTAGAAATGGAATAGAATATGTATACATACAAATACATATCTATATGTGTGTGTATATATATATACATACATACATACAGTCAGGCATCACTTAGCAACAGAGATATGTGCTGAGAAATGCATCATTAGGTGATTTTGTTGTTGCAAAACATCCTAGGGTGCACTTAACACAAACCTAAATGATATAGCTTGCCACACGCCTAGGGTGTATGGTATAGCCCATTGCTCCTAGGCTACAGACCTGTACAGCATGTTTCTGTACTGAGTACTGTAGGCAACTATAACATAGTGGTGAGTATTTGTGTACCTAAACATATCTAAACATAGAAAAGGTATAGTTAGAAAAACAGTATTATAATCTTAAGGGACCACTATTCCATGTGCAATCTATCATTGACCAAAACATCATTCTGTGGTGCATGACTGTACATATACATACACATAAATATATACATATATGTATATATATAGTATTGATTATATTTCTATAATAAATCTCATTTTATATATGTATATGTGTATGTATATATAATGACATTTATTATACAAAATTGACTCACAGGATTATGAAGGCAGAGAAGTTCTAACATCTGCCATATGCCTGCTGGAGACCCAGAAAGCCAGTGGTATAAATTCCCATCCAAGTCCAAAGGCCTGAGAACCAGGAACACCAATGATGTAAGTCTCAGTCCCAGGGCAGGAAAAAATCAATGTCTCAGCTCAAGCAGTCAGGCAGAGAGGAAATTCCTCCTCCTTCTGCCTTTTTGTTCTATTCAGGCCCTCAACAGATTGGATGATGTTCACCCGCATCTGCATTACCCAGTCCACCAATTCAACTTCTAATCTCTTCCACAAACACCCGCACAAAGACAACAAGAAAGAAGCGATCACAGCTCACTGCAGGCTCGGACTCCTCAACTCAAGTGATCCCCTTTCCTCAGCCTCCCAAGTAGCGGGGACTACAGGCACATGCCACCATATCTGGCTAATCTTTTTTTTTAAGACAGAGTTTCGTTCTTGTCGCCCAGGCTGGAGTGCAGTGGTATTATCGTGGCTCACTGCAACCTCTGCCTCCTGGGTTCAAGCGATTCTCCTGCCTCAGCCTCCCGAGTAGCTGGAACTACAGGCACACACTACCATGCCCAGTTAATTTTTGTATTTTTAGTAGAGACGGGGTTTCACCACGTTGGTCAGGCTGGTCTTGAACTCTTGACCTCAGGTGATCCACCCACCTCAGCCTCCCAAAGTGCTGGGATTACAGGCATGAGCCACTGAGCCCGGCCACACCTGGCTAATTTAAAAATATATATATTGTCAACGCCGACAATGCAGTCAGTGTATAAAAAGCAAAGCCGGCTGGGCACAGTGGCTTATGCCTGTAATCCCAGCACTTTTGTAGGCTGAGGCCGGGGGATCACCTGAGGTCAGGAGTTTTAGACCAGTCTGATCAACATGGAGAAATCCCGTCTCTACTAAAAATACAACAATTAGCCGGGCATGGTGGCACATGCCTATAATCCCAGCTTCTTGGGTGGCTGAGGCAGCAGAATCACTTGAACCTGGGAGGCTAAGGTTGCGGTGAGCCAAGATCACACCATTGCACTCCAGCCTGGGCAACAAGAGCAAAACTCCATCTCAAAAAAAAAAAAAAATTGTAGAGACAGGTCTTGCTGTGAGGACATAGGCTGGTCTTGAACTTCTGGGTTCAAGTGATCCTCCTGCCTCGGCCTCCCACAGTGCTGGGATTACAGGTATGGGCCACCTCACCTGGCCTTCTTTTTTTCTTAATACTACAAGAAGAAATACATATTTGGCCAGGCGCACTAGCTCACATCTGTAATCCCAGCACTTTGGGAGGCCGAGGCAGGTGGATCACGAGGTCAGGAGATCAAGACCATCCTGGCCAACGTGGTGGAACCCCGTCTCTACTAAAAATACAAAAAAATTAGCTGGGCGTGGTGGCGCGTGCCTATAGTCCCAGCTACTCAGGAAGCTGAGGCAGGAGAATCGCTTGAACCCGGAAGGCGGATGTTGCAGTGAGCCGAGATCGCACCACTGCACTCCAGCCTGAGCAACAGAGCGAGACTCCGTCTCAAAAAAAACAAGAAGAAATACATATTTGATGTACAAGATTTAGAGAATGCAGATGAACATCAACAACAAAAGTGCTTATTACTCACCAACCAAACAGAGCCACAGTTAACATTTTCAGTATATCAATATGTACTAGTTAAATCACAGGAAATAGCTGTTTTGGGAAGTCAAAAATGATTGAATATGGCTCATGCTAATCACACATTTAGATATAAATATAAATACATTATATATTAAAATCTTCTAAAATGGGATTATTTATAAATATTTATTTATAACATTTTGTTACTTGAAATATATATGAACATAATTCCTTGTTAATATGTGTAGAATCTACATCAGCATTTTTGGTGGCATCTTAGTATTTCAACGTATAGATATCCAATAATTTCTTTAACCAATTGTCTGTTTTTGATCACTTACTGTTTCAGGTACCTATTTGTGCTAACAAACCACTTCACACCCCAATGCCTTAAAAGAATAATGATATATTCTGTGTCATGATTTTGCAGGTTGACTGGCTGTCCTGCTGGGCTTTGCTGGGCTCACTCACACAGCTGCTGACATCCCACAGCTGCTGACATCCTACAGCTTGAGTGGGCCTCGAGGGCCCCAGATGTTCTCATTCACATGTCTGCCAGTCAGTGCTGGCTTGTGAGCTAGGGCTCCTCAGTTCTCTACATGCCTCTGTGTCAGCGGTCTGCAAGATTACCCTCAGGCTTGATGATTCACTAGAAAGACTCACAGGACCCAGAAAAGCTGTTATATTCATGGTTAGGGTTTATCATAGTGCAAGGATACTGATCAAAATCAGCAAATGAAAAAGGCCCATGGGACAAAGTCCAAGAGAAACCACCAGTCACAAGCTTCCAGGCATCTCCTCACAGTGGAATCTCATGGAGACATGCTTAATTCTCCCAGCAGCAATGTGTGAGAACACATGCAAAGTATTACCAAACAGGAAAGCTCACTTGAACCTTAGTGTCCAGGGTTTTTGTTGGGGATTGGTCTTATAGGCATGCAATGCCCATGTTACAGACCTCGGTTACTCAGACTCCAACCCCCCAGAGGTCAAACTGATACAGCACAGCCCAAAGCGTCAGGCATATATAAACACTCTCAGGCAGAGGATTTATATCAAGCAGGCTATTCCAAAGTCTCAGAGGTTGTCTTCCCCAGAGCCAAAGGCCAGCCCTTTCTTTAGAGTATGTAGGTTTTGTGCAACTCAAGCCTAATAAATTAATCCTTTACTGAACACTTCTCATCTTCCAGTACTGGGTCTCTTCACAGCATAATCGTCTGGAGATTCCAAGAGGGTAAAAATTGAGACTGCAAGGTTTCTTAAGGCCTAATCTTGGAAGTCACACAATATCACTTCTGATACATTCCATTGGCCAAAGCAAGTCACAAGGCCAATCCAGAGTCAAAGAAGAAGGAGCAGCAGTGTTACATTGCAAAAATAAGACCAACGTGGGGTGGTATAATTTATTGGAGACATTATAACAATCTACTGCACATACAATTTTTAGAATTATTTACTGCTATAAGCAAGGCCATGATAATCATCCTTATTCAATAGTTTTTCCAGTTTATAATACATTTGCCTTCTTTTTTTGTCTTTTTTCTTATTTATTTGTTTTTGAGACAGGAGCTCACTTTTCACCCAGGCTGCAGTGCAGTGGCATGCCCACAGCTTACTGCAGCATCAACCTCCTGGACTCGGGTCATCCTCCCACATCGGCCTCCTGGGTAGCTGGGACTACAGGTGTGTGCCACCATGCCCAGCTAGTTTTTTGTATTTTTGGTAGAGACAGGGTTTCACCATGTTGCCCAGGCTGGTCTCAAACTCCTGAGCTCAAGCAATCCCCCCACCTCAGCCTCCCAAAGTACTGGGATTACAGGTATGAGCCACAGTGCCTGGCCTGATTTTCTTTTTTTTAATGTATTATGAAGTATTCCATATACACAAAAAGTATTAAAACAACATAAAAAGCAGGTAGGTGTAACAGGTTTAAAGATGTGTAGTCTTATAACTGTGTAGACTTTTACTTTGCAATTATAGGTTTTACATATATAGGATATAGAGCAAATGTATTTATTCTCTATAAAAGTGTCCATTTCTGCCACTTAAATATACTTAATATGTAATTTGTATATTTCTACACTCCACAGTAAGGAAATATAAAATGGAAAACCTGTAAATGTTTTACTTGAATAAGTAGTCAGAAGATAAATTAGAAAGAAAATTTTTAACATTAATATAAATGTATTTTTGAATTGGTATATATATATATTTTGAGACGGAGTCTCACTCTGTCACCCAGGCTGGAGTGCAATGGCATGATATCGCCTCACTGCAACCTCTGCCATCCGGGTCCACACGATCCTTCTGCCTCAGGCTCCCAAGTAGCTGGGATTATAGGCACACGCCACTACACCAGCTTGATTTTTTGTATTTTTAGCAGCTATGGGGTTTCACCATGTTAGCCAGGCTGGTCTCGAACTCCTGACCACGGGTGATCCACCTGCCTCTGCCTCCCAAAATGCTGGGATTACAGGCATGAGCCACTGTGCCTGGCCTGAATTGATATATTTTTGAAAGCACTATGGAAGTTTGCTTTTAATAAAAATTACCATCTGAATTTTAAAATTTTTTTAAAAGAAAAATATGATGGTATGCACTTATATTTTTGCACATATATGAGTGGTTTTCTTAAGGTACACTCCAAGAGTAAAATATATACACTTTTTTCTTTTTTTTCTTTTCTTTTTTTTTTTTAGACAGTCTCACTCTGTCACCCAGGCTGGAGTGCAATAGTGCAATCTCGGCTCACTGCAATCTCCACCTCCCAGATTCAAGCGATTCTGCTACCTAAGCCTCCCAAGCATCTGGGATTACAGGCGTGTGCCACCACACCCAGCTAATTTTTGTATTTTTAGTAGAGACAGGGTTTCACCATGTTGGCCAGGCTGGTCTCCAATTCCTGACCTCAGGTGATCCACCTGCCTTGGCCTCCCAAAGAGCTGGGATTACAGGCATGAGCCACCATGCCCAGCCGTATATACACTTTTTGAAAATTTTATACAAGTTGTTAAACTGCCCCCCAAACACACTATCATAATTTAATGTTGCGCTTCCTTCTCAACATTGAGTATCATCATTCTTCTTAACTTTTGCTGCCTTGATAAGTGAAAATATCTTTTTGTTTTAATTTGTATTTCTTTGAATATTAGGTTTTTTTCATTTATTTAATAATCATCTGTATTCCTTATTTTTGTTAACTTTCTTTAATATAAGTTTTTCCCAATTTTATTTCTGCACTTGATCTTTTTCCTTTTGCGTTTGTTTGTTTGTTTTTGAGACGGAGTTTCGCTCTTGTTGCCCAGGCTGGGGTGCAATGGCACAATCTCGGCTCACCGCAACCTCCGCCTCCCAGGTTCAAGCAATTCTCCTGCCTCAGCCTCCCAAGTAGCTGGGATTACAGGCACACGCCACCGTGCCCAGCTAATTTTGTATTTTTAGTAGAGACAGGGTTTCTCCATATTGGTCAGGCTGGTCTTGAACTGCCGACCTCAGGTGATCCATCTGCCTTGGCCTCCCAAAGTGCTGGGATTACAGGCATGAGCCACCGCGCCCGTCTCCTATTGCTATTAATGGTTCTTTTTATATCAGGATATTACCTGGTTATCTGCCCATTCAGAACTTTAAAACTACTTTTTCCATGTAGGCTGATGAAAAGAAAAAAGGAAAAAAAAAAAGAACTTTAAAAGTACAGTGAGATGCACGATCTGATATTATCTTCACAAGGCTCCCATGAAAAAGGTATGAAGACTGTTATTCTTAACTCCATTTTATAAATGTGGAAACTGAGGCTTAGAAAAATATGTGCCGAGAATCGCTTAAACCCGGGAGGTAGAGGTTGCAGTGAGCTGAGATCACGCCACTGCACTCTAACATGGGCAACAGAGCGAGACTTTGTTAAAAAAAAAAAAAAAAGAAAGAAAAGAGAAAGAAAACAAAAGAAAGAAAGAAATAGAGAGAAAAGAAAGAAAGGAAGGAAGAAAGAAAGAAAGAAAAAGAAAGAAAGAAAGAAAGAAAGAAAGAGAGAAAGAAAGAAAGAGAGAAAGAAAGAAAAGAAAGGAAGACGCCCATAGTGATGGAGTGAGTTTGCGGAGAAATTGAGGGCAGAACCCAGGCTTCCGTCTCCTAGCCCAGAGTGCTTTCTCAACACCACTACACCACTGGGACTGAAACAGGTGGTTTCCCTAGACCTTCTTGCACCAATGACATTCTAGAAGCAGGGGTGACCTTTTGGGACAAGGACTTGCAGCTTTTAGCCCCAACAGGCCCAGTCCTCTAAGTAGAATATGAACAACATCACTGGGAGGGGGCCAGCAGATACTGGCTTTCCCCTCCTGCTGGCCATAGTGAGAGATTGACTTCGAGGAAACAAGTGGACTGGCTGAAGGTCAAAGCTTGTAAAACTGAAAAAGAAAAGACCTATCATTTCTTCCCTCCCCCTAGCAACTCCATTGAGTCTAAGCATGCTTTGCAGCTGGCTTGCAGAGGTCAAAGCGTTTGGAGGAGAGATCCATTTATCTTTACCTTTCTCAAGTGACTGTGGTTAACCTGTCACCAGGGCAGAAGACCTTGCACTCCTCAATCAGGACACCTACAACGTGGGAGTGGGGCGGTAGCTGGGGGGGGGTGTCAAATCCAGCTTTTTTCAGCGGCTGCAGCCTGTTTGCCCATCAACACCCCACCAGTGTGTATGGGAGCGTGGCTCTGGCCTCCTTCTTGCCTGAGCAGCAGCCAGCAAACATTTGCCCTTCCTCTTGAAGACAGCCTTTGCCACATGCTTCCTTGCATGAGAAGAGTGTAAAGGGAAGAATGTTCTTCTGTTTTCTCCATTGTGTAGACAGCAGGATGAGCTCTGCCCTGCCCCCAACTCCACCACTAACATTCTGTGAGACTTCAGGAAGTTCCTGGCCTTCTCTGAACCTCAGTTTTCACCTCTGAATGTTAAAGGTTTGGACTGGATACTCTCACAGGACCCTGTCAGTCCTGACATTCTGGGATTCTCTATCTGTTTGCTAACCTGGGTATCTGAGTATCAGATTTGGGTAAAGCCAAGATCGCCTCTGTAGAAAAGTCATGGGTATCAAGAAGGCCTCAGATGGAACAAACAGAGGACAAACACTGTGAGGCGATGCCAGAGGACCCAGTAAGATTTCAGGGGTTTGGTAGCAGCAAAGAAACTGACCCAGACAAACCAATAGGCCCAGGGTAGGGACAAAGCGGGTTCCCAAGGGGCCTGGTGGCTGGAATCAAGAACTAGGGCTGAGTTTCATGCTTATCTGCTGAGAGGCTCCTGCCTTCCAGGGAGGTAGCCGAGGTGTATTAGAAGGAAAAAGGAGTGTTGGACTGTGTAATGTGGAACAAGTCACTTATCTTCTCTGAGCCTTGATTTCCTTACCAGTAAAATGGAGTCAACAGTCCTAGCCAACAAGTGCATAAAAAGATGCTCAGGGGGCCAGGTATAGTGGCTTAAGCCTATGAGCCCAGCACTTTGGGAGGCTAAGGCAGGAGGATCACTTGAGCCCAGGAGTTTGAGACCAGCCTAGGCAATAGAGACCCTATCTACACACACACACACACACACACACACACAGAATTAGAAGGATCACTTTTTTTAAATTTTTTGTTTAAAAAATTGTAAAAAGTTATTCTCCTGCCTCAGCTTCCTAAATGGTGACATGTACCTGTAGTCCCAGCTACTCAAGAGGCTGCGGCAGGATGATCACTTGAGCCCAGGATGTTGAGGCTGCAGTGCACTCCAGTCTGGGCAACAGAGTGAGACCCTGTCTCAAAAAAAAAAAAAAAAAAAACCTCAACATCATTAGTCATTAGGAACATGCAAATTAAAGCCACAGTGAGATATCACCTAACACCCAGTAGGATTTAAAAAATAACAAGTGTTGGCAAGAATGTGGAGAAATTGTAACCATCATGCATTGCTGATGGGAATATAAAATTACACAGCCTTTGTGGAAAACAGTTTGGTGGTTCTTCAATAAGTTAAACACAGAATTACCATATGACCCAGCAATTGTAACCTTGGGTATATATCCAAGACAATTGAAAACATTTGTCTACACAAAAACTTGTACACGAATGCTCATAGCAGCACTATTCATAATAGCCCTGATATGGTTTGGCTGTGTGTCCCCAACCAAATCTCACTTTGAATTGTAATAATCCCCACGTATCAAGGGTGGGACCAGGTGGAGGTTAAGTGAATGATGGGAGTGGTTTCCCCCATGCTGTTCTCATGACAGTGAGTCTCATGAGATCTGGTAGTTTTATAAGCATCTGGCATTTCCCCTGCTTGCACTCATTGTCTCTCATATGGCCCTATTGTAAGTTTCCTGAGGCCCCCCAGCCATGCAGAACTGTGAGCCAATTAAACCTCTTTTCTTTATAAATTACCCAGCCTCGGGTATTTCTTCATAGCAGCATGAGAATGGACTAATACAGTAAATTGGTACCAGAAGTGGAGTGCTGCTATAAAAATACCCAAAAATGTGGAAGTGACTTTGGAACTGGATAACAGGCAGAGATTGGAACAGTTTAGAGGGCTCAGAAGGCAAGAAAATGTGGGAAAGTTTGGAACTTCCTAGGGACTTGTTGAATGGCTTTGACCAAAATGCTGATAGTGATAAGGACAATTAAGTCCAAGCTGAGGTGTCTTGGATGGAGATGAGAAACTTATTGAGAACTGGAGTAAAGGTCACTCTTACTATGCTTTTGCAAAGAGACTGGCAGCTTTTTGCCCCTACCCTAGAGTTCTGTGAAACTTTGAACTTGAGAGAGATGATTTAGGTTATTTAGCAGAAGAAATTTCTAAGAAGCAAAGCATTCAAGAGGTGATAGAGCATAAAAGTTTGAAAAAGTTGCAGCCTGACAACACAGTAGAAAAGGAAAACCCATTTTCTGGAGAGAAATTCATGCTGGCTGCAGAAATTTGCATAAGTAACAAGGAGCCACATGCTAATCGCCAAGACAGTGGGGAAAATGTCTCCAGGGCATGTCAGAGACCTTCGCAGCAGCCCCTACCATCACAGGCCTGGAGGCCTAGGATGGAAAAATGATTTCCTGGGCTGGGCCCAGGGGCCCCCTGCTGTTTACAGCCTTGAGACTTGGTGCCCTGCACCCCAGCTGCTCCAGCCTTGGCTAAAAGGGGTCAAGGTACAGCTCAGGCCGTTGCTTCAGAGGGTGCAAGTCCAAAGCCTTGGAAGTTTCCATGTGGTGTTGGTCCTGCAGGTGTGCAGGAGAAAAGAATTGAGGTTTGGGAACCTCTGCCTAGATTTCACAGCACATATGGAAATGCCTGGATGTCCAGGCAGAAGTCTGCTGCAGGGGCAGAGCCCTCATGGAGAACCTCTGCTTGGGCAGTGTGGAAGGGAAATGTGGGGTTGGCGCACCCACACAGAGTCCCCACTGGGGCACTGCGTAGTGAAGCTGTGAAAAGAGGGCCACCATCCTTTAGACCCCAGAATGGTAGATCCACCAACAACTTGCACTGTGTGCCTAGAAAAGCCACAGACACTCAATGTCAGACGTGAATGCAGCTGGGAGAGGGGCACTGTACCCTGCAAAGCCACAGGGGTGGAGCTGCCCAAGGGGGTGAGAGCCCTCCTCTTGCCTCAGCATGACCTGGATATGAGACATAGAGTCAAAGGAGACCATTTTGGAACTTGACTGCCCTATTGGATTTCAGACTTGCATGGAGCCAGTAGCCCCTCTGTTTTGGCCAATTTCTCCCACTTGGAGTGAGTGTATCTACCTAACATGTGTACCCCATTGTATCTAGGAAGTAACTAACTTGCTTTTGATTTTACAGGCTCCCACGTGGAAGGGACTTGCCTTGTCTCAGATGAGACTTTGGACTTGGACTTTTGGGTTAATGCTGGAACGAGTTAAGACTTTGTGGGACTGTTGGAAGGGCATGATTGTGTTTTGAAATGTGAGAACATAAGATTTGGGAGGGGCCAGGCTCAGAATGATATGGTTTGGCTCTGTGTCCCCACTCAAATCTTGCTTTGAATTGTAATAATCCTTGTGTGTCAAGGGTGGAACCAGGTGGAGGTAATTGAATGATAGGGGCAGTTTTCCCCATGATGTTTTTGTAATAGTGAGTGAGCCTCACAAAATATGATAGTTTTTATAAGCATCTGGCATTTCCCCTGCTTGTACTCATTCTCTCTCCTGCGGCCCTGTGAAGAGGTGCCTTCCACCATGATTGTAAGTTTCCTGAGGCCTCCCCAGCCATGCAGAACTATGAGTCAATTAAACCTCTTTTATTTATAAATTACCGAGTCTTGAGTATTTCTTCATAGCAGCATGAAAATGGACAAGCCCCAAAGTGGAAATAGCCCAAATGTCCACCAACTGATGAACAGAAACATGATATGGTAAATCCACAATCATAAAAAGGAATGAAGTACAGATACATGCTATAACATGGATGAACCTTGAAAACACGATGCTATGTGAAAGAAGCCAGACAGAAAAGACCACACACTGTATGATACCATTTATATGAAATGTCCAGAATAGGCAGATCGATAGAGAAATAAGTCAATTTTTGGTTGCCAGGAGCTGGGGTAAATGGGGGTTTAGGTGAATGACAGCTAAATGACAGCTAAAAGATACAGGGTTTCTTTTTCTTTTTTTTTTTTTTTTGAGATGGAGTCTCTCTCTGTCACCCAAGCTGGAGTGCAGTGGCACAATCTCAGCTCAGTGCAACATCCGCCTCCCGAGTTCAAGTGATTCTCCTGCCTCAGCCTCCTGAGTAGCTGGGATTACAGGCCTGCACCATCATGCCCAGCTAATTTTTTTGGTATTTTTAGTAGAGACAGGGTTTCACCATGTCAGCCAGTCTAGTCTTGAACTCCTGACCTTGAGTGATCCACCTGCCTCAGCCTCCCAAAGTGCTGAGATTACAGGCGTGAGCCACCGCGCCTGGCCAGGGTTTCTTTTTGAGATGATGAAAATGTTCCAAAATTGACTACAGTGATGATTGCACAACTCTTCATACACCAAAAACTATTCAGTTGTAAAGTTTAAATGGTTGAATCGAATGATATGCAAATTATATCTCAATAAAGCTGTTTACTAAGACAAAAGAGTCCTTGCCAAGTCATTCTTACAGGATTGGTGAAGGACTCAATGAAAGTAAAATCTTTTTTCCCTGCCCAGACCAAACCATACTTTTTTAGTTTGCTTTTTTATTGTGAAATATAACACTTGTACAGAAAAGTGAATAAAGCTGAAATGTACAATTTAACAATTTATGCTAAAGCAAATGCCACCCTATTCAAGAAATACAAAATTGGAAGCATCCAGAAGCTTTTCCAAATGGTATTAGTTTTCTCGTACTTCCATAACAAAGTATTACAGGCTGGGGGGCTTCAACAACAAAAATGCATCATCTCCCAATTCTGGAGACTTGAAGTCCAAGATTAAGGCGTGGGCAGGGTTGGTTCCTCCTGGGGCCTTTCTCCTTGGTTTGTAGATGGTGTCTTCTCCATGTGTCTTCTCTTGGTCTTCTCTCTTAGTGTGTGTGTCCTAATCTCCTTTTCTTTCATAAGGACACCAGTCATATTGGAATAGGGTCTACCCTAATGACCTCATTTTAATTTAATCAATTCTTTAAAGGCTCTCTCTCCAAATACATTCATATTCTGAGGTACTGGGGATTAGGACTTCAACATATAAATTTGGGGGGGATATGACACAGCTCATAACACCTCCCATGGTAATAATCTCCCTCATCCCCTACCAGGAGTGAACACTACTGTGACTTTTAGAGTAACCATTACTTGCCTTTCTTTATAGTTGAGCCATCTCTGTGTACATCTCTAAACAACAGAGTTTAATTTTGCCTGTTTATGAATTTTGTATGAACAGAATCATCAGCTTCTTTCACTTAACATGATGCTTGTGAGATTCATCCATGTTGGTGTGGGTAGCTGAAGTTATTCATTTCCACTGTATGAACACACTACAAATGACTTATTTATTCTCTTTTCGACAGACATCTGGATTCTTTCCAGTTTGGGCCTGTAACAAACAGTGCTGCTGTGAAGATGTCTCCTGGACGTCACATGCCTACCCCTCTGTAAGGTGCACACTTAACTTGCTAAGTAATGCTAGGCTGTGTTTCAAAGTAGTCATACCAATGTAAATTCCCACGAATTTACAAAGAGCAGCCTGCAAGCTCTCTTTGCTCCTTGTCTTCATCAATGCTTAGAAATGTCAAACTTGTTAATTTTGGTCCTTCTGATGGGTAGCTGATGGTATCTCGTTGTGATTAAGTTTCATATTTGTCATTACTAATGAGATTGGACACATTTTCATATGCTTATTGGCCATTAGGTATCCTCTTTTGTGAAGTAATTGTTCAAACCTTTTGCCCATTTTTCTACAGGGTTGTCTTTCTCTTATTAATTCTTAGGCATTCTTTATATATTCTGGATGCAAGCTCTTTGCAGTTATACGTTAAAATTTCTCCCACTCAAGGTTGCCTATCACTCTCTTAATGATGTCTTTTCATGAACAGAAGTTCTTAATGTTGATGTAGTGTAATTTACCAGTCTTCCATGGTTAGTACTTGTTTGTGTGTCTTGATTACAAAGTCTTTCCCTACCTTATTTTAGGAAGATATTATCCCAATATTACCTTCTAAATGTGTTCTTGTTTTACCTTTAGTCTTGCCTTAATATATAACCCACCTGCAATTTGTTTTTGTGTGTGATGCCAGGCAGGGCTTTAATTTTATTTTTTTATATGACTCTTTAATTGTCCTAGCACTGTTAAAGATTTGTCTGAGCACAGTGACACATTTGTCACATGTCAAGTATCCATGCATGCGCTTGGTGGACTCTGGACTGTGACTCTTTGTCCTAACCCCTGGAGGCAGCCACAAGTGAAGATCAGCCCCTCAGCTGCTTCTTCTCGGGTCAGCAAACCCCAAACCACTCAGGGCAAAGGCACTTCCACTGCCAGGCTCACCTTTCAGGATTCCCTTTTTCTCTCAGATCTTGGTTTGTTATACTTTTGTAGCTATCTAGTTAGCTCACTGATGTTTTTAAGGTGATTTTCCCCCAGTTTTTTTAAAACGGGAGGGTTGGTCCAAATTATCTAGTCTACCATTATCAGAAATTAAAGTATAGAACATGTACATCCTTTTCGATAAAATGCATAACATTTTATTAAGGGATAATGTACATATAGCAATGTATTAGTCCATTCTCACAGTGCTATAAAATATGAGATTGGGTAATTTATAAAGAAAGGAGGTTTAATTGACTCACAGTTCTGCATGGCTGAGGAGACCTCAGAAAACTTACAATCATGGCAGAAGGGGAAGCAAGGCACCTATTACACGGTGGCAGGAGACAGCAGGAGGGCGGGGGAAGTGCCACACTTTTAAACCATCAGATCACGCTAGAACTGACTCACTATCATGAGAACAGCACGGGAGGAACCGCCTCCATGATCCAATCATCTCCCACCAGGTCCCTCCCTTGATAGGTGGGGATTACAATTTGAGATGAGATTTGGGTGGGGACACAGAGCCAAACCATATCAAGCAAGGTGCATAAAGTTTACTAATCTTAACTGTACACCTAGGTGCATTTTATATATGCATACGCCCATGTAGCCTCTGTTCAGATAAAGACAAAAAATGGTTCAAGCACTCCAAAAGATTTCCTCATTCCTTTTCCCAGTCAGGACACCACTCCCAGGAATAGCCACTATTGCTATCAATATTTTTTGTCTGTTTTGAGCTTCGTATAAATGGAATCATACGTACTCTTTTTTTAACTTTTATTGAATTTTTTGAGATGGGTCTCACTCTGTCTCCTAGGCTGGAGTGCAGTTGTGTGTTCATGGTTCATTGCAGCCTCAACCTCCCAGGCTCAAATGATCCTCCTGCCTCAGCCTCCCAAGTAGCTGGGACAACAGGTGCATGCCACAATGTTCAGCAAGTTTTTTTTTCTTTTTTGTAGAGACAAGGTCACGCTATGTTGCCCAGGCTGGTCTCAAACTCCTCAGCTGAAGTGATCCTCCCACCTTCGCCTCCAAAACTGCTGGAATTACAGGCATGAGCCACCATACATGGGCCAGTATGTACTCTTTTTTATTTTTTGAGACAGTTTCTCACTTTGTTGTCCAGGCTGCAGTGCACTGGAACGGTCATGGCCCACTACAGCCTTGACCTCCCAGGCTCAGTTGATCCTCCCACCTCAGCCTCCTGAGTAGCTTAGACTACAGGCCCATTCCACCACACCTGGCTAATATTTTGTACTTTTTTAGAGATGGGGTTTCACCACATCCTCAAGCTGGTCTCAAACTCCTGGCCTCAAGCAGTCCATCCTCCTCAGCCTCCCAAAGTGCTGGGATTACAGGTCTGAGCCACCACGCCCAGCCATGTACTCTTTGTGTCTAGCTTTTTTAATTCAACATTGTGTCTGCAAGATTCACCCATGTTATTGCATATACCTGTATCACATAATCTTTCACTGTTGCACTGTTTTCCACTGTATGAATATACCACAATTTATTTACACTTTATATCATTGATTAGCATTTGTATTGTTTGTAGTTTTGGGCTATTATAAATGTGCCCATTATGACAGTCTTGTTCATGTCTTGTGAGTGTGTACCCAATTTCTCTTGGACATAAACACCTAGGAATGCAATTGCTACATTATAGGAAATGTAAATGTTGAGTTTTAATAAACACTACCAAGCAGTTTTTCAAAATGAATCTACAATTTTATACCCTCACCAGCATTGTATGAGAGAGAGTGCCCCACTTGCTCTACATCCTCACCAACATTTGGTGTTGTCTGTCTTTTTTATTTTAGCCATTCTGGTGAGTCTCTAGTGATACCTATTGGAGTTTTAAAATACATTTTCCTATCAGCTAATGAGCAGATTTTCATGTGCTTATTGGCCACCCTGGTTTTTTTAATGGTAGACCTTTAATTTCCTTTCTAATCTGCTAATAATTATTTCTGTCCTCAAGTTTTCTAGTTTTTCTTGGGTCCATATAAGTATTTTATATTTTACTAAGAAATCATACTTCAGCTTCTATATTTTAAAATTCATTGCCAAAGAGTTTATAACAGTTTTATTGAGATATAATACACATACTATAAAATTCACCCATTTTAAGTGCATAATTTGATGGTTTTTGGTATACAGAGTTGTGCAACTATCACCACTATCTGATTTTAGAACATTTTAGTCACCTCCCCAAGAAAAACCTGTACCCATTAGTTGTCACTTTCCATTTTCTCCCCAACTTCAGCACCCTTCAGCTTTAGGCAACTCAAATGCTCATCAGAAAATAAATAATCTATGGTATATATGCACAATGGAATATTATACAGCAGTCAAAATGAATGAACTAAATCAATTCCTACAACATGAATAAATCTTTGTGATGTAATTTTATGTGAAAAAATAAACTTTAAAAGGTTGCATATATATATACAGACACACACACACACGTTGGAATATTATTATTCAGTCTTAAAAAACAGGGGAAATCCTGTCATTTGCAACAACATGGATGAATCTGGAGGACATTATGCTAAATGAAATAAGGGAGTTACAAAAAAGACAAATACCACATGATATCAATTATATGTGAAGTCTAATAAAGTTGATCTCATAGAGGCAGAGAGTAGAAGGGTTGTTGCCAGTGGTGGGAGGAATGGGAAGGGAGGGAGGGAATGGAGGTAATCAAAGGGTACAAAGTTTCAGACAGACAGGGGAAATGGATTTTGAGATCTATTGCATCACAGGGTGACTATAGTCAATAATAGAGCATTTTACACTTAAAAATAACTAAGATAGTAAATTTCAAATGTCTCATCATAAAAAATAATAGGTGGCTAGGTGTAGTAGCTCACGCCTGTAATCCCAGTACTTTGGGAGTCCAAGGTGGGAGGATGGCTTGAAACCAGGAGTTTGAGGCTGCAGTGAGCTATGATTGCAACACTGCACCCCAGCCTGGAGACAGAGCCTCACTCTGACACCCAGGCTGGAATGCAGTGGCATGATCTTGGCTCATTGCAACCTACGCCTCCTGGGTTCAAGCAATTCTCATGCCTCAGCCTGCCAAGAAGCTGGGATTACAGGTGCGTGCCACCATGCCTGCCTAATTTTTATATTTTTAGTAGAAACAGAGTTTCCCCATGTTGGCTAGGCTGGTCTCGACCTCCTGGTCTCAAGCAATCCACCCGCCTTGGCCTCCCAAAGTATGGGATTACAGGAGTGGACCACTGCACCCAGCCAGACCCTGTCTCTTAAAAAATAAAAGATAGGCCGGGCGCAGTGGCTCACGCCTGTAATCCCAGCACTTTGGGAGTCTGAGGGGGGGGGGGGTGGATCACAAGGTCAGGAGTTCAAGACCAGCCTGGCCAATATGGTGAAACCCCGTCTCTACTAAAAATACAAAAATTAGCTGAGCATAGTGGTACACACCTATAGTCCCAGCTCCTAGGGAGGCTGAGGCAGAAGAATCGCTTAAACCCGGGAGGCCGAGGTTGCAATGAGCCGAGATCACACACTGCACTCCAGCCTGGGTGACAGAGCGAGACTCTATCTCAAAAATAATAATAATAAAATAAAATAAAAAATAAAAAAGATAAATAAGCGAAGTGATGGAGATGATGTGTATATTAACTGGCTTGATTTAATCATGCCACATTGTAAACTATATCAAAATATAACATTGTATCCTATAAATGTATACAATTATGACTTGCCAGTCAAAAATAATATTAATAATACATTAATTTTTAAAAAATTCAAAGATTGTATATGGAATGGTGCCTTTTAATAAAGTTAACGCAACAAAAATTGTAAAATGTTGTACTTTGGAAAGTATACAAATATGTGTACACAAAACATTTGATAATATTATATGAAAAGAAAGCAAGAGAATAATAAAGAATTTAGGATGATGCTTCCCTTGAGTAGAGGCAAACAGGAAGATAGACTGGTGGGGGAATGTCATGTAGGTTATTGTCAAGATCATAGCTTTCCATTTGGTGTGGTAGGGTCATGAGTGCCAATTACATTACTAAAAATACATACATACGTAAGTTGTTCATTTATAGCCTAATGTTGAGTGTTTCATCAACCAAAAATTATAAGTAATTCAATTCTGTGTGCTTGAGACTCAATAAAACATAAAGTAGGGAGGATTAAATAAGGTTATGTATGTAAAGCACTTACAACCAGGTGTGGCATATAATTAGTGTTCAAAAAAGTGTTCGCTGTTGTAAATTTACCTTCTAAAAGCACTTACAAGCGCACAAAGATATATGAACAAGGATGTTCCCTGAAGAATGTTTAATATGTGGTTTTAAAATTTGATACAATCACTGGGCACAGTGGCTCACGTCTGTAATCCCAGCACTTTGGGAGGCCGAGGCTGGTGGATCACGAGGTCAGGAATTTGAGACCAGCATGGCCAACATGGTAAAACCCCCTCTCTACTAAAAATACAAAAATTAGCCAGGTGCAGTGGTGCGTGCCTGTAGTCCCAGCTACCTGGGAGGCTGAGACAGGAGAATCACTTAAACCCAGGGGGCAGAGGTTGCAGTGACTCGAGATCACATCACTGCACTCCAGCCTGGGCGACACAGCAAGACTTCGTCTGAAAAACAAAAACAAAAACAAATCGATACAACCTGAATAAAAGCATGGAGAATTATTTCTAGGCCTTGAAACATAAGCAAGGAACTCCCATTATTTACCTGGCTGAATTTCAGAATTGCTATGGATCAATGACTCTTTCGTGCCTCCCGTTTTCCCTGCTTTTTGAACAGGAATGTCTATAGTGGTTATCCCACCCTATACGACCATTGTATATTGGGAAATAGGCAGAAATAAATTGTCTGTAGATGGAGAAGGACTGCACTCCAAGTGTTGTAATTAAGGAACTATAGCCAAGGCGCTTCATCCACACCTGGACCTGGTTTAGATAATGAGATTCTGGACTTGAAGCCAATGCTGTAATGGGATGAGAGTTTTAGAGATCTTTGGATAAGTGAATGTATTTTGCTTGTGGAAGGAATGTGAATCATTGCAGGCCAGGTGGCAGCTTTTGACATGGCTTCCAATGATCCCCACCTTCTGATGTTTATGCCTTTATGTAGTATTCTCTCCTTGAGTGAGGACTGGACCTAGTAACTTGCTTCTAATGAATAGAATACGGCAAAGGTGCTCAGATTTCACTTCTGAGATTAGGTTCCAAAGAGACTGTGACTTCCATCTTGCTCACACACACTCTCTGGATCTTCTCACTTGATCCTTCTGGATGAATCAAACTGCCATGTTGTGAGATGCCCTACAGAGGGACCCAAGTGACAAGGAACTGAGGACAGCATCCAATCAACAGCAAGAAACTGAACACTGCATCTGTACATCTACTCCCTGAATCTAAAATGAAAAATAAAATAATCAACAATGAAAAAAATAACAATAAAGAAGAAGAAAATAAAAAGAAACTGGGCCAGGCATGGTGGCTCACCCCTATAATTCCAGCATTTGAGGAGGCCAAAGTAAGTGGATTATTTGAGCCCAGGAGTTCAAGACCAGCCTGGGCAACATGGCAAGACCTTGTCTCTACAAAAATAAAAAATAAATTAGCCAGTTGTAGTGACCTGGGCCTGGGGTCCCAGCTCCTCGGGAGGCTGAGGCAGGAGGATCCCTTGAGCCCAGGAGGTTGAGGCTGCAGCGAGCCGTGATTGCACCACTGCACTCCAAGCTGGACAACAGAGAAAGACCCTGTTGCAAAAAAAAAAAAAAAAAAGTGAGAGAGAGAGACTGGGTGTGGTGGCTCACACCTGTTATCCCAGCACTGTGGGAGGCCAAGGCTGGCAGATCACCTGAGATCAGGCGGTCGAGACCAGCCTGAACAACATGGTGAAACCCCCGTCTCTACTAAAAATACAAAGATTAGCTGGGCGAGGTTGTGCACGCCTGTAATCCCAGATACTCGGAGGCTGAGGCAGGAGAATCGCTTGAACTGGGGAGGTAGAGGTTGCAGTGAGCCGAGATCATGCCATTGCACTCCAGCCTGGGTGACAGAGTGAGATTCTGTCTCAAAAAAAAAAAAAAAGAAAGGAAGCAAGAAAGAAAAAAGACAAAGAAACAAAAGAAAGAAAGAAGGCCAGGCACACTGGCTCACGCCTGCAATCCCTGCATTTTGGGAGGCTGAGGCAGGCAGATCACGAGGTCAGGAGATAGACTCTCCTGGCTAACACAGTGAAACCCCGTCTCTACTAAAAATACAAAATACAAAAAAATACAAAAAAAAAAAAAAAATTAGCCTGGCGTGGTGGCGGGCACCTGTAGTCCCAGCTACTTGGGAGGCTGAGGCAGGAGAATGGCGTGAACCCGAGAGGCAGAGCTTGCAGTGAGCTGAGATCGCGCCACTGCACTCCAGCCTGGGCGACAGAGCAAGATTCTGTCTCAAAAAAAAGAAAAAAAAAGAAAAAGCAAGCAAAACAGATGGAAGGAAGGAAGGAGAGAGAGAGAGAAAGAAAGAAAGAGAAAGAAAGAAAAAAAGAAAGAAAGAAAAAAGAAGGAAAGAAAGAAACTGAACACTGCCTAGAATCATGTGAGTGAACTTGGAAGCAATCCTCCTCCAGTCAAGCTTTGAGATGACAGCAACCCTGGCCAATACCTTGATTACAGACCTCAAACCAAAGGATCCAGCTAAGCAGTGGATTCCTGACACACACACAGCTGTAAGATAATAAATATTATTTTAAGTCACTAAAATGTGGGGTAATTTGTCACGCAGCAATAAATAACTAATACAGTTCCCAAGAAAGGAAACTACTTGGACTTTCCCAGTACACACTGTGTTTCTCCTGTGTCTTTGCATGTGCTCTTCCCATTGTTCTTCATTTGGCTAACCCTTCTACCTTTAACAAATAGCTCAGGCATCTCCTCCTCCAGGAAGACTTCCCTAATGGGGCACTGCATAAATTGTTCCACTTCCTTACTATCTAGTTACTATCTAGGAGCCTTGGCTGACTTTTTTTTTTGAGATGGAGTTTCGCTCTTGTTGACCAGGCTGGAGTGCAATGACATAATCTCGGCTCACTGCAACCTCTGCCTCCCAGGTTCAAGTGATTCTCCTGCCTCAGTCTCCTGAGTAGCTGGGATTACAGGTGCCTGCCACCATGCCTGGCTGATTTTTGTATTTTTCATAGAGACGGGGTTTCACCATGTTGGCCAGGCTAGCCTTGAACTCCTGACCTCATGATCCGCCCACCTCAGCCTCCCAAACTGCTGGGATTACAGGTGTGAGCCACCGCACCCAGCCTTGGCTGACTTCTATCAGCACAATTATCACACTGCGTTTTAATTGTCTGTTTCACTGCAGCAGTCTATGAATTACTCGAAGGCCAGGATCATGACACAGTGCCACGATTTCCATATCCTCAGCTTCCAGTGGGAGGCTTGGCACATAGTATGTACTCTATAGACATAGTTCACAGGCTTTGGAGTCAATGGGTATCAGTTTGAATCCTAGCTCTACTCCCAGCTATCTGTGTAACCTTAGACAAGTCACTTAACCTCTCTAAAACCCAGACCTTCTCATTCCTGGAGTTGGGAGTTTGGGGTACGAGCAGCATGAGGAAGGGGAATCCATATTCTTGCTCTTCCTGCTTTATAGGCACTGCACTACTTGATGTTTATTCTACAATCCCATGAGGCCTCTTAGTCTTAGGATGATCTTCAATGTCTAAATTGAGGTAGAAACTTTGGGGATTATGCTCCTCAATCAGCTTCTTTTATTTAATAAATTAAATATATGCAGAAGAGAGTTCTTGATATAGAAGTTAAAAGCAGCTACAGCAAAAGAGGATTAAAAAAAAAATAATGGCTGGCGGGGCGCAGTGGCTCACGCCTGTAATCCCAGCACTTTGGGAGGCTAAGGCAGGCAGATCACAAGTTCAGGAGATCGAAACCATCCTGGCTAACACAGTGAAACCCCATCTCTAATAAAAAAAACAAAAAATTAGCTGGGTGTGGTGGCGGGCACCTGTAGTCCCATCTACTCGGGAGGCTGAGGCAGGAGAATGGCATTAACCCGGGAGGCAGAGCTTGCAGTGAGCCGAAATCCCACCACTGCACTCCAACCTGGGCAACAGAGCGAGACTCCGTCTCAAAAAAAAAAAAAGAAAAAAAAAATCATGGCTAGCCCAGTATTTTTAAGTGACATATTTCAGCCTTCTGCTAATGTTTCATCACTGAAATATCAGCCCTTTTTCATGTAAACTAGTGAGGGTTTGGACAGAGGACAAAAGCATCATATGTTCTACACATCTTGCAATGGGAACTGTCAAATTTTGTGTTCAACATTGCCACAGTATCGCCGCTGACATGCTTCCAAAAGACTTTTCAAACAAAAACCCACCACAGGCCTGGAACAAAATACACAGCCTAGAAAAATGTGCATCTCATATTTCCTACGTGGATTGACAAAACCAACTGGGGCCTGAGACCAAAAACAGAAAGGTTTTTTGAGGTTTTCCACAAATGCTCCCAGTTTAGAAACAAAAGTGTGAGTGTGGAAGGGGAAATCCCCCTTCTAGCCCAAAGGATTTAATTTCCCTCCAGGGAAATTTCTAGCTCTGACACCCTCATAAGACTGTACCATAGCAGACGGATCGCACCAGGATGTAGAAGCAGGAGATTTCCCTAGAGGGAAACTTGTGGGAAATAGCCTGAAAATGCACATTCAAATCAAGTCTTAAGAGGGAAAGGGAGATCTGCTTAGACTGACAGCACAAATGGTCTGTGATTCCAAGTTACAAACCTTTCCCTCCGGAGAAGTGTGAACTTGGACCTGCTACTCTTTCTGAACACTGCACAGCCTGGAGATGATCCCCCCTCAATGCTTCTCCTCTTGGCTCTTTTTTCTTTTTCCGTTTGTTTTGTTTTGTTTTGTTTGAGACAGGGTCTCACTCTGCCACCCAGGCTCGAGCACAGTGGTGGGATCACAGCTCACTGCAGTCTTGATCTCCTGGGCTCAAGTCATCCTCTCACCCCAGCCTCCAAAGTAGTTGGGGCCACAGGCGCATGCCACCATGCCCAACTATTTTTGTTTGTTTTGTTTTTTGTATTTTTTGTAGAGATGGGGTCTTGCTACAGGCTGGTCTCAAACTCCTGTGCTCAAGCAATCCTCCCCCTTCGGCCTTCCGAAGTGCTGGGATTACAGGTGTGAGCCACAGTGCCCTTCCAGGGCTTTATCTTTTTGAAAGACTCCACAATCCCTCCAGTGCCCCAGGAGAGAAAACTAGACTCCTTTTTTTTTTTTTTTTTTTTTTGTGACGGAGTTTTGCTCTTGTTGCCCAGGCTGGAGTGCAATGGCTCGATCTCGGCTCACCACAACTTCCGCCTCCCAGGTTCAAGCGATTCTCCTGCCTCAGCCTCCCGAGTAGCTGGGATTACAGGTGCCCACCACCACGCCCAGCTAATTTTGTATTTTTACTAGAGATGGGGGTTTCTCTATGTTGGTCAGGCTGGTCTCAAACTCCCGACCTCAGGTGATCCACCCACCTCGGCCTCCCAAAGTGCTGGGATTACAGGCGTTAGCCACCATGCCCGGCCTGGACTCACTTTTAACTTCTCCTTCTTCCTCATCCCCCACATCCAATCCCCCACCAAGTTCCAGCAATCCTTATTTCCTAAATGCTCTCTTGCCCTTTTTTTTTTCAGTGTGAATAACTTTTTAAAAATTGTATAATTATTGTATATATTTAAGGTACACAACATGATGTTCTGATACACATATACTTAGTTAAATGTATATACTTATATACATATACTTAGTTAAAACACTCAAGCCAATTAATGTATCCATCATCTCACATAGTTAACTTTTTTTCCTGGTAAGAACACCTAAAATCTACTCTCTTGACAAAATTCCAGTAAATAATACAATATTATTAACTATAGTCCTTTACTGTACATTAGCTGCTCTCTAGACATATTCATCCTACACAATGCAACCTATCACCTCACACCTGTTAGGATAGCTATTATCAAAAAGACAAGAGATAACAAGTATTGGTGAGAGTGTGGAGAAAAGGGAACCTTTGCAACCACAATGAGATATCACCTCGAAATTCTTTGGATCACTATTTTCCAAAAAAAAAAAAAAAAAAAAGAAGTACTGGCAAGAGTGGAGAAAGGGAACTCTTGTACATTGTTGATGGGAATGTAAATTGGCACAGCCATGATGGATGGAAAACAGCATGGCTCTTCCTCAAAAAATTAAAAATACAACTATCACATAACCCAGCAATCCCACTTCTAGGCATATACCCAAAGGAAATAGTCGGTACCTGGTAGGGATGCCTGCACTCTCATGTTCATTGCAGCAGTATTCACAATAACCAAGATATGGAATCAGCCTAAGTGTCCCTTGATCAATGAATGGATAAAGAAAATGTGCTGGTGCGGTGGCTCACGCCTGTAATCCCAGCACTTTGGGAGGCCAAGGCAGGCGGATCACTTGAGGTCAGGAGTTCAAGACCAGCCTGGCCAACATGGTGAAACCCCGTCTCTACTAAAAATACAAAAATTAGCCAGGTATGGCTGTGCACACTTGTAATCCCAGTTACTTGGGAGACTGAGGCAGGAGAATAGCTTGAACCCGGGAGGTGGAGGTTGCAGTGAGCCGAGATCACGTCACTACACTCCAGCCTGGGTGACAGAGAGAGAGATTCCATCTCAAAAAAAAAATGTGGTAATTATACACAATGGAATATTATCCAGTCTTTAAAAAAAGAAAATTCTGTCCTTTGCAACAATATGAATGAAATTGTTAAGGGCATTATGTTAAGTGAAATAAGCCGGGAACAGAAAGGCAAATACTGCATGATCCCACTTATAGGTGGAGTATTTTTTTTTAAATACGTAGAATAATAGAATGGTGGCTACCAGAAGCCAGGGGTGAGGGGTGGGTAAGTTGCAGTTATGTGGGATGAATAAGCCTAGTATCTCTTGAATCCGTCTACTTTTCTATATCCTCAACGTTGCCATTCTTATACGAGCCCCCAGCATCTCTCATCTAGACTCCCACAAACACCTCAATCCCATCTCCCTGAATGGCAGAAACAATGCTATGTGTTCACAAATCCATTTCATTCTCTCCCTAAGCACACAGAATGACCACATCTCCAAACTGCTCTTGCAATTCAGCTGGGGACCATGGGATGTGGGCAAGAGTGATATAATGACATTTCTGGGGCTAGCCCTAAAACCCATTCTACAGTGGCATGAAGGACATGGGTTGAAGATGGTGGCACAACAAAATGGAAGAATCTGGGATCCCTAAATCACAATGTAAAAGGCTGCCTGCCAAATTTCCTATTGGACTGTAACGTCACTGAGAAGTAAATCTTTTATTGCTTTAAGTCACTTAGAATGAGGATTGTTCTTTGTAGCAGTAGGCTTATCCTGAGAGCCTGCTTCCACTTTTGCCCCTCCCCATGTCTTCTAATCAGTTCCCCTCACAGCTACCAGAGGAATTTAACTACAATACATAACTGATCACATCACTATCCACCACTCCTCACATCCCCCCATATGAAAATTCTTAAATAAATGCTTTCCATTGATCATAGGAAAGTTCAAAATTCTTAAGATGGCCTATAATGCCCTGCATGGTCTACAACTGCTGAACTTTCCCCTGATCTGTCCCTATTTATTCACTCATTTAATCACTTATTCAATAAATATTTCTTGAGCACCAACTGTCAGTAGCTATACTAGTTCTGGGAATAGACTAGGGAAAGGGGAAAACAGGGAAATCATTTGGGAAGCTCTTATATTCATCCAGACAAAAGACAGTAAGGACCTGAGCTACAGTACATCTCCAGTTGTGACATCCTGGTAAGATGGCACCATAACAGATGTCACCAGGGCATGCATTTAAGCCAGAAATTCCCACGGAGGGTAAAAGCCTGAAAATGCAAGTTCTAGTCTATCCCTAAGAAAGCATAAGACAGGGGGAAAAAAGAAGAAGAAGAAGAAGAACTAATGAAAAAAAATAATAAATAAATAAGAAAGCATGGGAGCCTGGCGGGGTGCAATGGCTCACGCCTGTAATTCCAGCACTTTGGGAGGCTGAGGCGGGCGGATCACCCGAGCTCAGTAGTTTCAGACCAGCCTAGCCAACATGGTGAAACCCTGTCTCTACTAAAAATACAAAAATTAGCCAGGCATGGTGGCAGGTGCCTGTAATCCCAGCTACCCAGGAGGCTGAGGCAGGAGAATCGCCGGAACCCAGGAGGCAGAGGCTGCAGTGAGCCAGTATCGTGTCACTGTGCTCCAGCCTGGATGACAGAGCAAGACTCCGTCTCAAAAAAAAAAAAAAAAAAAAAAAGAAAGAAAGAAAGAAAAAGAAAGAAAGCATGGGAGAATTTACAGATGAGGGATTCACCTACACTGACAGCATGAATGAGAGGGGTAGATGCATGATATTTTAGGAAACACAATTGGCAGGATTTGGGAACTGACTATGAAGGGTGAGAAAAGGAAGAGCCAGGCTGGGTGAAGAAAACATTTGGGAAAAGATGAAGATGATGAGCTTAGGTTTAAACATGTGGAGTTAGAGGTGCCAATGGGCCATCCAGGTGGTATCTCAAAGAGGCAATTGGATCTCTGGGCCTGGAGCTCAAGGAAGAGGCCTGGTCTGGTAACGTACAGGTAATGTCCTCACTGATCACAACTTCTAAAGTCTCGGCTATCTTGAAACAAAAACAGGCCAGTAACCCCAGCACTTTGGGAGGCCAAGACAGGAGGACCATTTGAGCCCAGGAGTTCAAGACCAGCCTAGGAAACATAGTAAGACCCCATCTCTACAAAAAAGTAACAAAATTAGCCAGGCATGATGGTTCGTGCCTGTAGTCCCAGCTACTCAGGAGGCTGAGGTGGGAGGATCTCCTCAGCCCAGGAGGCTGAGGCTGCAGTAACCTGTGATTGTGCCACTGTACTCCAGCCTGAGTGACAGCAAGATCCTTTCTCAGAAACAAACGCAAAAACAAGAACAAGCAAACAAGCCAACCTGCTTCTGCTCCTCACTCCGTACCGTGCTTCCCCTCCCTCTCTCTCTCTCTCTTCCCTCCCTTTCATGATCATACCTCCTAAAAGTGGTGTCTCCACTCTAGATCTACTCTCCCCACCCCCTTCACGCTAGAGTCACGTCTCCATCTCCATCATTTTTTTTTACAAGCCAACACGTATAATTCACATTCCATAAAATTCACCCATTTAAAGTGTACATTTTTTAGGCCAGACTCGGTGGCTCACGCCTGTAATCTCAGCACTCAGGGAGGCCAAGGCAGGTGGATCACTTGAGGTCAGGAGTTTGAGACCAGCCTGGCCAATATGGTGAAACCCCGTCACTACTAAAAATACAAAAATTAGCTCGTCATGGTGGCGGGCGCCTGTAATCCCAGCCACATGGGAGGCTGAGGCAGCAGAATCACTTGAACTCGGCAGGCAGAGGTTGCAGTGAGCCAAGATCACACCACTGCACTCCAGCCTGGGAGAGAGAGTGAGACTGTCTCTAAATAAATAAATAAATAAGGCTGGGTGTGGTGGCTCATGCCTGTAATCCTAGCACTTTGGGAGGCCGAGGCGGTCGGATCACTTGAGGTCAGGAATTCAAGACCAGCATGACTAACATGGTGAAACCCGGTCTCTGCTAAAAATACAAAACTTAGCCAGGCATGGTGGTGCATGCCTGTAGTCCCAGCTACTTGAGAGGCTGAGGCAGGAGAATCTGCTTGAACCCAGGAGGTGGGGGTTGCAGTGAGCCAAGATCACGCCACTGAACTCCAGCCTGGGTGACAGAGCAAGACTCCATCTCAAAAACAAAAAAAAATTAAATTTAAAAATGTAAAATATTTAGAAACTTCAGAGTTGTAAACCATTACCACTAATTATGGAACATTTTTATTATCCACCAAAAACCTCTGTACCTATTAGCAGTGAGTCTCCATTTCCCCCAAATAACTCCAAGCCCTAGGTAACCCCTAATCTATTTTTTTTTTTTGAGACAGAGTCTCGCTCTGTCACCAGGCTGGAGTGCAGTGGCTCAATCTCGGCTCACTGCAACCTCTGTCTCCCGGGTTCGAGCGATTCTCTTGCCTCAGCCTCCCGAGTAGCTGGGACTACAAGTGCACGCCACCACATCCGGCTAAGTTTTGTATTTTTAGTAGAGACGGGGTTTCACTATGTTGGCCAGGATGGTCTCGATCTCTTGACCTCATGATCCGCCTGCCTCTGCCTCCCAAAGTGCTGGGATTACAGGCATGAGCCACTGCACCCGGCCTATTTTCTTTCTGTATAGATTTACCTGTTATGGACATTTCATATAAATGGAATCATGCAATATGTAATTTTTTGTGACTGGCTTATTTAGCATAATTATTTCAAAGTTCATCTATGTTGTAACATGTATCAGTACTTCATTCCTTTTTATGGCTGAACAATATTTCTTCATATGGATATAACACATTTTATCCACTCATCACTTGATGGACATTTGGGTTGTTTCCACTTTTTGGCTATTAAGAATTATGTACATGAGCCAGGCACGGTGGCTCACAACTGTAATCCCAGCACTTTGGGAGGCCGAGGCAGGCGGATCATGAGGTCAGGAGATTGAGACCATCCTGGCTAACATGGTGAAACCCCGTCTCTACTAAAAATACAAAAAATTAGCCTGGCATGGTGGCAGGCACCTGTAGTCCCAGCTACTCGGGAGGCTGAGGCAGGAGAATGGCGTGAACCCGGGAGGCAGAGGTTGCAGTGAGCTGAGATCGCGCCACTGCACTTCAGCCTGGGCGACAGAGCGAGACTCTGTCCACAAAAAAAAAAAAAATTATGTACATGAGGCCAGACATGGTGGCTCATGCCTGTAATCCCAGCGCTTTGGGAGGTCAAGGCGGGCGGATCACCTGAGGTCAGGAGTTCAAGACCAGCCTGACCAACATGGTGAAACCCTGTCTCTACTTAAAATACAAAATTAGCCGGATGTGGTGGTGCGTGCTTGTAATCTCAGCTACTCGGGAGGCTGAGGCAGGAGATTCGCTTGAACCCGGAAGGCGGAGGTTGCGGTGAGCCAAGATCGTGCCATTACACTCCAGCCTGGGTGACAGAGAAAAAAAAAAATTATGTACATGAATATTCATGTACAAGTATTTGTTTGAATACCTGTTTTCAATTATTTTGGCTGTATACCTAGGAGTGGAACTGATGAGCCATATGGTAATTCTATGTTTAACTTATTGAGAAATCTCCAAGCTGTTTCCCATAGCGACTGCACCATTTTACATTCCCACCTGCAATGTACCAGGACTGTAATTTCTCTACGTCCTCACCAATACTAGTTATTTTCCTTTTTTATCTTTTTTTTTTTTTTTTGGCAAGCAGATAAAGGCTTGTTTTATTTTAATGGCTGATCTATGTATTCACGGAGGCCAGTATGTACAGACAAAAGGCGAGCTTTTATTTCTTGGTGTCTTCCTCCTTGAACAAAGTCTTGATGATCTCCTCCTTCTTGGCCTGGAGGCGCTCTTCACTGCGCTTCCGTGCTTCCTTGGTCTTAGGCCTGCGGGCCTCAGCCTGGTCAGCCAGGAGCTTCTTGTGAGCCTTGTCTGCCTTCAGCTTGTGGCTGTGTTCCATGAGAATCGGCTTGTTTGTGAACACATTCCCCTGCACCTTCAGGTACAGGCTGTGATACATGTGGCGATCAATCTTCTTAGATTCACAGTATCTTCTGAGCAGCAGGTGCAGAATCCTCATTCTCTTCATCCACGTGACCTTCTCTGGCATTCGGGCATTGGCTGTACCCTTTCACTTATCTATGCCTATGTGCCTGCCCTTCCAGTGGGCCAAGGTGTTTTTCTGGCATCGAGCCCGGGAATGGACCGTCACAGGCTTGCGGATGATCAGCCCATCTTTGATCAGCTTCCAGATCTGCTGATGGGAATTGGCATTGGCGATTTCATTGGTCTTATTGGGGTCCAACCACACCTTCTTCTTGCCACAGCGAAGGACACTAGAGGCGAGCCTCTTCTGAAGCCTGAGCATACTCATGGCTGTAGTCGCAGCAGCGAAAGGAAAGAGCTCCCTTTTTTATCATTATTATAACCATCCTAGTGGGTGTTAAGTAGTATCCTATTATAGTCTTGATTTAAATTTCTTGATGACTAATGATGCTGAGGATTTTTCATGTGTTTATTGGCCATTTATACATCTTCTTTGGAGAAATGTCTGTTAAGATCTTTTGCTCATTTTTTAAATTGGGTTGTCTTTTTATTGCTGAGTTGTAATAGTCCTTTATATATTTTGAATACTAGATCCCTATAGGATATACGTTGTGCAAATATTTTCCCCCATTCTGTAGGTTGTCTTTTCACTTTCCTGGTGGTACTGTTTGAAGCACAAATGTTTTGTTTGTTTTAATTTTAATGAAGTTCAACTTATCTATTGTTTTCTTTAGTTGCACATGCTTTTGGTGTCCTAAGAAACTATTGCCAAATCCAAGGTCATGAAATTCACACTTATGTTTCCTACTAAGAATTTTATAGTTGTAGCTCTTACATTTGGGTCTTTCATCTATTTTGAATTGATTTTTGAATGTGCTGTGAGGGAAGGGTCAAAATTCATTCCTTTGCACATGGATATCCAGTTGTCCCAACATCATTTGTTGAAAATTATTTCCCCCATTGAATGTTATTTTTATCCCCATTGAAAAATCAGTTGGCCACAAATGTCTGGGTTCATTTCTGGACTCACAATTGTATTGGCCTATATGTCTGTCCTTATGCTGGTACTACACCGTCTTGATTATTGTAGCTTTAAGTTTTTGGGTTTTTTGTTTGTTTTTGTTTTTTTGAGACGGAGTCTCAGTCACTCTGTTGCCCAGGTTAGAGTGCAGTGGCCACAGTCTTGGCTCACTGCAACCTCCGCCTCCTGGGTTCAAGCGATTCTCCTGCCTCAACCTCCGGCCAGAGTAGCTGAAACTACAGGCATGCACCACCATGCCTGGAATTTTTTTTTTTTTTTTGTATTTTTAGTAGAGATGGGGTTTCATCATGTTGGCCAGGCTGGTCTTGAACACTTGACCTTAAGTGACCCACCTGCCTCGGCCTCCCAAAGTGCTGGGATTACGGGCATGAGCCACTGCACCTGGCTTTGTTGTAAGTTTTCAAATCAGGCCAGGTGCAGTGGCTTACAGGTGTGCTGTAATCCCTACACTTTGGGAGGTCGAGGCAGGAGGATCGAGTCCAGGAGTTTGTGACCAGCCTGGGCAACACAGTGAGACCCTGCCTCTAAAAGAAATTAAATTAGCCAGGTGCGGTGGTGCTACTTGTAGTCCCAGTTACCTGGGAGGATGAGGTGGAAGGATGCCTTGAGCCTGGGAGGTTGAAGCTGCAATGAGCTGTGATTGTGCCACTGCACAATAGCCTGGACAACAGAGCAAGACTCTGTCTCAAAAAAAAAAAAAAAGTTTTAATAAAGTAGTTTTGAAATCAAGAAATGTGAATCCTCCAACTGTTTTCAAGATTGATCTGGGTATCTCCTGCATCTCTTGAATTTCTATATGACATTTAGAATCAGCCTGATTTCTACTAGAGGAAGCCAGCTGGGATTCTAATAGAGATTGCGTTCTAGATCAATTTCAGGAGTATTGCCATCTTAACAATATTAAACCTTCCCATTCATGAACGTGGAATGTCTATTTCCTTAGGTCTTTAATGTTTTGTACTTTTCCCCATGTAAGTTTTGCACTTATATTGTTCATTCCTAAATATTTTATTCTTTTTGATGTTATTGTAGATATTTAAGAGAATGTTTTCTTAGTTTCAGATTGTTCATGGCTGGTATATAGAAATACTAGTTTTTGTATGTTAATCTTGTATACTGCAGATGATCAATTCATTTTTCTAGCAGTTTTATTTGGAGATTCCTTACGGTTATCTGTATACAAGGTCATATCATCTACAAATAGACATAGCTTTGTCTTCTCAATTTCAGTCTGGATGTTTTCTTTTTCTTTTGCCTAATTGCCCTGGCTAGAACTTCTAGTACAATCATGAATAAACCCATGGGTTTTCCTAAACGTCCTATATCAGGTTGAGGAAGTTCCCTTCTACCCTTGTTTTTATCATGAAAGTGTTTGTCAAGGTTTTTGTGTCTATTGAGATGATCATGTGTGTCTTTTTCCTTTTATTGATATGGTATCCCAGCTTCTTTTGAAAGCTGAAATCGTAGGATGCCCAACATATAAAACAGGGTGGGAGGCTGCTCTGGTTGAAGCAGTAAGGGAAGCTTGGGGCCGCCAAGCTGGCTCAATGGCCTTTCCTTACCAGGTAGCCTTGGGCTCCACAGAAAACTGAGCTGGGAGCCAAGAACAGCAAGCGGTCCCTGTGGCTCTCCTCCAGAACTCCTTGTTGGGCATGGCTGAGTCAGCCAACTAAGCCCAGACCCTTGGCCTCGAGGAGCCCTGTGGGCAGGGCTGGCTGATTACAAGTACCCAACCACTTTATCAAATAGTAGCTCGTTAGCATCCTGCAAATTGCCTATTTATCCTGGTCCAGGGCTTCAGAGCCAACTCCCCCTTATGCCTCGGGCCAGGAGGTTGATCTTGGGGCTTTGGAGTCCTTAACACTTAAGTCATTTTGATGGTATCATTCCACTAAATGTTAGTAGTTCAGATCTATGGTTACCACAAAGTTTGCACTTCTAAAACCTTGATGATAATCAACCAAAAGTACAGAGGTTCAGTATCTCAGACAGATCGCAGACAGCCCACTGATTACTTTTTGGGAAGAGTGATTAAGAAACTTTATTACAGAAAATGAATGCATCCAACGTCCCCAAATACATTTGTGACAAGAACAGACACACACAGGAGACACAGACAATAGTCACTACATCACAGCCTTGTTCTTTCCGAAGGATAAAATGTCATTCAAGAATGGGGTGAGGTGGTTAGAGGGAGTAGGTACTATCCTTTTAAATGGGGGAAAAAAAAAAAAAAAGCAACAGGTTGGCATCTTAAGAACACAGACAGTGGGCCCAGAAATCAAGCTAAGCCTAAGCCTTAGGTAACATCATGCCACTTACATCATCTCAGAGAAACTAGGGCATTATTCCACTAGAAGAGCAATCTTGCCACAGTGTGAAAACGTTGAGTAGTGATCTTGCTGCCCCAGCTAATGGACCAAGTGGCCTCAACTTGACAGCCTCTTTAAAACTCAATGTTTGCCTAATCAAAGATCATCTGGCTAAACTGCTCCCCCACTTCTGCTTAGCTACTTTGGAAGCACAAAAGTTACCCCTTTCCATCCTTGGCCCTTCCCTGGTTGGTACATCTAGTTATGAGATAGACGCGCACCACTTAACAAATCACTCCCTTTTGACCGCAGGTTGTTTCTCTTCCATATTTGACGAGGCTGGCAACAGCTCCCGAATCTTGGCCTAGCACATCACGAATTGGGAAGCTAAAGCTTTAGCTTAGAATGCCAAGTGACAAGGACATGGCTGAAGCAGGAGGGGAAATTCTGGAACAAGTGCCTCTGGGCAAACCTCACAACCGAGTTTTTTAAATTAGTGGTCATTTTCTAGAACTAGAGGAACACATTCAGGACAAACAGTTCTGATGGGAGAGCGAATGGCTATGAACACATAAGAGATCAGGCTGTGACCGTGACCATAACTCGTACTCATCCAGGACCCGACAGGGCGGAGAGGACACCGCCTCCAGACATGCAAGTTTCTCAACAGTGAATTTTAAGAAAAAGCTGCTTTCTCTTAAAATTAATAGCACAAAAACACTCCTGCGTGTTTCATAGCCTCAAACATACACACCCAAATATTAATGCTGGGCAATAGCAACACTCACCCACAACACAGTACTGTATCCTTCATTGCTACGGACAGTAATGATGTATATACACATCAGCCTTCAAAATGGTATTTAGTGTCACCACTTGCTACTGTGGCCATCTCCCCTCACCCCAACCTGGATAAAATGTTACACTACCCACTAATATAACCACTGACACACAAACCAAGCTCCTTCCAGTTTAACATTGAACATCAATCTACATTTCCAGTGAATGAGCTAAACTTATGAGCAGGCCATTCAACTTTTCATGATACATTTAGTGCTCAGAAATGGTTGATTCCATTAGCCTGCCCTATAGCTCAGGTGGCCCAAGATGGAGCCTATCATCTTCCTTGGGGTGTTTGGTGTTTCCAAGTAGGAGCAAAAAAAGGATACCGTCCCCTACCCCACCACCCCATCCCACATACCCTCACTGGCATCCAGGAGACCAGCAGCAGGCTCAAGACCCCAAATGTTGGGCACCACAAATAATGTGATATGTGCCAGGAGCACGGGGGGTAGGGGTGAAAGAGAAAAACAATAAGGCCTTAATTTTTGACACACCATACACTCTGAAATTGCTGTTTAGCAATGCATTTGGCCCCACAAAATAGGGGGTGGAGGTGGGACAAAAGTTAAACCTAGATAGCCTCAGTCCTAATCACCCACCTTCCTATACCTTGGAAGGCTGCTGAACCTTGCCTATGTCGTTCTCCTAACTCCTCCAGACTTCATCTGAATGCCACTCAGACACAAACAAAATCACACAGTAGCTTCAAGTAGCCCTCTCCTTCATCTCAGCCCTAAGTGAGCTGGCCACTGAGTAATAAAAGAAGCTACCACATTTATAGGGAGGCCAGTCTCCAAATACAATGGAGTGGGGGTTTGTTCACTGCTGTGAGTCAGAAATTGACTGTTATAATAGAGAAGAGTTTTAAAAATGTAATACTGTTTATTTAACTTCAAAAACATTTCAGCATTCTAAACATACAAAAAAAATAACAGAACGTTGCGAATCGTGTTTAAGTACAGGAGGTTCTTGAACTTTCATTGATGCAGTGACTCTTTGCTTTGCTGACAATGAAGAGTTCTATAGTTTGTTTAAAAACAAACAGTTTAAAAACTACCGCACTTAAAAAAAAAAAATATTCTCATGCCAGCTGACCCCCCTTTGTCCACAGCTAAGATGGCAGCAGAATGCTATGTCACTATATACAGAAACAAGACAACCTGAAGCTAAATGGATGCCCCCTGCAGAGTCAACAGGTCCAGCCTCACAGTGCACGCCCTGAGCTACAGCCTCTCCCAAAAGGCATCTTCCCCACAGCCTCAACGCCGAGCAAGGAGCATCAAGGGTTTGTCTCGGTTGTTTTGTTCTTTTTACAAACTATAGATATATACAGTTGAAAACTCAGGATTTCTAGCCAATAACCATAGTTACCACCACCTTACAAATAAAAAGAAAATGCCAGAAACATCTTTAAATGCCTTGTCACACCAACAGCAAAGTGCACAGAGTGAGGAGAACACGAGAGTGCCTTTTCATTTTAAAAATGTTTGGAAATATGTACAACTTTGATACAGTTTCAGGGTGCTCCAGACACCCATGGCCACTTCATGTAAACCACTGACAATTTCTAGAGCACTTTGAGAGACTACAATATGATCGTGATCAAATTTTGTAATTAAACCTAATGAGGGCAACAGACACTTCTCAAATAAGAGATGTGTCAATTACGGCGCTCCCCTACTCTAAGTATTCACAAGGAGACAGATAAACAGTTTCTTTATTCATCCTCCTCCTCCTCCTCCTCCTCTTCTTCCTCCTCCTCTTCTTCATCTTCCTCTTCCACCTTTTTCCGGGCAACTTTAGCAGGACCCTTTGCACCATCAAACTTTCCTTTCGACTTATAGTCAGCAACATCCTAGAGGAACAGGGACACATTTCAAATGAGTATGCGGCTGTTTTAACACAAAGTAGAAACATGCAGTCCTCATCTCAGGTAAGAGGACAGGAATTGAAATCAAGTAAGACAGTGCTGCTATCATATATATCTGAAGTGTTTCCATATATGAATTTGGTTCTTAGCCATTCGAATTTAAAAGTTAGTGGGTGTTCAAGTGTCCTTCAAGTCACATTAGTAGGACTATCAAATCCTCTGTTAACATTTTTTTTTCCTTAAAGAGTAAGGAAAATTTTTCAAGCCTGAAGTTGTCCCCAAAACAAAGACCTGTCAAAAAAAAGCATGAACACCAGCACCCGTAGCTACCTTGCAGGGGGATGGGCCCTTGAGCGCTATGCTAAGTACTCAGCCCAGCAAAGCTGCCACATGCCCTGCAACCTACTGATAGCAGAACCACTGCCTGTTCACCAGTCCAGGCTTCCAGCCCCACCTTACCTTCTCATACTTCTCCTTCAGCTTTGCCGCCTTAGTGATGTAAGGCTGCTTTTCACTGTCATTTAAATTATTCCACATCTCACCCAGCTTTTTTGCCACGTCTCCAATAGAGATGCCGGGGTTTGTGGATTTGATCTTGGGGCGGAATTCTGAACAGAACAGGAAGAATCCAGACCTTGGAAGAATTACATACATTACATGAGAAACCACAAAAAATTTGAGTTAAAGTTGAAATCCCACATTCCTGAGAAGCATCTCCCTCCTACCACTATGACTTCTCCCTAAAGTGAAGTAATCTATGATACCATATACAATGCTACAAAGTTGTAGGTTCTAAAATATATAAGGTTAGAAAAATATGTGGTGCGCGGCTCACGCCTGTAATTCCAGCACTTTGGGAGGCCGAGGCAGGCGGATCACCTGAGGTTGGGAGTTTCAGACCAGCCTGACCAACATGGAGAAACCCCGTCTCTACTAAAAATATAAAAAAAATTAGCCGGGCATGGTGGTGCATGTCTGTAATCCCAGCTACTCAGGAGGCTGAGGCAGGAGAATCACTTGAACCCAGGAGGTGGAGGTTGCAGTGAGCCAAGATCACACCTTGCACTCCAGCCTGGTCAAGAGCGAAACTCCATCTCAAATATGTATGCGTGTGTGTGTGTATGCATATATAAAATATATGCGTATATATACGCGCATATATATATGGTGCTCTGTGTGTGTGTATGCATATATAATACATATGCGTATATATACGCGCATATATATATGGTGCTGTCCCAGTCTTTCAATTACTAGGAAAGGCATAAAGAACATACTTCAAGGACCCTGACAACCAAAACTAGAGTGCCTCCTTCACAATGGAAAGGCCAACAGACAACCACTGTGAATGTGCAAGCACAGCCCACAAACACTTCAGCCTTAACCACAGACAACGCTGGCACTGCATCGTAAAGCCCAAGTACAGAATGGTTTGCAGAGGTATTGCCATCTTTTAAGTATCTTTTAAAAAATATTTCATTTTGAAATGAAATACAGGACGACCAAAAAACCAAATCCTCCAAGCAGAAGAAAAGGTATTAATTGTTATCTTGAATCCTATAGTCACTTACGGTGGCCTTTTGGGAGCATTAGGATCCTTCTTCTTCTTGCCTCCCTTAGCTGGTCCATAATCCTTCATTTCCCGATCATAGCGCACTTTATCTGCCTTTGCCATTTCATCAAATTTAGATTTCTCTTTCCCGGACATCGTCTGCAAAGAACAGGACTCGTTAAATCCCTCGATGCAGTGAACACATACCTATTCAGTTTCTTGTGATTAAACTAGCAGTTGCTAGAACCACTTGCAAAAGGGGGTAGGTAAAGGCCTGAAACCTGTGCAGGGCCTTAAAAAAATAAAAGCACACACACAAAATTCTTAAGACAAGCAAAAATGATTCTAAGTAAAAGTAAAAGAGGAAGCAAGCAGCTATCTGGGAGAAAATCTGAAGGTAAGTAACCCCAAAGTAAGAAACCCAACTAAGACTAGTTTGAAGGGTACCAAAGAAAAATACCTTCCACCTCTCAGAGCACTTCTTGGAAAATTCCGCAAAATTGACAGGGACCTCTGGGTTTTTCTTCTTATGTTCTTCTCTGCATGTCTGCACAAAGAAGGCATAAGCGGACATCTTGCCCTTTGGTTTCTTGGGGTCACCTTTAGCCATCCTGACTGTGATAAAAGAGAAACAAAGAAATACAATGAGGAAAAGCAAGGAGGAATTGACAAGAAGTACAAGACGTACCAAAGGCAGAGCAAAACTAAAACTACACTTGCTGTTAGGAAGTCCCCTTCCCCCAATGCCGGACACCAGTGGCAGAAGGCAGAGTAGGAAAGAAATCAGCTTCATTGTCGCTTGTCATTTAACTTTTGACCAGCACGAAGCGCGCTGGTTTGCGAGTTACTTCTCAAAAGCGATCAAGTGCTCCAAATGGAGCCGACCCAAGTAGGGTACTCAGTGTTACGTTTACAGAACTGCTATGTTTTGGAAACTACAATCACAAAGTGGGAAGGGTAGAGAGAGGACACATTTGGTGGGGGTGATAGAAGCTTGAAATCTATGACTTAAGACTATCTGGTCATCTGCTAACTGTTAACACAATTAAAAACAACAACTCTTACCACTGCTGAACACAAGACCAAAGCAGGAGAACTATACGTAGGGGACATCTGAAATTGTCACTATTGTTGATGTGTTTTGGCTTACTAAAAAAACGGCTTTACAACACGGGAGATCTGGAAAGTGAGCAGGTACCCCCGTACTATTAGTTCAATTCATCACTTCGTCACTATCTAAAGGGGGAGGGTGTATAAAAAGGGCTAGTCGTGCTCATCTGTAACCCAGAATGCAGGTCCAGCCGAGAACACTTTCTCCAAAGTTTCCAAATAAAAATGCAGCTGCGGCATGTCATCGTCCCTGTCCCACCCCCCAGCTTCCCGCCATCTTTTCCTTTTCCCACACCCAAGGTCATCATGTAAAACTAAAGAGCTCCCCTTGGCAGCAGCCGCCCAGGAGGCTGCCCAACAGAGACCCGCAGCGGCGGCCCGGGCGGGGCGGGACCGGGAGCGGGGGAGTCCCGGCCGGCAGCAGGCAGCCCGCCTCGGCCCCCGTGCCGGGTCACCGGGACACCCGTAATTCACCTTCCATTTTGTCAAAAGCCTCCTGATGAAAGAAAGTGCCCCTGAAATCCGCCGCTGTCATCCCCGGGGGACGCGCGGGGCCGGGGGCGGCGGCGGTGGCGGTGCGCGGGGGGTGTGCGGCCGGGCCGGCGGCAGCCGCGGCACTGGTGGCGGCGTCCGCCGCGCCTCGGAGTCCCACTCGCTAAAATGGCTGATCCGCGCGCGGCCGGCGCGGGCGGCGGCGACAGCGGCGAACAAAGCGGCCCGGGCCCCGCCGCCGCCGCCCGCCCGTCGGCCCCCACCCCGCCCCGCCCCGCCCCGCCCGGGCCGCCCGGGGGCTCGGGGGCCCGGGCCGGACCTCCCCGCCCCCCGGCGCGGGGCGCACTCCTCGGGATAACAAAGGCGCCCGTGCAGCCATGACGCTCGGCCGCTCCAGGGCCCGCAGCGGCGCCCCCGGCCCTCCGAGCCGCCCGCCCCGGGCCGCGGGCGCCGGGGCCGAGGCCGGAGCCCGCCGGGCGCCCCGCCGACCGCTCCGCCCGCCTCCCCTGCCCTCGCCGGAGGCCAGCGCCGCGCCAGCCATGTTAGCGGCGGCGGCGGCGCCGGGCGGGCGGGAGGCGAGAGGGGGGCGGCCGGCCCGCGCCCCCCCGGGCCACCGGGCGCTCCGCGACGGCCATGTTAACGCAGAGCCAGCGGCGTAGCCTGCGGGCCCGCGCGGCGCCGGGCCAAGCCCGGGAGCGAAGTTTGCCCGTGCGGCGGCCCCCGGCGGGCACCAGCCGCGCAGCCCCCGGCGGGCACCGGCCGCCCGTTCCCCAGCGGAGTCCGTCGCGGGCCGGGGAACTCCCGGCCCCCTTCCCGCTGCCGCCGCCCAGCGCCCACAGCCCGCAGCCGCCCCTCTGCTCGCCCAGCCGCCGCAGCCGCAGCTGCCCAAACATCTGGCCTCGGGGGCCCTGGGTTCCCGGCTGCGGCCCCTGGGGCCGCCACGGGCGGGCGTCCGCCGAGGGGGCCGACCCCCGAAAGCGGGGAGCTCGGGGAACGCGTTGGAAAAGTTGAAACACCTGAATTGCTTCTTCCTTCCCGGCCGCCTAGCAGGAGGGAAGGCGGAGGGGGCGGGAAGGGAATGGGGAGTAGAGGCAGGGGGAGGCGGCGGCAGGGCGCGCTCACGGCGGCGCGGGCCGGAAAGTTGTGCGGGCGCTGCGGCGGCGGCGGCGGCGGCGGCGGCGGCGGCGGCGGCGGCGGCGGCGGCGGCGGGAGCGGGCGGTGCGAGACGTACCTGTATTGTTCGCTAGTCTGGGCAGCGCAGGGCACGACGCGCGGCTCAGCGCTCCCCAGCCTCGCGCTAGCTGCCTCCACGAGAGCCGCCTGATTGGCCAGCGGGCTCTGCCGTTTAAAACAGCCTCCTCGCCTGGCCATTGGCTGCGGGCCTCATGCATATTAAGCAGGCGTGGACGCCCATTGGGCGCGGCTGCTGGGATCATTCATTCAAACAGAACGACCCGCCGGCGCCGGCTACGGAGGCCAAACAGGGAAAGACCTAGTCTCGCCTGCCCGCCCCGCCCACCTCGCCAGCCCCCTCGGGGAACAGAACTGGGATCGCCAAGGGCTTTGAAGAGGTGGCCCTGCGATTCCCGGAGGCCTCGGCCTCTGGCGTGGGAAGATGAAGTCCAGCCCCGCTGCGCTGCCCTCTGCTCCCACCGCACCGCGGCCTTGGCGCCCCTGGCCTGCAGTCAGCTCCCCTGCCCGGGGAAACACCCCTGGGCCCACCACGAAGGGCCGATGGTAGACCACCTCTACCCGGTTCGGCCGCGGCGCCGCGACAGAAACGCGGCGGCAGCTCGCTCCTCGATGCCTGGCGGAGGGCAGCTGCTTGCTCGCCAAGACCTCGGGATTTAGTCCTCGGATCTCGCTGCCTATCCGAAAGCCACCTGATTCCGCTTCTGCGGATCGTGCTCAACTAGGCTCTTTCCACTAAATGCCAGAAGGTCTTTATTTGCGCCCGAAATTGCGGAACCGACGGGCTAAAAGAGGAAAACAAAATTTGGCAAGAGCAGAGAATTTGTGAGAAATTGTAGTTTTGTGGGCAAAGAATAACACTTTTCTTCTTACCCTCTTCACTGTCTCGGTTCAAGGCCCTCATTCCCTCTGCTCTCCTGACACACCCTAGAGCAAAGAATTAAAGCTTCGGGAATGAATGAGTGAATGAATGAATGAATGGGATTTGACTTGATCTCCACTTTGCCATTGGCTGGTGGTATGGCCTTGAGCTAGTCACTTCTTTGGGGATTCAGGCAATGTTTTTCAAAGTATAGGAGCCGCAGTGTCACTTCTGTAAGGGATGTTCTGAAATTCGTGGGGCCGGTGCCTGGATGACTGGCAGGTGTTGCTGGAATTCAATAAGAGGAAGGAACGGCCGGGGATACTAAATATCCTACATTGCATAGGACAGTCCCACGCAAGGAAGAAATACTCCACTTCAAATGCAAGTATCAGCCCTATTTGGAAAGAAAGTATCTGAGGGCCCTTGCCTGGAAAGAATGAAAGGGTGAGAAAAAGAGCAGTTTAAAGATTGACAGTTGGAGAAAATAATGCAAAGGAAGAGATGTCATGAGTTTGGTTTTTCTTTTCTTTGAAAGGCCAAGAGATCCAGCTATTTATGAGTCCTATATTCAGAAATAAGCCCCACCAGAACATGAATTTTCCAAATGCTGCTTCCAGAAACCGTGGCTGAGTTTGAGGTGTGCAAAGGATCTGGCTTCACAGGGCACCTGCTTCTTCACCCCTACGCCCCCTCTTACCAACTCCTCTGAGCCTCCCAGCCAAGCCTGAGCCCCTGAAGCTGGTGCTGTTGGCTCCCATCATCAAGGTTCCAATCCAGATCAAAAGGCAAAGATAGAGGCCAAGCGCGGTGGCTCATGCCTGTAATTCCAGTACTTTGGGAGGCTGAGGCAGGCGGATCACGAGATCAGGAGTTCAAGACCAGCCTGGCCAATCTGATGAAGCCCCGTCTCTACTAAAAATACAAAAAAATTAGCCAGGTGTGGTGATGCATGCCTGTAGGAGGCTGAGGCAGGAGAATCGCTTTAACCTGGGAGGTGGAGGTTGCAGTGAGCCAAGATCATGCTACTGCACTCCAGCCTGGGCAACAGAGCAAGACTCCGAAAAAAAAAAAAAAAAGGCAGAGATAGTGCTGCTTTTGACAAGAGCAGGCAGGTATTGTGTCACTAACCCAGGTCCCCACTACAGACTCAGGAGTTCAGAGATCTTAAGGCCACCTCATCCATCCCTCTGTCCTGTTAGAACCAGCTTAGTGGTTGCCTGCCTTCTGCTTGCATACCTCCACTCATAGGGAGCTTACCATCTTCCTTCATGGCAGTTCCTTCCATCTCCAGCCACCTCTGAGCCTTAAGGTCAACATCTCCACACAGGGTAATCCCTCACCCTTCAGATAGTTCATGGCAGGCCAGGCCTTTTCTCCAGACAGACAGCCCCTCCCTGCTCCTTCTACAAGCAGTTTCCCAGGGCCTGACCTGCCCAAGCCACTCCCTCTTCCCCTGTCTCCACAAGGCCTAGAGGGGAGCAGGGTTTCCACAAGTGATCTGACCAATACCTCGCCTCTGCCAGAGCACCCTAGCCTCTCAAGGTTGCCAGGCCTTTCTAGACCAGAGATTCAAGTTGGGGTCCAGCTACTGCCCAGCAACTGCCCACAGTGGCAAGTGACACGGCACAGTTGGCAGGCACCTTGGTGGGGGAACCAGGGTGGTGGGCCCTTGGATGGATGACAAGGGTCACACAAGCCCATGCCAACTCACAAGCAGCACATGTATACACGTACTCACGTATGGGCACACCCAGGGCATTCCCAGAGGCAGCAGCTTCAAGGGCAAACCAGAGAAATAAGAGCATCTCCCAACCCAAACTGGCCCCCAGTTGCCACCCTCAAGATCCATGCTTCCCTGCCCCACTGCCCCAACCCTGCCCATTGACCATCTATTTCTCCCCACATACTTCGAATGATGAAAGGATTGCGCTTACGCGCAGGAAGTATTTCCATCCTTTGCATAGGAAATATTTCGATCTCTGCTCTCAAGAAAGCTACCTCTTATATGGAGCTGAAGCACTTGGCCTGAAGCTGAACTACAAACTGGTCATCGTCAGAACATGAACTCACAGAACATGACTATGACATCACTGAGTGACAGAGATCCAAAGATGGCTCCCTGCTCCTCCCCATCCCCCCAGCCACCCACCTACCAATGGAGGCTCCTCACAGCCAGATTTTCTCCTTAACACCTGCCCGTGTGCGGCGACATGCCTGAGCAAGGCCTGTGGCCCAGTGGGCTCCTGCCTTAGCAGAAACTTTCATGTATATGTATTGCATGTCTACTAATCAGTAACAGAAGGGAGATGAGATGGAGTGGGGAGTAAGGCTGGAAGGAAGGGACAAGATAGAGGCTTTGGGCTCTGTCACTGATTTCCTGGTATGCCTTTTCACATGTCACCTGAGGGCTCCGAGCCTCAGTGTCCTCTATCAAAGGTGATTCCACCCGCCTCATCCACCCAGACCACTGCCAGTCTTGGTGGTGAGGGAGACTGAGTGAAGACGGTCTGCTTGTCACCAGTCAAAGGCCAACCAGGAGAGGCCTAAAGACTAGTTTGGAAGGTGAAAAAAAGAAAGAAAAGGTGACAGAAAGCCAGGGATGCCTGGGCACACCCTAGACTCAGGGAGCCCAAGGCAGGCTGCCTTCTCTGCAGCAAAGCTCAATGCCCGTTAGCTTGAGGATACCTCCAGCAGCAGCACCCAGGTCAGCGTGCAAGGGCTTGAGGGAATGAAGGATACTCTAGGCCTCTGCCCGGGCCCTACCTGGAAACAGGCAAAGCCCATCCACACAGGAGAACCTCAAACCAGAATCCCTTAAGCTGCTTGGCTGCCTAGAGAAGTTACGAAAACATTAAATAAGAAATGGGATGAAGTGTGGCAAATGCTATTTAAAGAGGTTTTCAGTTCCTGTCAGTTCAAGGCCCCTAAAAGACTAAGGGGAATCCTCATCGTTCAACAAAAATGAAACCCTGGTCCCCTGGCCCACTGCCTACACACTCCACCCACCCTCCCACAGTTCCCAAAGTCTTCATTTGAGTACCTTGGGCCAACCCAGCCTCCTTTTAAGAATCATGCCTGGCCGGGTGCGGTGGCTCACGCCTGTAATCCCAGCACTTTGGGAGGCCATGGTGGGCAGATCACCTGAGGTCAGGAGTTCAAGACCAGCCTGGCCAACAAGGTGAAATCCCATCTCTACTAAAAATACAAAAATTAGCCTGGTGTGGTGGCACCTGCCTGTAATCCCAGCTACTCAGGAGGCTCAGGGGGGAGAATCGCTTGAACCTGAGAGGCTGAGGTTGCAGTGAGCAGAGATGGCGCCACTGCACTCCAGCCTGGGTGACAGTGTGAGACTCCGTCTCAAAAAAAAGAAAAAGAAAAAAAAAAAGAATCATGCCTGTAGGCCAAATGTGGTGGCTCACGCCTGTAATCTCAGCACTTGGGGAGGCCAAGGTGGGTGGATCACCTGAGGTCAGGAGTTCGAGACCAGCCTGGCCAACATGGCGAAACCCCATCTCTACTAAAAATACAAAAATTAGCTGGGCGTGGTGATGGGCACCTGTAATCCCGGCTACTCAGGAGGCTGAGGCAGAGAATTGCTTGAACCCAGGATGCACAGGTTGCAGTGAGCCAAGATCGTACCACTGAACTCCAGCTTGGGTGACAGAGTGAGACTCTGTCTCAGGGGAAAAAAAAAAAAAAAAAAAAAGGAATCACGCCTGTAAACCCAGCACTTTGGGAGGCCAAGGCAGGAGGATCACCTGAGGCTAGGAGTTTGAGACCAGCCTGGGCAACATAGTGAGACCCCCATCTAAAAAAATCAATGGAAGTGTAGACAGAGTGGATTTGGGGGGTAGGGGTGGAATGGGATTGTTGAACAAAATATATTAAGGGAAGCCAGGTGTAGTGGCACCCACTTGTAGTCCCAGCTACTTGAGAGGCTGAGAGGCTGAAGTGGGAAGACTGGTTGAGCCCAGGAGCTCGAGACCAGCCTGGGCAACAAGGTGAGATCTCATCTCAAATATATATATATATATGAACCAGATGCAGTGGCTTACATCTGTAATCCCAGCAGTTTGGGAGGCTGAAGCGGGAGGATCACTTGAGGCAAGGAGTTCCAGACCAGCCTGGTCAATATAGCGAGACCTTGTCTCAAAACAAAGAAATAGGCTGGACGAGGTGGCTCATGCCTGTAATCTCAGCACTTTGGGAGGCCGAGGTGGGGAGGCTGAAGCACGAGAATTGCTTGAACCCGGGAGGCAGAGGTTGCAGTGAGCCGAGATCGTGCCACTGCACTCCAACCTGGAGTGAGACCCTGTATCCAAAAACAAACAAGCAAAACAAAACAACAACAGCAACAACAAAGCCAAAAAAATAAAATAAAATCTTATATATAAGTATTAAGGGAACTTGCTGTGAAGACCCTACAATGAAACAAGATCTTTCAATATGGCACCTAGGAACCTTTGTAAATATGGAGTCCTTATAAGTGCAGATCTTCAGGGATAGGGAGTCTTGACTGGCTTCCAGGCCTTCTCAGGGCCCCTGCCGCACACCGCTTAGCCTCCTGTGAACTACTTCACCACGAGGTGCCTCCCCTCACCCCTCCCTGTTACCAGCCCCGGGTCCCCTCCCCTCACCGTCTGCTCTTTGGTGGGAATTGCATTCCAACTCTACTTGTTTTTCCCATAGAGGGGAAAACCTTCTCAGAGGTGGTTCTCTATTAGAATGGATCTGCAGAGCTGCACCACTGGGAAGACTCTTCCAGGCCCTCCAACCCAGCCTCCTCGTGGCACAGAGGGCCCAACGCCTGGAGATTTGCTGAAGTCCCCACATGGGTCAGTGGCTGAGCCAGGGCGGGAACTCTGGTCTCTTGGCCTTTACTAGGTGCCACACTTGGTAGCTCTCGATAGCTTAGCTCCACTGTGGGTGCCGCGGCCTTTGGTGAGCTGGCGAGAGCAGCCAGCACCCTTGAGAAGAGGTTTTCTGGTTCCAAACAGAAGCCGAGAGAGACCCGCGGGGAACCCGGTGGCTGAAGCTGGCCTCCACCACCTCTCCTGCCCACATCGCACAGTTCAGGCCGCGGGTACCTAGAGCCTCGACGGCGCCTCGGGCCCCAAGCGACGTGGGTGTCTGCATTTTCTTTCTTTCTTTCTTTCTTTCTTTCTTTCTTTCTTTCTTTCTTTCTTTCTTTCTTTCTTTCTTTCTTTCTTTCCTTCCTTCCTTCCTTCCTTCCTTCCTTCCTTCTTTCTTTCTTTCTTTCTCTCTTTCTTTCTTTCCTTCTCTCTGTCTCTCTCTTTCTTTCTCTCTCTCTTTCTTTCTTTCTTTCCTTCTCTCTGTCTCTCTCTTTCTTTCTTTTTTGAGACGGAGTCTCGCTCTGTCACCCAGGCTGGAGTGCAGTGGCCCAATCTCGGCTCACTGCAAGCTCCCCCTCCCGGGTTCACGCCATTCTCCTGCCTCAGCCTCCCGACTAGCTGAGACTACAGAAGCCGGCCACCACGCCTGGCTAATTTTTTGTATTTTTATTAGAGACGGGGTTTCGCCGTGTTAGCCAGGATGGTCTCAATCTCCTGACCTCGTGATCCGCCCGCCTCGGCCTCCCAAAGTGCTGGGATTACCGACGTGAGCCACCGCGACCGGCCTCTTTCTTTCTTTCTTTGAGACGGAGTTTCGCTTCTGTCGTCTAAGCTGGAGTTCAAGGGCGCTATCTTGGCTCACTGCAGCCTCTGCCTCCTGGGTTCAAGCGATTCTCCAGCCTCAGCCTCCCGAGTAGATGGGATTACAGGCGCCCGCCACCACGGCCCGCTAATTTTTTTTTTTTTTTTGAGACGGAGTCTTGCTCTGTCGCCCAGGCTGGAGTGCAGTGGTGCGATCTCGGCTCACTGCAACCTCCGCCTCCTGAATTCAAGCAATTCTCCTGCCTCAGCCTCCCGGGTAGCCACCGCGCCCGGCTAATTTTTGTATTTTTAGTAGAGACGGGGTTTCACCATGTTGGCCAGGCTGGTCTTGAACTCCTGGCCTCGTGATCTGCCCGCCTTGGCCTCTCAAAGTGCTGGGATTACAGGCTTGAGCCACCGCGCCCGGCCTAATTTTTGTATTTTTAGTAGAGACGGAGTTTCACCATGTTGGCCAGGCTGGTCTCGAACTCCTGACCTCAGGTGATCCACCCACCTCGGCCTCCTAAAGTGTTGGGATTACAGACGTGAGCCACGGCGCCCGACCGGGACCGGGACCGGGCGTCTGCATTTCACCAGATGGCTGCGCCCGTTGCCCCTCCCGAATTCCCTCACCCCCTCCCCACCAGACCCCGGAGGCTGCCGGGGACGGTGGGAAAGGAGCCACCGGGGCGGCTCCCTCCCACAGCACTGCTCTTGCCCAGGGCTGGGACAAGGAAGAGAAAGGAGCGCAGAAGCCAGGGCTGTTCAGCACGACACAGGCCTCTTCAGCAGCACCAGCGCCACCGCGTCCCTGCTCTGGGTTCCTTTCATATTGAATGAAAAGCGGGAAGTGGGTCAGTGACCAAAGGATTTCCTACTTTTTACTCTCCACGCCGGCGCCTTGTGGGAATACAATCCTAATCTACAAAAGCCCATCAAGGGCCAGTGACGTGCCAGGCCGGCCGGGTCCTGTGGGGAAGATGGAGATGAAACTGAAGGGCCCTTGACCTTCTAGGCACCGGTCTCCTTCAGAGGAGGGGAAGGGAGCAGAAGAGAGGGGACTCTCCAATGGGATAGCTCCCACCAGCCACCACATTACCGAACAGCCCTGCCTTGTCCCGCCTTGAAGTCTTCACCATGCTGCTGGGTTACCCATTCTAGATTCTCACCTCCAAGCCCCATCCCATCCAGAAGGCCTGCACACGCAGCAGACTGTAGTCCCCACCCTCCACCCACACCAAGTTTCCGTCTGGCTAGTGACTGAGGCCCTTCTGTGTCTACCCCGTGTAATGTGTAATGTAAAGGTACAAGCTGTTTCTCTTTACCTGAACTGAAAGGATTCCTGCAGTGGGGAGAGGAGGAGCCACTCTCTAAATGGGATTGCAGTTGCCATTTTAAAAATCATTTTTATTATTATTTATTTATTTTTGAGACAGAGTCTTGCTCTTGTTGCCCAGGCTGGAGTGCAATGGCAGCAAGCTTTGCTCACCGTAACCTCCGCCTCCCGGGTTCAAGCGATTCTCCTGTCTCAGCCTCCCAAGTAGCTGAGATTACAGACATGTGCCACCACACTTGGCTAATTTTTATATTTTCAGTAGAGGCAGGGTTTCTCCACATTGGCCAGGCTGGTCTCAAACTCCTGACCTCAAGTGATCCGCCTGCCTCGGCCTCCCCAAGTGGTGGGATTACAGGCATGAGCCACCGCACCCAGCCTTTTTTTTTTTTTTTTTGAGACGGAGTTTCACTCTTGTTGCCCAGGCTGGAGTGCAATGGTGTGATCTTGGCTCACCTCAACCTCTTGCTTCCTGGGTTCAAGCGATTCTCCTGCCTCAGCCTCCTGGGTAGCTGGGACTACAGGCGCCTGCCACCACACCCAGTTAATTTCGTATTTTTCAGAGAGATGGGGTTTCTCCATGTTGGTCAGGCTAGTCTCTGGACCTCAGGTGATCTGCCCACCTCGGCCTCCCAAAGTGCTGGGATTACAGGCGTGAACCACCATGCCTGGCCTGCAGTTGCCATTTTTAATTCTTTTTTTTTTTTTGAGATGGAGTCTCACGCTGTCGCCCAGGCTGGAGTGCAGTGTCGCGATCTTGGCTCACTGCAACCTCCACCTCCCGGGTTCAAGCAATTCTGCCTCAGCCTCCTGAGTAGCTGAGATTACAGGCGCCCGCCACCACGCCTGGCTAATTTTTTTGTTTGTTTGTTTTTGTTTTTTTAGTAGAGATGGGATTTTACCATGTTTGTCAGGCTGGTCTCAAACTCCTAACCTTGTGATCCACAACAGTTGCCGTTTTTAAAATGCTGCTCATTCCTCATTCCCTCTTTCTGGGCCTGATTCCTTTTTTTTTTTTTTTTTTTTTTTTCTTTTTTGGAGAAGGAGTCTCACTCTGTCTCCTAGGCTGGAGTGCAATGGCATGATCTCATTCACTGTAACCTCCGCCTCCTGGGTTCAAGCGATTCTCCTGCCTCAGCCTCCCGAGTAGCTGGGATTACAGGCATCCGCCACCACACCCTGATAATTTTTGTATTTTTAGTAGGGATGGGGTTTCACCTTGTTGGTCAGGCTGGTCTGGAACTCCTGACCTCAGGTGATCCACCACCTCGGCCTCCCAAAGTGCTGGGATTACAGGCGTGAGCCACTGCACCCCACCTGGGCCTGATTCTTATCATTAAAAGGGGAGCAGGAGCTGCTCTCTGGGGTCTCTTACAGCATCAGCATTCTTTTTTTTTTTTTTTTTTTGAGATGGAGTCTGGCTCTGTCACCCAGGATAGAGTGCAGTGGTGCGATCTTGGCTCACTGCAACCTCCACCTCCCAGGTTCAAGCAATTCTCCTGCCTCAGCCTCCTGAGTAGCTGGGATTACAGGCACCCACCACCACACTGGGATTTTGTATTTTTAGTAGAGTCGGGGTTTCACCATGTTGGCCAGGCTGGTCTCGAACTCCTGACCTCAGGTGATCCACCCGCCTCGGCCTCCCAAAGTGCTGGGATTACAGGTGTGAGACACCGCGCCCAGCGCCCGGCTGCATCAACATTCTTGACATTGCTGGTGGGGCTTCACAAAGGTACCCCCAAGGCAACACGCCAGTTCTGCCGCCACCCACCTCCCCCCTCCCCCGCCACCAAAATAAACCCCACAAACAGCAAACAAGTCTGAAAGGTGGCCTTGCAAAGGTCCTTTATGTGTGACTCTAAAAAGTATGGCATTTGTCGTGACTATGAGTGTCAGTCCCTCTTCCCCAATTTCACTCTGCCCTGGACACAGTAGTCAGACCGGTCCTGCTAAATCAGACCTTGTTATGAAGGAAGTCCGGAGTGGACCCGGGGCACAGCTATCGGATGAAATGCAGATGCCTTGCCCTGGGGCCCGAGGCACTCTGGGGACATAGAGGCAGGGCTCAGGACACTTTGGGGGCTCCCCACCTCCTCAGGGGAAGCCCCCGTCTTCCCAATGGGTTTGCACAGGTTGCTCTCCCCCCAACCCCCTCAGCAAACACACGTGATTCTATCTCTCCTCACCCTGTTGTCAACCTCGCTCAGGAACAGCCACCTCAGGACCTTGCTACCTTGCTGCTTGCTCTGCCCTCTACCTGGGACACTCTCCCACACATCTGCCAGGATCCTGCCCTCACCTCCCTTCCATCTTTGCTCAAATGTGTCACCTTCCCTGAGCAACCTATTGCGAATCAAAATCCCCAGCTCCACATTGCCTGCCTCTCTTTTCCTTGCTTAGTTTTTCCACATCCAATTCATGCCCACTGTGGTACAGCAGCTTCACACTGGCTTCCCAGGAGACAGTGAGCACCATGAGGCCAAGGACCTCAGTCTGCTGTTTTCCACTGTGTCCCTCTATGTGGCGCAGAACAGGCATTCCATTACAATTTGTTGAACAAGCGAATGCGTTTTCCATTGACCTTGACCACTCCTTTACCATGTTCTAAGTAGGCCCCAAGGCAAGAGGACTTCCATAGATTCCCAAGGGAGACTCCCCACCCTCAAGAAACTTGCAATGGAGGGAGGGCAGACACACCTGCAATGGAGTGTGCATAAAATAAATGCCAATGCCAAATAGAGGGACAAGCAGGCAGAGCCAGCAAAGGCTGAGAGGAAGGCTTTATGTCTGATTGTGGGTGGCATAGGGTCTGGAAGGCTTTATGAACAAAAGAGGTAATTTTGAAATGGATGCAGAGAGTTAGTGAGTTTTCCATGGGCAATAAACGAGCCAATTACCCCAGGCTGTGGGCAGGTTTACTGTGAACTGGTGGGAGGACCCGAAGGCTGGGATGTCAGGGGAGGGGTGCAGTGAGAGCTGCTCTGGGGACATAGAGGTGGGGCACAGCCTGGACAGACCAAGGCTGTTCATGGCAGAGGTTGTCATCCACTGCTTCTCACCAGCAGGCAATGGGAAGCCATGACAGGATTTTTCTTTGAGAGAGACAGGATCTCAGGCTGGGCGCGGTGGTTCATGCCTGTAATCCCAGCACTTTGGGCGGCAGAGGTGGGTGGATCACTTGAGGTCAGGAGTTGGAGACCAGCCTGGCCAACATGGTAAAACCCTGTCTCTACCAAAAATACAAAAATTAGTTGGGTGTGGTGGCGTGCGCCTATAATCCCAAGTACTCAGGAGGCTGAGGCATGAGAATCACTTGAACCTGGGAGGCACAGGTCGCAGTGAGCCGAGATCACATCACTGCACTCCAGCCTGGGTGACAGAGCAAGACTCCATCTCAAAAATAAATAAATACATCAACAAATAAAAATAATAAGGAGGTGGCCAGGCGCCGTGGCTCATGCCTGTAATCCCAGCACTTTGGGAGGCCGAGGAGGGCGGATCACCTGAGGTTGGGAGTTCAAGACCAGCCTGACCAACATGGAGAAACTGTCCCTACTAAAAATACAAAAATTAGCCAGGCATGGTGGTGCATGCCTATAATCCCAGCTACTCGGGAGGCTGAGGTAGGAGAATCACTTGAACCCGGGAGATGGAGGTTGTAGTGAGCGGAGATCGCGTCATTGCACTCCAGCCTGGGCAACAAGAGCGAAACTCCATCTCAAAATAATAATAATAAAGAGACAGGATATCGCTGTGTTGCCCAGCCTGCAGTGCAGTGGTATGATCATAGTTCACTGCAGCCTCCAACTTCCAGGCTCAAGAGATCCTCCTGCCTCAGCCTCCTGCATAGCTGGGACCACAGGTAGGCCCGGCATTTTTTTTTTTTTAATCAGCTGAATTTAAGACTCTTCTTTTTTTTAACTTTGAAGTTCAGGGGTACATGTGCAGATTTGTTACATAGGTAAACTTGGGTCATGAGGGTTTGTTGTACAGATTATTTCATCACTGAGGAATTAAGCCTAGTACCCATTACTTATTTTTCCTGTTTCTCTCCCTCCTCCTGCTCTCCACCCTTCAGTAGGCCCCAGTGTGTGCTGTTTTCCGCTTTGTGTCCATGTGTTCTCATCATTTAGCTCCCACTTACATGTGAGAACCTGTGGAATTTGTTTTTTGGTTCTTGTGTTAGTTTGCTAAGGACAAGGGCCTCCAGCTCCATCTATGTCCCCGCAAAGGACATGATCTCATTCTTTTCTGTGGCTGCATAGTATTCCATTATGTATATGTACCACATTTTCTTTTTCTTTTCTTTTCTTTTTTTTTTTGAGATGGAGTCTTGCTCTGTCGTCCAGGCTGGAGTGCAGTGGCGAGTTCTCGGCTCGCTGCAAGCTCCACCTCCCAGGTTCATGCCATTCTCCTGCCTCAGCCTCCCGAGTAGCTGGGACTATAGGCGCCCATCACCATGCCCGGCTAATTTTTTGTATTTTTAGTAGAGACGGGGTTTCACCGTGTTAGCCAGGATGGTCTCGATCTCCTGACCTCGTGATCTGCCCACCTCGGCCTCCCGAAGTGCTGGGATTACAGGCATGAGCCACCGCGCTAGGCCCATGACGGGATTTTGAGCAAGGATATGACCCAGTCCAGACTCTATTTGAGAAAGCCCTCCCTGCTGCTGTAGGGGATGGGCCAGAGGCAGAGAGATCCTTTAGGAGAGGTTGCAGGTCAAAGCTGGTGTGGGCTTAGATTTGGGATATTGGTAGTAAGGGTGGGAAAAAGTAACTGAATTTGTGCCCCACCTACCTCCCAGCCACCCTCCGACCAATAGCAAGCGTGACCTTTCTTCATATTGTAATTCTGAGCATCATGTTAGTTTTCCAATGGCTTCTCCTCTCATTGCAGTAAGGACCCCAGACACGGCCCTTCCTGTCTCTGTAGCCTCTTGTTCACTTTTTTTTTTTTTTTTGAGACAGAGTCTCGCTCTGCCTCCCAGGCTGGAGTGCAGTGGCCTGATCTCGGCTCACTGCAACCTCCACCTCCCGGGTTCAAGCCATTCTCCTGCCTTAGCCTCCGGAGTAGCTAGGATTACAGGTGCACGCCACCATGCCCGGGTAATTTTTGTACTTTTTTAAAGTAGAGATGGGGTTTCACCATGTTGTTCAGGCTGGTCTCGAACTCCTGACCTCGTAATCCGCCCACCTCTGCCTCCCAAAGTGCTGGGATTACAGGCGTAAGCCACCGTGCCTGGCCCTTTTTTTTTGCTTTATTTTGTTTTTGTTTTAGAGACAGAGTCTTGCTGTGTCGACCAGGCTGCAGTGCAGTGGTGCCATCTCGGCTCACTGCAACCTCTGCCTCCTGGGTTCAAGCGATTCTCCTGCCTAAGCTTCCCAAGTAGCTGGGAAGCTCAGGCAGGCGCCACCATGCCCAGCTAATTTTTGTATTTTTTGTAAAGACGGGGTTTCGCCATGTTGGCCAGGCTGGTCTCCAACTGCTGACCTCAGGTGATCCACCCACCTCGGCCTCCCAAAGTGCTGGGATTACAGGCGTGAGCCTCTGCGCGTGGCCTCTTTTTCACTCTTTTTTTTTTTTTTTTTTTTTTGAGACTGAGTCTCACTCTGTCTCCAGGCTGGAGTGCAGTGGCACGATCTCGGCTCACTGCAACCTCCACCTCCTGGGTTCAAATGATTCTCCCACCTCAGCCTCCGGATTAGCTGGAATTACAGGCGCGCGCCACCATGCCCGGCTAATTTTTGTATTTTTAGTAGAGACGGGGTTTCACCATGTTGGCCAGGATGGCCTTGATCTCTTGACCTCGTGGTCTGCCCACCTCGGCCTCCCAAAGTGCTGGGATTACAGGAGTGAGCCACCGGGCCTGGCCTCTTTTTCACTCTTAATACCAACTCCGCCTTCTCTCCTTTCCCTCATCGGGGGCGCATACCCGCTGTTTCCACTGCCTCAGGCCCTCTCCCTCCTCTCTCATGCCTAAACAAGTACCACCCACCCTCCAGACCTCAGCCCAGTCCCCAACACCTTCCCTGGGAGACTCCCCGACTTCTGGTCCGCATTTTCCTTTCTCCGTCTGGTCCTTTGTGGTGCTTCTCACAGCCACAGCCACTGTCTGGGTGATTACTTGACTGTCTCACGTGGGCTTCCTTGCAACTAGCACAGGGCCTGGGGCCCAGGAGACACCAGGAAACATCTGCTGAATGAAGACCTGAGCAAGTAAAGGAAAGCCTGTGTTCTTGGGTGCTAGGTGTGGAGGGCACACCCTCTCAGAAGGAAGCAAGCACTCTGTGGGCTGTTTCAGCCAAGCAAGGAAGAGGACCTGGCTGAGGGGAGGGGGAATGAGGAAAAGAGAGGACTTAATTCAGTCAAGCAGTGGATTCGCTGCATATCCACCTCCTTCCTAGAGGGAGGCCCAAGGGCACTCCCCTTTGGCTGCCACAGGGCCCAGCTGGGGACCTGGAGGGAGGTGGGTTCCGGGAACACCCTCCTCTTTATTTCTAAGCACTAGAATCCTGTGACCGATATGCAGTGCTGGCCAGGGCTTTGACTTGCAAAGAGAGCACTGAAGTCCGAAGAGCACTGCCTGTAGGTCAGGCGGGCGTGGCGAGGAAAAGCAGGAGCTGGCTCCGCATCCTGTCACTTACCAGCTATGTGACTTTGGCAAGTGACTTCACCTATCTCCACCCCAGTATCTTCTTCTTCTTCTTCTTCTTCTTATTATTATTATTACTATTATTATTTTGAGATGGAGTCTCGCTCTGTCGACCAGGCTGGAGTGCAGTGGCATGATCTTGGCTCACTGCAACCTCCACCTCCCGGGTTCCAGCTATTCTCCTGCCTCAGCCTCCCGAGTAGCTGGTACTACAGGTGTGTGCCACCACGCCCGGCTAATTTTTGTATTTTTAGTAGAGACAGGGTTTCACCATGTTGGCCAGGCTGGTCTCGAACTCCTGACCTCAAGTGATCCACCCATCTCAGCCTCCCAAAGTGCTGGGATTACAGGCATGAGCCACCGCGCCTGGCTAGTTTCTCCATTTTCACAATGAGCCTTGTAATAGTACCTACCTTATAAATGCTGGGGATTAAACAAATTAATACACATGAAGTATTTAGAGCAATGCTTGGCACAAAAATAAGTGCCCAAGAAGGGTTCACTGTTCTAACAGAGTCACCTTTGATTTCACTCTTAATTCTTCAGACAGTGCAGAAGAGCAGTCACTGAAGGAAAATCCAAACCTCGGTAGCACAGGCTTTGAACTGTGTTTTTCTACAACCAAGAGAGTTGCCTTTGCTGGGAATTGCATCTGTCTGTGACCTGAGCTGTAGAATCAAGGCATCATGGCTGGGTGCATCTGAACACACACACCCACACCCACGCTAGCCCTACTTCAACAAATATTTATGCTGCAACACCTGGTGGGGTGCCGGTCCTGTGTATCTTGGTCTGTGCCAGAAGCGGTGAGGGGCACTTGGGCCATCGCGCTGCCAGGGTCCGGCAGCAGCTCCTCCAGAGCAAGGACTGAGTTCCGTTCACCTCTCAATGGCTCCACCTCCACAGTGCCCCGCCCAAGGCCTGGCACAAAGTACAAGCTGAGTGAGTGTTTGCTGTGTGGGAGAGTTTTGTCTCCAGCAGAACGGACCTGCATTTGGGAAGTGGACAGGTGAGTGTCACCCGCATCCTTGCCTTCTGGCTGGACAGGTGATATTGCTCCATGAAGTATCGGGCAAACAGCTGTGTTGCCAAAACCAAACCAAGAAAGGTACAGTAGAGGGACTAGTAACCCAGGAGCTATAGGATGTGGCTCTGCTCTCTGCTCTTCTACAGCTTCAAGAGGCTTTGGCAAATTCCTGAGCTTCACTGGTCCTCAGTTTCCCGTTCTGTACAGTCAGCGAGTCTTACTAGATACTGGATCATCTCCAGGGCTCTTTCTTGTACTAATAGCCACTGGAGCATAAGCTCCTTAAAAGAGGGCAGAAATTTTGTTTTGTTTTGGTTTGGTTTTCCTCCTAATGTTTCCCAGATGCCTTGAAGAAAGTCCATTGTATATGCCCAGTGAATAGTTGCTGAATGAATGGATGAAGACGCTGCGATTCTAAGGTCTTGTAGTGAACTGGAAAAGGTATGGTTTGTTTTTGTTTCGGGGTTTTTGGATTTTTTGAGATGAGGTCTCACTCTCTCACCCAGGCTGAAAGTGTAGTAGCGTGATCGCAGCTCACCGCAATCTCAAACTCCTGGGCCCAAGTGATCTTCCTACCTCAGTATCTGGGACTACAGGGGCGTGCCACCACACCTAGCTAATTTGAAAAGGTATGTTTGTATTCATAAACAGATCCCCTTTGTTTGGTAATCATCTTTTCTAGTGATTCTGGACAGCTTGGTGTCAGATTCACTGTGCCTCTCAGATCAGCCTGCCTCAAGATGTTTCAAGTAAAAACCTTTCTTTTAAACATGATTTGTCTAGACTATCATCTCAACTTTCCATTTACTTTTGGTTATGTTTTTACCTGGTCTGCATGATTCACTGGTTATCAGAGAAAAGTACAATCAGATAAAATGATAAGAGTAAGGAACTGTAAACAGAAACAGCAAATGGCCCAATTCAAAGCGGAGAACATGATGTGAATGGTAATGATGCCACCTTGCATTTTGTTCCTTAACAGTTTGCCTGGTGCTTGCGTATCTGCTGTCTGACTTGCACCCCCTAATGATCACGTGGGATGTTTTGGCATATTTTGGAAAAACTGCAACCCAGAGGAGGCAACTGTTTTGTCCAAGTATACCAGGCCATCTGTGAGAAAACTGGAACTCTGCCTCTCTGTCTTTTTATTTTTATTCTTTTGAGACAGGATCTCACTCTTTTGCTCAGGCAGGAGTGCAGTGGTGCAATCATAGCTCACAGCAGCCTCGAGCTCCTGAGTTCCAGTGATCCTCCCCTCTCAGTCTTTGTAACAGGCTTTACTGCCTGGTTGTTTTCAGTGAGCAAACAAACAAGGAGAGGGTTAGATGCACAGAGGGCATCTGTTTCCCGTTCTGTACAGTCCGGTGTCAGTGACCATTCAGGACTCTTCTGCCTGCAGACAGCCAGAGAAAAGGGCAGCAAAGGTGAAAGGGCCTGAGGGCAATTGCTGAAGTCATCAATTACGTGACCTGCCACTACCTCACCTCAGTGTGTCCCAAACTAAATTCCCCAACCTCGGCCCCGGCCCCCATATCCGTGCTTAGAGAATGGCACCACCATCCCCCCAGCGTCCCGCCTGGCTCTTCCCTCGCCCTCACTTCCCGTATCCAGGCTACCAGCAAATCCTAAACATGTCCGAATCCAGCTGCTCCTCCCCACCTCTCACTACCAAGCAGAGATCGTCTATCTGTCTCTCCCTTAACTCGTCTCCCTGCTCAGCCGTCTCCTATCATCTGGAGGGAACTTTTTACTTTTTAAACATTTTTATTATTTTTAATTTTTTTGTAGTAACAGGGTATCCCTTTGCTGCTCAGTTTGGCCTCAAATCGCCTGGCTTCAAGCAATCCACCCACCTTGGCCTCCCAAAGCGCTGAGATTACAGAGATGAGCCTTCACACCTGGCTGAATTTTTATAAATACACATTTTTCTGTCTTGTTTAAAATTCTGGCCCGGCACAGTGACTCACGCCTGTAATCCCAGCACTTTGGGAGGCTGAGGCGGGTGGATCACCTGAGGTCAGGAGTTCGAGACCAGCCTGGCCAACATGGTGAAACCCTGTCTCTACTAAAAATACAAAAATTAGCCAGGTGTGGTGGCCGGCGCTTGTAGTCTCAGCTACTTGGGAGGCTGAGGCAAGAGAATCACTTGAACCCAGGAGGCAGAGGTTGCAGTGAGCTGAGATCACACCATTGCACTCCAGCATGGGCAACAAGAGTGAAACTCCATCTCAAAAAATAAAATAAAACCCTTCATGACTCTTCATTACCTTGAGAGAAAGCCACAGAAAGACCCTTCAAGGCAGGGCACAGTGGCTCATGCCTGTAATCCCAGCATTAGGAGGCTAAGGTGAGATGATTGCTTGAGCCCAGGAGTTCAAGGCCAGCCTGGGCAACATGGCAAAACCCCATCTCCACAAAAAATAAAATAATTAGCTAAGTGCGGTGGTACGTGCTTATAGTCCTGGCTCCTTGGAGGCTGAGGCAGGAGGATCACTTGAGCCTGGAAGATTAAGGCTGCAGTGAGCTATAATTGCACCACTGCACTCCAGCCAGGGCAACAGAGTAGAGTGAGACATTGTCTCAGAAAAAAAAAAAAAAAAAAAACCTCCAAGATTCAGTTCCAGCCAGGTTCCTGCCACCAACCTCCCCCACCCACCAACTGCACACACATTTCATGATCCCTCTCAGCACTTCTCTGTCTCCAAGCACTTTGCTCACACTATTCCTGAGGACCAGAATGCCCTTTCTCCTTTATCTCTATGGAGATTCTGCTTACTCTTCAATCTCAATCAGCACCTTCCTCCTGAGGCCTCCTTGATGCCAATGCCTGCCTTAGATTGAAATGAGCCAGCTCAGCAACACAGCGCTTGATTGGCAGCTCTGCAAGAGCCCAGAGCTGAGGGTGGGCTGGGCGTTCCAGGTGGTTTGGTACCTGCCGGGCTCTTCCACCACACCTGGTGCACCCCCAGGGTGGGAACCACCTCCCAGAGCTCTCTAGACCACCCATTGCCCTGCAGGGTTTGTTCCTTACTAGGAGCTCCCAGTAAAATTGGAACAGAATTAAATTAGCTTGCCGGTGTTCAGGGATGAAGGGCAGCATCATTTGGTAATAAGTGCAGCAACCTGAAAGCTCTGAGGGAAAAAAAGGGTGAAGAGAGAGAAAGAAAGATCCACAGTGGCCTTGCTGTTGCTGCTGCCACTGCTGCGGTGGCCTCTGGGAAGTGTCTCCCTCCAGCTTTCTGCCTTTAATCCTAAGAATTGGGTGATGCTGGCCCGGGCGCGGTGGTTCACGCCTGTAATTCCAGCACTTTGGGAGGGCGAGGTGGGCAGATCACGAGGTCAGGAGATCGAAACCATCCTGGCCAACTTGGTGAAGCCCCATCTCTATTAAAAATACAAAAATTAGCTAGGCGTGGTGGCACGCGCCTGTAGTCCCAGCTACTCAGGAGGCTGAGGCACCAGAATTGCTTGAACCCGGGAGGTGGAGGTTGTAGGGAGCCGAGATTGCACCACTGCACTCTGGCCTGGTGACAGAGCGAGACTCCATCTCAAAAAAAAAAAAAAAGGAACTGGGTGATGCTAATGATGATGATAAGCTAAGGATTCGACAGAAATCCGGCTTCTGGAACACTTGATTGGGGGATCTGGAGGGAAGTGAGTACCAAATCAGGCATTGCCCTCTCTCCTTTAGATCTTGCTCCACTAATGTGACACCTGATTATGTGATAAGCTCAGCATATGTTGCTACTTAATTTAAATATTTATGGTTGGTTTTCAAATCAGCTCTTAACTTGCCAGAGTGTTGAGACTCTATGAATCATACAACTTTCCAAGTGGAAGGACCATTAGCATCTAATGTAAACTTTTCCTTTTCTAGATGGGGAACTGAGTCCCAGGGAGGGCCAGGAGCTGGCTCAAGGTCACATGAATGTTAGTGGCAGAGCTGGGCCTAGAACCCGGGGCTCCTGCCTCATGGCCCAGGGCTCTGTCCACTGCACCACACTGCCCGCCTCTTTCACCAAAATGAAAACTAGAAAACTTTGGAGCAAACTCCAAACTCCTGGATGCCAATGCCTGCCTTAGATTGAAATGAGCCAGCACAGCAACACAGCGTTTGATTGGCAAGCATGCTGGTGTGTTAGTTGTGAGCTGTGTTGGTTGTGAGCTATGTTTATACAGCATCAGGGGAAAAGGAGGCACATCATTCTCTAGGAAAGGAAATAAAGAAAGTGGATGTAGATGGCGAGATAGTTCACTTAAGCCTGAGAGAAGTGTAAGTGATCTCCCACCATCTCACCTGTCCCCTACCCCAGCAAAGCCACTCCATAGAGTTGGTGCCATTCCGGTTGATCTGAGTGTATGAACTGGCCTTTGGAATATACCACTCTGCCCCTCCCTCCAAATGGCGAGGGTGGGGACAGACTTCTCAGGCCCTGCTGACGGATCTTGTTTTACCCAAGCCTCTATTTTTGTTTTGTTTTGGAGAGATGGGGTCTCACTTTGTTGTCCAGGCTGGTCTCCAACTCCTAGGCTCAAGCGATCCTCCCACCTCAACCTCCCAAAGTTCTGGGATTATGGGTGTGAACCACAGCACCTGGCTTCCCAAACCTCTTGATCAATTTGTATCCATATGAGTACCCCACCAGCTGCACTTCACCTCCAGAAACTCAGAATGGTACAACAGCCTTGCAGAATGAGACTTTGAGCAGGCTGGAATATAACTGAGTCCAGGTGAGGATACATCCTGGTGGGGGTATGTCCTGGTGGGCATATAGTCTTGCTGTCATGTTGTCTTGAGAGCTTTGAATACAAAATTGTACTGCGGGCATGTGGTGGGTGCAGAGGTCAAAAGCACAGGCTCCCAGCCTGGGCAACGTAGTGAGATCCTGCCTCTGCCAAAGATGAAAAAATTAGCTGGGTGTGGTGGTGCATGCTGTAGCTGTAGTTCCAGCTACTCAGGAGGCTGAGGTGGGAGGATTATTTGAGCCCAACAGGTCAAAGCTGCAGTGAGGCATGATTACGCCATTGCACTCCAGCCTGGGCAACAGGGCAGAGACCCTGTCAAAAAAACAAAAATAAATAAAAAATAAATAAAAACACACAGGCTTTGGAGTCAGAGAGACCTGGGTTTATGCCTCAACTCTGTCTGTTCCTAGCTGAGCACCCTTGGGCTGGTTGCTGACCCTCTCTGTATCTCAGTTTCCTCACTGATAAAATGGGTCTGATAATACCCACTTCATAGGATTATTGTGACAATTGTAGGGAAAAAGTATGGAGTGCACTGTATCAAGGTCCAGGCACATATGGAAGCATTCAATAAATGTGATTGTCCTAGAAAGGTGAAATAACGGGCAATCTTTTTTTTTTAGACGGAGTCTCGCTCTGTTGCCCAGGCTGGAGTGCTCGATCTCGGCTCACTGCAACCTCCACCTCCCAGGTTCAAGCGATTCTTCTGCCTTAGCCTCCTGAGTAGGTGGGACTAGAGGCACCTGCCACCACGCCCAGCCAATTTTTTGTATTTTTAGTAGAGACGGGGTTTCACTATGTTGGCCAGGCTGGTCTCAAACTCCTGACCTCGTGATCCACCCGCCTCGGCCTTGCAAAGTGCTGGGATTACAGGCATGAGCCACTGCGCCTGGCCCAACAGGTGATCTTTTATTCTATTTCTTTTTTCTTTCTTTTCTTTTTTTTTTTTTTTTTGGAGGTAGAGTATCTTAAAAAATTCTACTTCTTTATACTATTTGATACGAATCAGGAATTACTTTTATGACCAGAAAAAATACAGTATAAAGGGAGAAAAAAACCTATGCAACAAAACATTTTTCAAATAGATCCTAGAAGGTACAGGTACCTGTGAGGTAATTCTGAGGATCTGGGAGTCCTCACATATGTCATCCCCACTATCAGGGGGTGGACAGGATGTTGCCAGGTCACAGGGAAAAGGAAAGAGCTTAAGCTGGGAAGCAGGTACCAAAACCTGTGGTCCTAACTTGTGCCCTGGGGCCAGCATTTGGTGTTTCTCTTTATATTGCCCTGTGGTTATGCATGGTGCACGCTATCTTCTGGCAGCAAAGCCAACCAAAGCGAAACGAAAACCAACTCATGATTTTCACTAGACTTGTTGTTGTTGTTGTTGTTGAGACAGGGTCTCGCTCTGTTGCCCAGAGTGGAGTGTGGTGGTGCGATCTCCGCTCACTGCAACCTCCACCTAGGTTCAAGCAATTCTCGTGCCTCAGCTTCCCAAGTAGCTGGGATTACAGGTGCGTACCACCATGCCCGGCTAACTTTTGTATTTTTAGTAGAGACAGGTTTTTGCCATGTTGGCCAGGCTGGTCTCAAACTTCTGGCCTCAAGTGATCTGTTCGCCTCAGTCACCCAAAGTGCTGGGATTACAGGGATGAACTGCTGTGCCCAGCCTCCACTACACTTTAGCAGAAATAAAAACATCTCAGCTCAGGCACAGCTCTCAAATCTACAGTCTTTCATGATGAAGGAGTCAAGTTTGGGTTCCCTATTCCTGAGTTAAATAAAAAGTAATGCTGTACTTTTCGGTTTTGTTTTTTAGTTTTTTGTTTGTTTGTTTGTTTTTTGGTTTTTTTGTTTGTTTGTTTGTTTTTAGACAGAGTCTCACTCTGTTGTCCAGGCTGGAGTGCAGTGGTGTGATCTCGGCTCACTGCGACCTCCGCCTCCCAGGTTTGAGCAATTCTCTGCCTCAGCCTCCCGAGTACCTGGGATTACCAGCACCTGCCACCACGCCCAGCTAATTTTTTTGTTTTTAGTGGAGACAGGGGTTTCACCATGTTGGCCAGGCTGGTCTTGAACTCCTGACCTCATGATCCACCCACCTTGACCTCCCAAAGTGCTGGGATTATAAGCGTGAGCTACCGTACCCGGTCTTCTTTTAGGTTCTTTAAGACATAAGAATGTATAGAAAGCTACTGAGATAGGAATTATTTGGGGGAAAGGGGATCTTAGAACCTGATTTTTGAAAGGGCCTGTGGTAGGCTACAAACTGGTCCCCCAGTAGAGATCCACATTCTAATCACCAAAACCTGTAAGTGTTAACTTACTTGTTTTGTTTCCTCTCTCTCTTATTACCCACAATAATGTTAATTTAAATGGCAAAAATAAATAAATAAATAAAATGAGGTTTATGTACATGTGATCATGTTTAGGATTTTGAGATGGGGACACTATTCTGGATTATCTGGGTAGGTCCTACATGCAACCACGTATATCCTTATGAGGGAGGCAGAGAAAGATTTGATGCACAGATGAGAAGGTGATGTGAAGCTGGAGCAGAGACAGATTTGAAGATGCTGGTCTTAAAGATCAGAGTGATGCATCCTTAAGCCAAGAAATGCAGGAAGTTGCCAGAAGCTGGAAGAGACAAGGAATGGATTCTCCCTTTGAGCTTCCAGAGGAAACAGGGCCCTGCCAGCACCTTGGTTTCAACCCAGAGATACTGATTTTAGACTTCCGGCCTCCAGAACCGTGAAAGGCTAAATATTCCTGTTGTTCAAAGCCCCCTAGTTTGTAGTACTTTGTTATGGCAGCCCAGGAAACTAACACAGAGTCCTTAGAGTTCATCTAGTCCAAGGTATGGGCTTTTTCCTTTGTTTGTTTGTTTGTTTGTTTTTGAGACAGGCTCTCCCTCTGTTGCCCAGGCTGAAGTACAGTGATGCAATCATGGCTCACTGCAGCCTCGACCTCCCAGGCTGAAGCAATCCTCCCACCTCAGCCTCCCAAGTAGCTGGGACCACAGTTGGGCACCACCGTGCCCAGCTAATTTTGTTTTGTTTTTAGTAAAGACAGGGTCCCAGTATGCTACCCAGGCTGGTCTCAAACTCCTGGGCTCAAGCAATCCTCCTCGGCCTCCCAAAGTGTTGGGATTACAGGCATGAACCACCATGCTCAGTCTCTAATGATTTTCTTAGCACCGAAATCAATTACTTTTCAAATGAAATCATTGCCTATAGAAACAACAGATGCAAACAGAGGAGTGATGATTGAAAAAGGAGGTCCAGATCCCCACCTGCTAAATCCCCTCAATGGTGGCTCCTGAAGCACCTCCCAGGACCTTCCACCAACAGAGTGTGAAAACACTTGTCTAGTTTCAACCTCATTGTACAGATGAATAACTTGAGCCTCTAGGGGCTGAGTGATTGGCTGAAGGCCTCCCTTAGCAGGCAGCAAGGAACACTTATGGGGAGGAAAACAAGGCAAGTTACTCCTGCCTGCTCTCTCATCTTCCCTTGCCTGGTTTGGCCAAATCCCTGTCTCCCAAGCAAACAACTAAGAATACGTTGCTGTCTCTATATGAATTTTGTTTTTAGCACTAGTTCCAGTTTTGAACAGGGACTGCCAGCTGTGTCAAATATGGCGAGGCTCAAATGAAGTATTTGCTCATGAAGAGCACAGACCTGGAGCAGGCTGTTAAGGCATCTTCGGAGATGAAAAATTACTGCCTGATTCCTCACCTGTATTTGCAAATTGAGTCTCGTGGGTATGACTGCAACAGTGGGTGTGAGGAGGTGGGCAGGAATGAATAGCAAAGTTAACCAGCTGTCGGTGAACCCGGAAATATGAATCCCTAAGTGGATCAAGAAGAGCCCAGATAAGAGCACAGGTGAATGCCACATCACATTTTTCTTGTTGTTGTTAGATTTTAAAACATTTAAGGTCAGTTCTGCTAAAAGGCCTTTGTGGAGGATAAAGAAAAGGTTATAATAAAATATTACTCCCCTTTTCCCTCTGGCCTTGGTACTAACAGACAAGACATTAAAAGTCAGGTTCTCTTTCCTTCCCAAGCATAGTCAAGATAGGATGGCATTTTCTCCTTCCTTCCTTCCTTCCTTCCTTCCTTCCTTCCTTCCTTCCTTTCTTTTTTTGATGGAGTCTCACTCTGTCGCCCAGGCTGGAGTGCAGTGGCGTGATCTCGGCTCACTGCAACCTCCACCTCCCGGGTTCAAACCATTCTCGTGCCTCAGCCTTCCGGGTAGCTGGGATTACAGGCGTGTGCCACCATGCCTGGCTAATTTTTGTATTTTTAGTGGAGATGGGGTTTCACTATGTTGGCCAGGCTGGTCTTGAACTCCTGACCTCAAATAATCCTCCCGCCTTGGCCTCCCAAAGTGCTGGAATTACAGACGTGAGCCACCGTACATGGTAGGACGGCATTTTCAAAGGGAACTTTACAAGGAACTATGAGGAACCCAATGGGGCATTAAACAAACAAGATCCAAACCCTCTCCAGGGGTTAAAAATGACTGACCGTTTACCAAGCTGATTCCGAATTCGCGACCGTTTAGATGCCTATTTCCAGGGCCACTGGCCTCATCCCTGCTACTTGACCAAGTGGCACTGAGAGAAGTATTGCATCCGGAAAGAGGAAGGCCAGGGTGTGTTCCAAGAATGAATCAAATAATGGGAAGCCTAACTAAGACCAGTGGATGAGCCAACAATGCCAGCTGGCTGCTCAAGGCTGCTGGGAGGGAACACTCAGTGCAGCAGATGGAACACAACTGGCAGGCAACAGCAAATGGCATTAGTGTGGCTTCCTTTGTTCCTTGGTGTTGCTAGGGAGGATGTCCTCTCTCCATTCTGCAGGCCACATGGTTCCACCCTCCCCAAACAGTAGGGAAGGATGAAGGTCCCTAGCTGCCACCCACTGCTGCTCCAACTGAAGGAACAATGTGTCTTTTTAATTTATTTATTATTTATTTATTTATATTTGTTTATTTATTTTTTGAGACAGGCGTGGCTCTGTCGCCCACACTGGAGTGCAGTGGCACCATCATGGCTCACTGTAGCCTCGACCTCCCAGGTTCAAGAGATCCTCCCACCTCAGCCTCCTGGGTAGCTGGGACTTCAGGCATGTATTGCCATGCCCGGATTTTTTTTTTTTTTTTCCCCGAGACGGAGTCTTGCTCTGTCGCCTAGGCTGGAGTGCAATGGCACGATCTCTGCTCACTGCAACCTCCGCCTCCCAGGTTCAAGCAATTCTCCTGTCTCAGCCTCTGGAGTAGCTGGGACTATAGTCGCGCTCCACCACGCCCAGCTAATTTTGAGTAGAAATGAGGTTTCGCGATCTTGACCAGGCTGGTCTCGAACTCCTGACCTCAGGTGATCCACCTGCGTCACCCTCCCAAAGTGCTGGGATTACAGGTGTGAGCCACCACGCCCGGTCTATGCCCAGATAATTAATTTTTTTTTTTTTTTTTTGTAGAGACAAGTTGTTACCTGCTGTGTTGCCCAGGCTGGGGGACCATGTGTCTTTATGCAAAACACACCAGGCACTTGCAGAGGTGGCCAGCTTTCCCCAGAAAGGACCTCTCACAGACTTTTTCTTTCCATTTGTTTGTTTGTTTGTTTGTTTGTTTGGCTTTCAGGTAATGTTGCTTCTCAATTCATGATCTCACCATCATTGGTCTGTGAGATTCTTCTCTGGCTGAATCAATCTATCCATCTCTCCAGTCTTTTTAATTACTGTTTTCCACTCTAATGCTCCTCCCCTCAGTGGCAACCACTCAAGTGTGTGCTCTGTCAAACTGTGTAGAGGGGTGTGTGTGTGTGTGTGTGTGTGTGTGTGTGTGTGTGTGTTTTCAGTAAACATAAGTGGTAGTGGCCTGGAGAGTGTGTTCAGTCTCTTACTGGGTGCTTTTCCACTGAGCCCTGTGTGTGTTAACTGTCCATGCTGCTGTGTGTTCCTGAGTTGCTTGTAACCACTCATTTGCTTCTATTTTTCCCCAGTGGTGGACACCTGGATTGCCTCCAATTCTGTCCTAGCACAGGCTCTGTACAATAAACATCCTTGCATGGGTCCCTATAGCAGGCTCAAGATGGACCCCAAAGGTATCAGGTCCTAATGCTTGGAGTCTGTGAATGTTGCCTTATATGGAAAAAGGGTCTTTGCGGATGTGATCGTGTTGAGGATTTTGAGATGGGGAGATTATCCTGGGTTATCAGGGTGGGCTGGAAAGGAAGTCACATGTTGTATTGGTTTTCTGTGGTTGCTGTAACAAAGTACTGTACCACAAATTTGGTGGCTTAAGACAATAGAAATCTACTCTCTCACTGTTCTGGAGGCCAGAAGTCTGAAATCAAGGTGTCAGGAGGGCCACAGTGCCTCCGAATCCCCTCCTTGCCTCTTCCGGATTCTAGTGGACTCAGGTGTTCCTTGGTTTGTGGCAGCATCACTCCAACCTCTGCCTCGTCTTCACATGGTCTTCCCTGTCTCTCTGTCCTTTTGTCCTCTTATAAGGACAGCAGAAATTGGATTAAGGGCCCCTCCTACTCCAGTATGACCTCATCTTAACAAATTACATCTTCAAAGACCCTATTTCCAAATAAGGTCACTTTCTGAGGTTCTAAGTGAATGTGAATTTGGGGGGACATTATTCAGCCCACTACTCTTATATCCTTATAAAAGAGAAGCAGAGGTAGATTTGACACTCACACAGAGAAGGCAGAGTGAAGAGGGAGCGGAGAGATTCGAAGATGCTGGCCTTGAACATCAAAGCGATGCAGCCGCAGACCAGGGAAGGCTGGCAGCCACCAGAAGCTGGAAGAAGCAAGGAGTGGAGACCCCCCAGAACCTCCTGAGAGAGCATAGCCCTGCTGACATCTGGGGTTCGGCCAAAGGATACTGATTTTGGACCTCTTGACTCCAGAAGTATCAGAGAATACATTTCTGTTGTTTTGAGCCATTGAGTTTGTGATATTTTGTTACAGCAGCCACAAGATACTCAGTCCCTTTGTGGGCCTGCAGGAGAATTTCTTGAGGTTATACCCAAGAATGGGCTTACTGGGACAGTGTGGGCACAGACAAGATTTGGCTAAATGCTACTAGGTGGCTCTCCAAAGCGCCTGCATCCATCTAGCAGGACTCCCAGCAGCGGCACACAATGGTTCCTCCTTCTGCTTATTCTAGCCAACACTTGGCATCATACAGCTGATTTTTGCCAATCTGACATGTGTGTATCCTATGTCATTGTTGTCATTTCCATTTCTCCGATTACTAATGAATCTGGGATCCCAGCATCTCTTCACATACTTACTTGCCAGCCTTTTCAGTTTCTTCTCCTAAGAATTGCCTATGCATATGCTTTGCTCATTTTCCTGTTGGGTCTTTTTCTTGTTGTTTTGCAGAATGTTCTTGCATATTTTATCCATTAATCTCCTGTTGCTTTTAAACAGCAAATATCTTCTCCCCATCTGTTGTCTGTCTGTTAATTCTATCTGTGCTGTCCTTCATGGAAAGGAATCCTTAATTTTGCTGTAATCAAACCTAATTTGAGTGCTCATTTCAGCAACACATATACTAAAGTTGGAACTATATAGATAAGATTAGCATGGCCCCTGCACAAGTTCACGAAGTGTTCCATATAATTAAAACAAATAAAATACAATAACAAATCTAATTCAAGGCTGACAACAGAAGGGTGGATGGGTCAGGGACTATTGTGCAAACAGAGTAAGTGCTACCGTGTGTGTGTGTGTGTGTGTGTGTGTGTGTGTGTGTGTGTGTGTGTTGTGCATGCGTGCAACCTCTAACTGAATGTCAACTCCCAGGAATGGGTCTATTGCCCAAACTTTAGGCTTAACTGCTCCCCTGCTCCCTGCAGTAACACATACAGTTCAGTAAAAGCAGTTCTCAGATGTCCCTGTGCACTGGAATCACCCCAGAGGCTTGCTAAAACCCAGATTACTGGGTGCCACCCCCAGAGTTGCTGAGTCAGCAAATCCGGAGTGGAGGCCCAGGGATCTGTGTCACAGATAAGCTCCCAGTGACACTGATGTTAGTGGCCCAGAGGCTCACTTGGAGAACCACTCTAGGGTACGCAGGGAATGCCAGCATGTTGCTGAGGCTCTGAAGAAATAGAAAGTATGGCTGCTTGTCAGCTGGCCAAGCAGCACCAGGAAGACTGAGGAAGATAGGAAAGTCACTCGTAATCACTGAATGCCGGTGCTAAAAGGCACCTCTGGGGCCACAAAGGCCAAAATATTTGACGGAGGTCAAAAATGAGACCCAAAGGGCGTCAGTTACTTGACCAAGGTCACCCACTTAAGTGGTGGCTGAGGTCCTGTGTGGTGGCTCACACCTGTAATCCCACACTTTGGGAGGCTGAGGTGGGAGGATTCCTTGAGCCCAGGAGTTTGAGACCAGCCTGGGCAACATAGGGAGACTCCATCTGTAGAAAAATAAATAAATAAATAAATAAATAAATGTTGGCCGAGGCCAGACTGCCTGATATCAATGCTGTTTTCTCTTCACATTCCCCACCCTAGTTCTCCTAAGGGACACATGTGCGCCCCTCCACAGCTTGAGGACTTGCTTTGAAATGGTGGAGGGGCGCCCTTGACAGTCACCCCATAATATTTCCCACCAGCACGACCTTTATCACAGCTTGTCCAGCAGAAAGAAGCCACGCAGTGCCTAGAATGCATCCATGTGACATGCAGCCCTGCCATCCCTCATTCCTTCCTTTTTGGGCATTCTGAGCAGCACTGGGGGCCATTGGGTGTGTATAGGAAGGGAACGTGGAGTGGTGGATGGGGAGGCCTAGACAGATCCGCCCCAACACCCCGGCAGATTCTATCCCTGCTTGTCTCTGTCACTCACACTGGCAGTAGGCTTCCTGGGGCAAGGACAAGGGCTTCCTCCTCATGCCCACTGGCCCCGCATTTGGGACCCAATGCCTCTCCCCACCCCCCAGGCAGGAGGGCAGGAGAGCAGGAGGGGAAGGGGACTTGATCCTGGCCTCCTCCTCCATCTGGCAAGGGAGATAGCATATTTTCTGGGCTGGCAGTGAAGAATGGGGAAGGATAGTGGAGAAGCTAAAGCCAGGGGCAGCAACCCCTATGCTATGCAGCTCCGCAAGGCGACAGGGCCCCCTCCAAGAGAGGAGACTGGCTGGGGAGGAAGGGAAATAGAGAGGGGAGTTGGAGGTTGGAGAGAAAGGAGGGAAGGGAGGTGGGGAGGTGGTGCAAGAAAACAGAGAAGGAGGGGGGACAGAGGTGAAAGTGGTATGGAGGGGGAAGGGAAACTGAAAGGGAGGGGAAGAGGACGCAGGGGAGGGAATGGGCAATAGGCTTGGAGAACGAATGACTGAAGGTGGCTCCTCCAAGAGGGACCCTGCAGGGAGGCAGCTGGGTGAAGCGGAAGAGCCTCTGGTGCCCCAGCCACAGCAGGTAGTGGGGGATGGCTCAGTGCATGGGGAGCGGGAAGCTGGGGCCCTGGGGGCTCCTGTGAATGAGGAGAGGACATGGGAAGGGCTTTGGAAAGGGTGATATGCTTTTTGAAAAAGAAGCAGTACAGGGGGATGGCCCTGACACTATCAGCCCCCACTTTACCCCTACCCCTACCGCCCCATCTTGTCTGTTTTTGTGTTTTCTGAGACTAGCTTCACTTTTTCGTTTATTTATTTGTTTAGAGACAGGGTCTCACTGTGTCACCCAGGCTGGAGTGCAGTGGTGCGATCACAGTTCACTGCAGCCTTGAACTCCTAGGCTCCAGTGATCCTCCTGGCTCAGCCTCCCAAGTAGCTGGGACTACAGGCACACACCACCGCACCTGGCTAATTTTTTTTTTTTTTCTGAGAGATGAGGTCTCACTATGTTGCCCAGGCTGGTCTCCAACTCTTAGCCTCAAGTGATCCTCCCATCTCAGCTTCCCAAAGCACTGGGAATACAGGCATGAGCCGTAGCACCCAGCCTTTCCACCCCACCTTGCATTCTCCCTCTTACCTTTCAGTTCTGGAAGTCCAGCCTCTCCTGTTTTCAGCAAACCATCAGCCAGGCTGGGGAGATTGGCAAGGCATTCAGAGACCCCAGTGCCATGGGTTGCCTACCATGCCAATCAGACCTTCCACTACTCACTGGGCCACTGGGCACCCAACTGCACCAAGCCCCACTGGCCTTGGGGCCACAGAGTGGAGTCAGGCATAGGCCCTGCCAGCTGGGCTCAGGCCTCAGTGCTTGGCCACTGTCAAAGGGCTGCTTCGAAACTTTACCCTCACTGTGGGTCTTTCCGAGCCCTTTGCCTCAAATATTGAGGAATGGGCCAAGGAAAAGGGGCAGAAGGACATAGCCGGGAGTGACCCTTAAGCCCTTTGGCCTGCCAGCCTCTCGTCTCTTGGGCTGCCCTGGCTGTCCATGGCCTCAGCAGCTGCCACCACCACCTGTCCCTGAGCTCACAGGATCTCATGTATGACCTCACATGTTCCTCACAGGCTTTCATTCCTTCATCCAAATGCATTTATTGAGTCCTCACAATTAGCCAGGCACTGAGCTGAGCCCTGGGGTTTTCAGAGGCCCTGCGCACAGGGCGCTGCTATGAACCAACCCCTCATTTCCACAGTGAGGAGGGTGCTGGCACCTCTCCAGCATTCCTGAGTTTCCCCAAGCCCTGGGTCTGCCTCTCCCAGTGCTGCTTTTACCAGGTTTCCTGGGGGCAGTCTCTCTTTCAAAAAGCTGTCAGCTCAGCTGGACCTCTGGCCTTTGGCATATGCTCCAGCCCCAGCCAGAGAGGAGGGTATTGCCCTTCTCCTGCCAGCAAGTCCTCCAGCCCTGCCAAAAGCCCCATCTTGAACCCCAGGTTCCCACACATGTGCCCTCCCCACCTCACCACCCCAGCTACTGCTACACACCAACTCTACCCACTCCCAGCTGGCTACATGTCCACACCTTGCCATGCCCTCATCTTCCCCCAAGCCTCAAGTGCCTGGCCAGGCCCTGCCCCTGCCCCCTGCCCTAGACCTAGCCCTCTGACCAGTCATCCTGCTAGCAGCTCATACTGCTCACCACTTGCTGTCTCCTTGGCTTCCAGATTTTCCTTCTCTCTCCCTGGCTGCTGCTTCTCCTGGTCTCATTCAGACTCATCCTCCTTAACCTATCCTTCACGAGTTGACATCCAAATACCAAATGATGGGGAGGATACGGGAACATAGGAACCCTCAGACACTGCCGGTGGGAATGTAAAATGGCGCAGCTGCTATGGAAAACAGTTCGATTCCTCAAAAGGTTGAACATAGAATTACCATATGACCCAGCAATTCCATTCCAGAGTATATACCCAAAAGAACTGAAAACAGGGACTCAGGAGTTGTATATCAAAACAGGAACTGCACACAAATTTCATTCAGCATTATTCACAATAACCAAAAGGTGGAAACAATGGAAATGTCTATCAACAGGTGAATGAATAAGCAAAAGGTAGTCTAGCCATACAGTGGAACATTATTCAGCCATAAGAGGAATGAAGCCCAGGTGCAGTGGCTGCTTGAAACCCAGAGCTTTGGGAGGCCAAGACAGGAGGATCACTCGAGTCCAGGAGCTTGAGATCACCCTGAGCAACCTAGTAAGACCCCATCTCTACAAAAACATTTTTATTTTTTTGAGATGGAGTTTTGCTGTTGTTGCCCAGGCTGGAGTACAGTGGCACGATCTCGGCTCACCGCAACCTCTGCCTCCCAGGTTCAAGCACTTCTCCTGCCTCAGCCTCTTGAGTAGCTGGGATTACAGGCACGTGCCACCACGCCCGGCTAATTTTCTTTGTATTTTTAGTAGAGATGGCGTTTCACCATGTTAGCCAGGCTGGACTCGAACTCCTGACCTCAGGTGATCCACCCGCCTTGACCTGCCAAAGTGCTAGGATTATAGGTGTGAGTCACTGAGCCTGGCCTTACAAAAACATTTTTAAAAATAATAAATAAATAAAATTAGCTGGGCATCGTGGTATGTGCCTGTAGTCCCAGCTACTCCGGAGGCTGAGGTGGGAGGATCACTGTAGCCCAAGAGTTTGAGGCTGCAATGAGCTATGATCATGCCACTGCACTCCAGCTTAGGCAACAGAGGGAGGCCCTGTCTCAAAAAAAGAGAAGAAGAAGAATGAAGTACCAACTCATGCTACAACATGGATAGGCCTTGGAAACATTACACTAAGTGAAAGAAGCCACACAAAAGGACAAATATGGTCTGATTCCATTTCTACGAAATGTACAGAATGGGAAATCCATAGAGATGGAAAGTAGATGAATGGGTGCCAGGGACTGGGATAGTGAGAATGGGAAGTGACTGCTTCATGGGTACAGGGTCTCTTTTTGGGATAATGGAAAAGTTCTGGAACTAGATAGAGGTGATGATTGCACAACATTGTAACTGTACTAAATATCATTGAATTTTACACTTTGAAATGCTAAATTTCTTGTTATGTGTATTTTACCACTAAAAAAAAAAAATAAAAAAAATAAAAAAGCCAGCATTCGTTTCCTTTTGTCCTTGGCCATTCTACACTCTTACTCTGCCTTCAGAGTCCAGCTCCAGTCTTAGTGCCGCTCCTGCAACCTTGTCTCCTGTCCCCACAAGGCCAGGCTTGCTTTCCTCTGCTCCCCTCTATCCTCTGCCCTTCCATCCTGCTCTTAGGGGCCCGGGGCGTGGTCCAGTTTCTTTCTGCATCCCCAGTGCCTGAAATAGACCTGAAATACAGCAGGCGCTTAGTGCCTATTTGGCCCAAAAGTGAATGAACAAATAAGTCATGTCCTAACCCTTCGTGCTCAGATGGGGAAAGTGAGGGCCAGCAGAGGGGAAGTGACTTACCCAAGGTCGCAGGCTGGCCAGTGGTAGAGTGGAGACTAGAAGCCTTGGCCCCAGCCACTCCACAGGAGCCTTTTCTATCCTAACATATCCCTGCCTGCTCACTCTTCAGCATCTTTTCCAGCCTGCCTGCCCTCGGGGGTTCCCATCTCTTCTCCCTGGCTGCTTCTGGGACCTTGAACCAAATGAGCTCTGGGGGCTTGGCACTTTGGAAACCCTGAAGTCAGTGCTCCCTCCTCACATCAACCCCACTTGCTTCTGATGATTGCACACAAAGGAAACCTGCAGGACCCAAAGGCAACTGGGGAATAGCCCCTGGCACCAGTAAAGCCAAGCCATTCCTGAGACAATGCTCCCTCCATGGGAAAACTGCTGGAAACAGGTGGAAAGGGAAGCCTGACAGTGTCTGCTATCCATTTGGCTCTTAAGGACTGAGTGACCTGTCTCTGCCCAGTGCTTTTAGCATCACTCATGCTGCTGCAGGCATGCTCCATTCTGTCCCCAGTGAGAGGGGGCTAGCAGGCGAAACACTGCCTGATGTCTGTGAAGTTCACACAGCACAACTGTGCACCAGCACCGCTGTGCTCTGTTCTTCCCTGGTTTGCAGAAAGGACACAGGTATTGAAACTCACAGAGAGGTCCCAGGAGCAGGCTGGAGGATGAGGACCTCTAAGGGCAAACAGGAACAGGTCCTGGGAGGGCCAGAAGCCAGAGCTCAACCCAAGGGTGGGTAGGCCAGCCTGGACTTCTCAGGCCATCTGGTTCTCCGTAGGAGAGAGCAAGGTGGGAACAATAAAGAAAACAAGAATTCTGGGGCTGGGCGCGGTAGCTCATGCCTGTGATCCCAGGATTTTTGGAGGTTGAGGTGGAGGATTGCTTGAGCTCAGGAGACCAGCCTGGGCAACATGGGGAAACCCTGTTTCTACAAAAAAAAAAAAAAAAATGAAAAAAAAATTGCCGGACATGGTGATGCATGCCTGTAGTCGCAGCTACTCGGGAGGGTGAGGTGACAGGATCACCTGAGGCTAGGAGCTTGAGGCTGCGCTGAGCTGTGATCACACCACTGCACTCCAGTCTGGGTGACAGAGGGAGACCCCATCTCAAAAAAAAAAAAAAAAGAGAGAGAAAGAAAGAAAGAAAGAAAGAAAGAAAGAAAGAAAGAAAGAAAGAAAGAAAGAAAGAAAGAAAGAAAGAAAGAAAGAAAGAAAGAGAAAGAAAAAGAAAAACCCAGGAATTCCAGGAGGTGCCAAAGAGCCAATCTCGTGTCACTTGCCAAACTATCTGACTTTACCGCTGCATTTCTTCTTCTCCAGGGCCACGGCGCCTCAGGTGTGCTCAGCCCCTGAGGAAGGACCCCTGGCCCAGGAGTCCGTGGGCAGCCCCTCCTCATCTCTGTGCCAAGACGGAGTGGCATGGCTTTCTGTGCTTCGCCTCACATGTTGTAGGGAAGCAGAGGGAAGGCCAGCAACAGGTCAGAGCTGTGGCTGTGTATCCAAGGAAGCCCCCGACTCTAGCCCCTCTACTCAGGGCGGCAGGAGAGCTCTGAAGGGCCATGCCTGAAGTGCTAGGGCCACTATACTGACAGCTAGAGGAGTCCACAGGGCTTGAAAGGCTCCTGCAGTTCTCCTACAAACCTAAATTCCACTATTAGAGATGGGATTCTCTGAGTTGAACGTTACCCTCTTTCCTCTGGTTTTTTTTTTTTTTTTTTTTTTTTTTTTTGAGACAGGGTCTCACTCTGTCACCAAACTGGAGTGCAGAGACATGATCTAGGTTCACTGTAACCTCTACCTCCTGGGCTCGAGAGATCCTCCCACCTCAGTCTCCCGAGTAGCTGGGACTACAGGTGCACACCACCATGCCCAGCTAATTTTTATATCTTTTTTGGTAGAGATGGGGTATCACCGTGTTGCCCAGGCTGGTCTCAAACTCCTGGGTTCAAGTGATCCACCCACCTTGGTCTCCCAAAGTGCTAGGATTACAGGCATGAGCCACTGCACCTGGCCCCTTCCTCCTTTTAAGCTCTATAGTAATATTTCTAATAATGCTTGGCATGTGTGCAATATTAGACATCCCTCCTTCACGCTGTCATTGCTCTAGTATCTGGAGGCAGGCAGGGCAGGGATTATGAATCTGATTTTAGAGAAACTGAGGTCCAGAGAGGGCAATGGACTTGCACTAAGGGACCCAGCTAGCCCAGTACTCTTGACCTTGGACTTATCTGTCTCTACCCCTGCAGTCCACAACTGATCGTAACATCTTCTTTCCCCAGTACAGGAACAAGTACACAACTAACTCCAAAACAAACCCTTTCTTGGTGGCCTAGAATCCACATGGAGGCTACTGGGTTTAGAGTTTAGAGTCCAAACTACAATTCATTCGGCTAGCCTACAAACATCTTCTGGAATACCTCGTGTGAGCTGGGTCCCAGGCTAGGTACTTGAGGGCTGTGGGGTGGCTAATAATGGCTTCTAATCCCTGAATCCTGTGAATGCTAGTGTATGTAACAAAAAGGTCACTGTGGATGTGGTTAAATTAAAGACCTTGATATGGGGAGATTGTCTTGGATTATCTAAGTGGGCCCTAGATGCTATCATATGTATCCCCATAAACAGGGAGATTTGATGAGACATACACACACACAGAGGAGAGGACCATGTGAAGATGGAGGCAGAGATTGGAGTGATGTGGCCACAAGCCAAGAAATGCATGGAGCCACCAAAGCTGGGAGAGGCAGGAAGGAGTCAGTTCTAAAGGCTCCAGAGGAAATGAGGTCCTCCCAACACCTTGATTTTGGACTTCTGTCCCCAGAACTAGGAGAGAATAAATTTCTGTCATTTTTCGGCACTAAGTTTGTGGCAATTTGTCACAGTAGCTACAAGAACAAGGACCAGACTCTGCCCTTGAGGAGCACCTAGTGAGTTAATCCGATACATGCCATGTCGGGGGCATGAATGCCCGAATGTAGTCCCTCTTTCATGATCCAGGAATACTATCCTGGGACCAGGGGGCTTCCGAGAGGACAGCATCTGCTTTTAACACATGAGAAACCCAAAGATGACTCTCCCCCGGGCGGGGGGATCTGGATTTCCTGTAACAGAGCTTCTGGCCCTGCCCCCTACCTCCCACTCAGGTTTCAAGATCACAGGTGAGTATAAAGAATGGATTGATTACCCTTCCCAGGGGCATTTGCCAGTTAATAGGTGCTAAAGTCTCAGGTCAGAGAACTGAGCCTAATGGAGAAAATTCAGATCCCTGAAATTCTCTCATCATCAGTGTAGCTGAGATGGACCATAGTCAAGAGGGATGAGGTAAGGGACTCACTCCCCTCCCCACCCCATTCCTCCATGGGTTGTCCAGCGTTGCTTGGGATGGAGAGAGGCAGGCTGGATGTGGTGGTTCATGCCTGTAATATGAGCACTTTGTGAAGCCAAGGTGGGAGGATCACTTGAGCACAGGCGTTCAAAACCAGCCTGGGCTCCAGGTGGGCCAGCATCTCCCCACTGGCCAATTCCTGGTCACCCTGAACACACACACACACACACACACACACACACACACACACACACACACACACACTGGCTTGTGTACCCCAGGGGCTCTTCCCTTTAGCTCCATGAAGCCTGCCAGCTTTGAACTGGAGGAAGGGAAAGAAGGGAGCTTAGGTGAAAGCCAGACAGCTTTGGGGGTTATGGAGGTAAAAGTGGGGCCTTGAGCTCTTTTCTCAGTTCCCTTCCAGGAAAAAGGGGATTACTGTGGCAGGGTCCAAAGCTACGACAGCCAGAAGCTTCTAAGAGGTCTATGGAGCCAGCCTCCTGTGCAGCCTAGCAGCCGTGGCAGAGGCTACTGGTCGAGTAATAATCAGAACAATGGTTCCCAGTTACCTGTTCCTCACTATGTACTCATTAATGTACTGAACAGTTAGCAAGTGGTTTTCTTTTGTAATTTAATTTAATTTATTTTTTTTAAGACAGATTCTCATTCATTGCCCAGGCTGGACTACAGTGGCGCGATCCTGGCTCACTGCAACCTCTGCCTCCCCGGTTCAAGCAATTCTCTTGCCTCAGTCTCCCCAGCAGCTGGGATTACAGGCATCTGCTACCATGCACAGCTAATTTTTGTATTTTTAGTAGAGATGGGATTTCAACAAGTTGGCCAGGCTGGTCTCGAACTCCTGATCTCAGATGATCCACCCACCTTGGCCTTGCAAAGTGTTGGGATTACAGGCATGAGCCACCATGCCGGGCCTGCAGGTGTTATTTCTTTGGTGATTTCTATTATCATCCCCATTTTACAGATGGGGAACCTGAGGCACAGAGAAGCTAGGTAACATCTCCAAGGTCATACAGGGGTAGGAGGCAGGGGTAGGAGGCTGCCAGCTCCAACCAGGAAGCTCCTTGAATAAGAAAGCTCCTAAAACTCCTAAAGCTCCAACCAGAAAACAAACAGGCCAAGCAGACTAGCTAACCATCCTTCCCCCATCAAGACATCACCAGCTAGAGTTGACTGGGGAGGTGGAAGTGAAGCAGAAGTCCCCATCCTCACAACTCTGCCCCTTTCCCTGAAGCGAAAGAACAGGCACCAGTCTCCCAGAAGCCCTTGCTGGTTTCAGAGAGTCTTTTCTCCTTCCTGCTGAGGGATATCTGGAAGCTGGGCAGAGGTGAAGGCCTCTGGGCTACAAGAACTGAGGGCAATAAAATGGTCAGTAGTGGGTCCCCTGGCAGAAAGGAGACTGAGGGGCAAGGAGCCAAGTGCTGCATACAGAGAGTGGGGTCTGGATGAAGGCAGGGTGGGAAGTAGGGAGAGAAGAAAGCCCAGAAGGACTTGTCTTGAAGATTGAAGTTTCTTACCAACCTGAGCTGCACTACCGAAGCAGTAGAGTCCAGACCAACGGCCAAAAACATGGGCTCTGGGGCCAGAGAGACTGGCCCAGCTCCATCACTTACTAGCAATATGACCTTGGGCATGGCACTTCAACTCTCTAAGTTTGGTTCCTTGGCCATAAAACTGGGGTGCCCCTAAGATCTACTACGGGGGGCTGCAGTGAAAATCAGGGAGGGTGGATGTGACACCCTCAGGGCAGCGCCTGCCCCGTACTAGATGCCACATTGAGATTAGCTGCTATTACTCTTTGGTCCTAACCTCAGTTGCTGTGGACAGCTGAATACTGTCTCCTAAAAGATGTCCGTGTCCCAATCCCCAGAACCCATGAATATATATGTGATCTTATATGACAAAAAGGTCTGTGCAGATGTGATTAAGGATCTTGACAAGAGGAGAGTGTCCTGTCTTATCCAGGTGGGACCACACTAGTCACAATGGACTTAAATAGGGAAGAGGGAGGCAGGAGGGTCAGAGAGAAGATGTGGTGACACCAGGCAAGCAGAGTTCAGAAATGCAGCCGTGAACCGAAGACTGCAAGTGGCCTCTACAAGCTGGAAAGACAAAGGAACAGATTCTTCCCTGGAGCCTCCAGAAGAAACACAGCCCTGCTGACTAATGCCTTGACTTTAGCCCGGTGAAACCCATTCAGACTTCTGACCTCCAGAGCTATAAGGTAATGTATGTGTGTGGCTTAAAGCCACGAAGTTTGTAGCAGTTTGTTCAACCAGTGATAGGGAGCTAATACAGCTGCTTTTCTATAGGTGCAAGTCTTTCCCAGCTGAGCCCATTACTTCCCCAAGCCTGCTGTCCTCCTTCCCCTTGGGGTGCTTCCCTTCTGGTGCAGATTTCTGTCCCAGGGCCTGACAGTCTGGGGAGCTGATGAGGTGTGGTTCCCGGACCAGCAGCATCAGCATCACATGGGGACTTGTAAGAAACATGAATGGTCTGGCCCCATCCCAGACCTATTGAATCAGAAACTCTGGTCTGACACCCAGGAATCTGCATTTGAACGAGCCCTCCATGGGATGTTGATGCACACTCAAGTTTGCCAACCACTGAGCTCATTGATTTGCATGTCTGCCTCCCTCTTTATAGAGCAGGTAGGGATTACTGCTGCCCAGGGTCAGCCTTGGCCAAGAGGGACCTGCCGCTATATGCCCACTGAGTGCCTCTGTCCCAGCAGCTCTTGGGCCATATTATCATTCTCTGCTTGTAGATCTTTCCCACTAGACTGTGAGTTCTGCCGGGGCAGAGGCTGTTTTTTGTTGTTGTTGTGTTGTTTTGTTTTGTTTTTGTTTTTTTGAGACGGAGTCTCGCTCTGTTGCCAGGCTGGAGTGCAGTCGTGCAATCTCGGCTCACTGCAACCTCTGCCTCCAGGGTTCAAGTGGTTCTCCTGCCTCAGCCTCCTGAGTAGCTGGGATTACAGGCACCAGCCACTATGCCAGGCTAATTTTTGTAATTTTAGTAGAGATGAGGTTTCACCATGTTGGTCAGGCTGGTCTCGAACTCCTGACCTCGTGATCTGCCCACCTTGGCCTCCTAAAGTGCTGGGATTACAGGCATGAGCCACTGCGCCCAGCCTGAGGCTGTGTTTTCTTGTTCAAGGTTGTATGTATTCTTGGCATCTGAGTGCTTAGTAAATGCTCAGTCAATACTTAAGAGTATCTGACTGACTGAATGAATGAATGAAAGGTGTTCCCCTGCTGCTAGAGAGACACATGTGCCTAGCTCCTGTATTTCCTGTCACCTGGCAGTGAGATTTAAAGGCTTGGTCAAAGGAGTGTGTATTTTTGAAACACTCTCTAGGTGTTTTGTTTAAAAACAAAAACAAAAAACTAACTCCATCCTGTTCCCCTTTTAACCTAGGGGACCGACCTTTCTTCCTCATGGCTTTGTGAACACCATATTCTTCACCCAGGCCACTGCATCTGCCTGCTTCCCAGCTTATCAGGACAGCCAGGTAGTCCAGCAAGGGCAGCCATAGTGACTGTGGAGAGAAGCATAACTGGAATAGTGAGCATGCCTCCAGGTTGCATACAAGACCAGAGCAACCACAGCAAACCAAGGTCAGGGCCAGAGCTGCTGCTTCACCTTGTATCCCCGTGGCACCTGTCCAGGGGCTCTCACTGGGGGCCTGCTGGGAAATGTGCGTTGAATCAAATTGACAATAATTACCACCGGCTTCAGGACGGGCGCAGTGAGAGTTGGCCCTGTCTGCTGGGCCCTCCCCTGCAGCTCTCCTCAGGGCCTGGGAACACCCTGAGCTCCACCCCTACGCTGTACAGATCAACGAATTGACTGCCCAAGTAAGCTAAGTGGGTTATGACACAGCTTTCAAAGTCAGCAACAAATAATCACTGACTGCTAATGGTCTATAAAGCACACACTTATGAAGAAGCCAGCCAGATGAATCCAACAGGACCCGAGGCAGCCTGTTGCTTCCAAGGCTGGCCTGTGATCTCTGTTGTGCTGGGTCCCCTGCCTCACTCCAGATGTGCTAGGTTAAGAAGCCTATGGTGCTTTGGGTGCTTCTGATGAGGAGCCTGGAGGATAGTGCCATGCAGGAGCCAGAAAGAGGACCAGGCTCTCGGGGCCAGCCCTCTGCTCAGGCTCCAGCCATAGCTGTCATGAGCACTCCAAGCAGGCAAGCAGACCTCTACTAGAGTTCTGGGCCTTCACAGGATGGCGGAGGCAGAGCAGTTAGGGGCCAGCTCCAGGCTCTAGACAGAGGAGGGAACCGGGTTGGAAGAGTAGCCAAGACACCAAGGCATACCAGGCTGGGTCAGGGCCTGCCACAGAGTGTCACATATGCTCATGGGTGACATGACTATTCTTGTTGCTGTCGACATACACTGTTACATTGCTTCCAGGAATGGCCTCATCTTCTCTTCACTGCCTAGGTAGGAGTTAAGATAGAGCGGCATCATCAGTAACTGATTCTGGGCCACTGTAGGGTGCTCCCTTTAGGAAAATTGGGACACGCACCACTGGGGTCCAGTGATACGAAAGTGGGTAATCCTGTTGAAATTGTCAACGGTAGAAAGGAAAGTTTGAGATGGGAATTACATGCGACCCTTCAGGAACATCTGAATCCTCAGAGCTTCCTGCAAATCATGGCTGCCTGCCTGGAGGAGAGGGTGTTTAAAGACTGTTAGAGACATCCATAGGGTTGAATAGGGCCCATATGGATGAGCAGGTGACCAGCTCAGGCTTCCTTCAGGTAGGGGAGGTTGGAGATGCTGGATGATCTCCCAGGTGATTCCAGCATTTGCTGGAGCTTACAGCCAACAGTCAATCCAGCAATCCCAGCAGGTCACTGGCCAGGACCAGCCGTGGATCCTACTCTGCCAGGGTGAGCCGCTGTTCAGGACATGCTCTTGCTTGTCTCCCCTCCTTCCTTCCCCCTCTTCCCTTTGCCTCCTGCCCTGGCCCTCCTTTTTCTGCCCCACACTCCCACCACCTCAACTGTCTAATACCCAGGTCTCCTCCAGGGGCCCCACATTCTCTGCCACTTGGAGAGCTCCCTGCTTCTGACCTTGATGAGTTTTCCCCCGTACAGTGCCTCTTCTGAATTCTGGACCTTTATCTACCCGGTGCAGAGGCTTCTCTTTGAGATCCCACTGTCACCTCCACATCAAAAAACCCCTCCCTTCAGCTCCCTCTGCCTTCCCCCTCCCCCAGCAGCTCTCTCCCAGTCTCTCTCAGTCTCTGCCTGAGGCCTCTCCAACCTGACTTCAGACAGCTGGTCTCTAAGTGCCACAGCATGGAGAGGTGTTCCCTGACCTTGGCCATCCTGTGGCTTGTTTCCTCTTCTGCCCCTGCCATAGTTCCTACACCCATTCCCCCTCCCTGGCCTCCCGCAACAGCCTCCTCCTAACGAGTCTCTGCCTCCAGTCTTTTCCCTCCTCTGTCTGCTCCCACCTCCCCATTGAACACTCACTTGATCACTAGAGCCGCTAAATCAAATGCGAATTTGATCTGCTCACTCCAGTTCACAGTCTTCATAGCTCCAGTCCCCACAGGGCCCGGTACTGATCCAGATTCCTTACTTCTCCAGGATCTGCCCAAGCCTCCCCTGTAGTCAGCAGCAGCCTCTGGGTGTCTGTGAGCCACAGTCTGAGAAGCACTGACCCAGTCCAAACTCCTCACTCTCCCGGGGGCGGGGGGTAGCGTGGAAACAAAGCCCAGGGCTCTCTCCTCATCTCATGTCACTTGCGACCCTTTCCTGACACTATGGCCACACACACAGTGCTCTGCTCATTGCTCAGAAAAGGCACAAATTTCTCCTTGCCACTCCCTTTGCCTGGGCTAGACAGAGGGAGCAGGCCAAGGTTATGGAGCAGGGTGGTGTCGGGTTCAGGCAAACTCAACTGGCACAGCCAGCCTTTGGCAGTGCCAGGACAGGGTGCTTCAGCAGGTACAGCTGGCAGGTGCAATAGGGCAATAGCTGAGATGGCCTTTGTGACAAGGAGATTAGTGGCCATATGGGGAAATTGAGCAAAAAAAAAATATGTTGAGGATTATAAGAATCAGGTTTCTTGGCACGGGTGGGGAGGGAAGTGTAAATATGGAAGAGTGGCATGCAAGAATCAACTCTGATTGTTGGATTCAAATGGCAAGAATTGGTGTGAATTCCCGGTTTTAGATAGATAGCTGTTTTTCCCCTGTGTCGTCACATTACAGAAGGGGTAAGGGAGCTCTCTGAGGCCTCTTCTTTTTTTTTTTCTTTTCTTTTTTTTTTTTTTTTTTTTTTTTTTTTGAGACAGAGTCTCGCTCTGTCACCCAGGCTGGAGTGCAGTGGCATGATCTTGGCTCACTGCAACCTCTGCCTCCCAGGTTCAAGCAATTCCCCTGTCTCAGCCCCCTGAGTAGCTGGGATTACAGGCACACACCACCATGCCCGGCTAATTTTTGTATTTTTAGTGGAGATGGCGTTTCACGAAGTTTGCCAGGCTGGTCTCGAACTCCTAACCTCGTGATCCACCCACCTCGGCCTCCCAAAGTGCTGGGATTACAGGTGTGAGCCACGGCACCTGTCCGGGGGGCCTCTTCTTATGTAGGCATTAATCCCATTCATGAGGGCCCCATCCTCATGACCTAATCACCTCCCCAAGGCCCCACCTCATAATACCATCACCTTGTGTGTGGCAATTTCAGCACAGGAATTTGGGAAAGGGACATACAGAGTCAATCTATAGTAGCGTGTGTGCATGTGCATGATTATACATCCATCTGTTTCCTAGTTCTGTCCGCTGAGAGGGCCTAGAAGCAATGACACCCTGGTGGCAATGAGCATACCCAGCACCCAGATCTTAGTTTCTGAATAATATTGTCCACTGAAAGGAACCAGGTTTCTTAAGAGGAATGGTTGATTCCCTGGGACAGTGAAGTTTCAAGATGAACCTGAAACATCCGGTGCTGCCAAGAAAGTCAGGATGTGTTCAAAGAATGATGGGACCATGAGAAAAGGGGCTGCCACTGACCAAGTCTGGGACGATATGAGCATCAAAATAAACAACGAATTGTATATAAACCATGGAATAGGAGTTCATGAGCCCATGCCGATATAAACAAACAGGCAAACAAATGGGAGAGAAGGGAAGGCCCTTCCTAGAGCAGAACGCCAGCTAATAAATGTAGAAGGAACGATAGCATGAGAAAATCATAATTTGGCAACCATAATGATAACAACTAATTCAGGCAGGAAGTATCAATAGATGCTAAAACTAGTGGGTGAAAGTTTAATGAGGAACAGAAATTTATACAATCGCAAGATACCTCCCCCGATACTTATTAATTGTTTATAAATTAATAAGTACAAAAGCCCTGCTAATTCACGTTACAGTGGAAAGATCTGACAAATAACACTTTAATCAAGTGATCAAAGTTAATGTTATCAGTAATGATAGCATTATCGTTATTCCGTATCATTACTCCATATTACATTAATCCATATTATATGCCACCTGATAGGGTGTACTGAGAACACATCACTCCCAAGGTATTCCAGAGGGAATATCAAGCAAATCCAAACTGAGGGACATTCTATATAATACTTGGCCTGTACTCTTCAAAAATGTCAAGGTCATAAGGAACAAGGAAAGACTGAGTAACTATTCCAGATTGCAGTAGACCAAAGAGACAACACAACTACATGCAACATATGGTCTGGGATTGGATCCTGGACGAGAAAGAAAACCAGGAAAAATAAAGTTGTTGTTGATGATGATGATGATGTTGATGATGATGGCAAAGATTTTTGTTTGTTTGTTTGTTGTTTTCACTACAAAGAGCATTAATTATTTGGACAATCAGGGAAATTTAAGTAAAATCTATGGATTAGGTAATGTCAAATGCTAATTTCCTGATTCTCATTGGTGTACTATGGTTTTGTAGGACAGTGTCTTTAATTTTAGAAAACACACACTCAACTATTTAGGGGTAATGGAGCGTCAGGTCAGCAACTTACTTTCAAATGATTTGGTAAAAATAATAGTGAGAGAGACAGAGCAGGAGAGAGAGAACCATAAGACACATATGGTAAAATGTTAACAATTGGGAATCCACAGAAAGGTTAAAGAGGTAAAGAGTCCTTTTGTTTTGTTTTGTTTTGCTTTGTTTTGAGACAGTGTCTCACACTGCCACAGGCTGGGATGCAGCGGCGCAATCATAACTCACTGCAGCCTCTATCTCCTGGGCTCAAGCCATCCTCCCACCTCAGCCTCCTGAGTAGCTGGGGCTACAGGCACATGGCACCACAGCTGGCTAATTTTTATTTTATTTTATTTTTAGTAGAGATGTGGTCTCATTATGTTGCCTAGGCTGGTCTCAAACTCCTGGCCTCAAGTGATCCTCCCACCTCAGCCTGCCAAAGTGCTGGAATGGCAGGCATAAGCTACCACACCCAGTCAGTAATGAGTTCTTTGTACTAGTCTCACAACTTTTCTATAAGTTTAAAATCATTTCAAAATTAAAGCTTGTTTTTAAAAAGTATGAACTCAGGTCTCCTGCACCACTTCCTTTCTTTTCCTTTCTTGTAAAACATACAAGAAATAGACTTGTATGTTTTATTTATCTATTTATAATGTGGGCCACATATGTAATTATTATTATTATTATTATTATTAATTTTAGAGCTGAAGTCACACCTGGCTGTCCAGGCTGGAGTACACTGTCTATTCACAGGTGCCATCATAATATAGTATAGCTTCAAACTCCTGGGTTCAAGCCATTCTCCTGCTTCAGCCTCCCAAGTAGCTGGGAATGCAGGTGTGCGCCAGCACAATCTCATGTTTAGGTAACATTTGCAAGGCTACTTTTGGCTTTAGATGAACGAACCCCAGGCACACTGACTTACGGTCACACTTTGGTTGTCCTTCTAACTGCATATTATCCTTGATCCCTCAACTTATTCCTCAAACTTTACTTTCTAGAAATGAAAGCCATCCTTAGTGCCAAAGCTCCTTTATCGTGGAGGCTGTCACAAGGCCAGGCCCCACTGCCTGGAGCGTTCTCACCTGCCCCACTTGGGTGGCACCCACAGGGCTGCCCAACTCAGGCCTTACATGGTGAAGAGAATAATGGCCCCCAAAGATGTCCATGTCCTAATTCCTAGAACCTGTGAGTGTGTTACCTTAAATGGCAAAAGAGACCTAGCAGATGTGATTAAGTTAAGGATTTTAAGATGAGAGAATTATCCTGGATTATTTGAGCCAGCCCCCTGTAATCACAAATGGTCCTTATAAGAGGGAGGCAGGAAGGTGAGAATCAGAGAAGAAGATGTGATGATGGAAGCAGAAGGAGAAGTGATGTGGCCACAAGCCAAGGGATGTAGGCAGCCTCTAGAAGGCATAAAAGGCAAGAAAACACATTCTCTCCTAGAGCCTCCAAAAGGAATGCAGCCCTGTCTTAACTTTAGTCCAGTGACACCCATCCGAAACTCCTGACTTCTAGAACTGTAAGATAATAAATTGGTGGCCAGGCACAGTGACTCACACCTGTAATCCCAAAACTTTGGAAGGCCGAAGTAGGAGGACTGCTTGAGCCCAGGAGTTTGGGACCAGCCTGGACAACATAGCAAGGCCCTGGCCCTACAAAAATAACAAAATAATTAGCTAGGCGTGGTGGCATGCACCTAGGTATGGTCCCAGCTACTTGGGAGGCTGAGGTGGGAGGATTGCTTGAGCTTGGGAGGTCGAGGCTGCAGTGAGCTGTGATGGCTCCAGTGCACTTTAGCCTGAAAGACAGAATGAGACCCTGTCTCAAAAAACAAACCAAAGAAAGTAATAAATTTGCATTGTCTTGAAACCACTAAACTTGTAGCAATTCCTTACAGCAGTGGCAGGAAACTAATGCACCTTGTTTCTTCCACTCTGGAGAATGTGGAGCTCCCCAAGGCCTGAACCATGTCTTGTCATGTCCCCATCCCTTGCAGGGCCTCCTCACCTGAACCCTGACCCCTAGTTGGCACTCAGGAAAAGTTTGTTTGAATTCACTCAGCCGGGAGAGGCATTGAGCCAGGGGGTCATGACAAATGTGCAAGGCCTCTCGCCCCTCTCTGAAGGAGTTGGGTTTCCTATGGATGTTCACATTCTGTTCTGTCTGCCCAAGACTGGTCTTGCTTGGCTGTGGTCGCACCACCAGCTGTGGGGATCGTAAATGTGTCTGCTGGGGGTTGGGGTGAGAGGCGTTTGAATGCCTGGGAAAGGAATCCCAGACCCAAAGACTCTGCCCAGGAAGCGTCTGGAAGCCTCCTTACCCTAGCTCCCAGCTGTGCAGGGAGAGATGCTCTTACAATGCCAGGAGGGCAGGGCAAAAGCTGAGAGCTCTGCTACCTGCAAGTCTAGAGCCCAACAACTGGGTCCAGCTGGTGTCTACACAGATGGCAGGACCCCAGGTCACTGAGCTTTTCACTTTCCAGAACTGGGGAGGGGAAGAAAGGGGACATCTTACGTCCCTGTGTGCATCAGAATATGGGGTAAGGCATAGTTTAAAAGACATATTTAGGGATGGAAATGTTCTGAGCAGAGATGGTGGTGATGATTGCACAACTCTATAAATTTTCTAAACATTACTGAGTTATACACTTGCAATTTGTGGTATCTACATTATACCTCAATAAATCTGTTAAAAAAAATTATAACATCTCTTTAGAAAACCCATAAGGAGAGCTGTATTTTCCCAGCGCAAACCACTGGAGGTAAAGTTTGCATTCATATTTTTACTGGTGAGGTGTGGGTTTAAAAAGCTGGGGCCCCTTGGCAGCCCACCAGGGACTCGCGGGGCAGACACTCGGGGAACTCATAGCTCTCCTTTGTCTACAGATACCGCCTTCCTGCCCTCAGGGAGCTCCCAGTCGGGACAGAGAGAAAGTGCAAACAGAAATATCTAAATGCCCGGGATGCCCAGGAGTGACAAGGATCAGTGTGACCAGGGGAAGCAGGCCAGGTACCGGGGACTCCAGAGTGGGGAGAGGAACTGGCAGGAGATGGAGTTCCCGGACTTCAGCCTCTGTGCCCCACCCCCAACCAGGTCCCCACACCAACCCCCTCCTGCCAGCTGTCTCCCCCTGTGCCTTCCCTCTAGCCCTGCTTCAGCTCAATCCATTACCTTCTGTTTACAGCCTCTTCAGACAGTTTTCCTTGGCTTGATGCAAGCCAATTTGAATTAATTTTCCAAGCATGACCCTGTGAGTCACTGTATTAAATGCCTTCCACATAGTTCTCATTGCTGCACACACACGGTGCATTGGCCAACCATCTGCAATCACAACGAGGTGCCCAGCCCCACAGAGTGGCGCCCAGCACGAGCAACAACATTCCCAAGAGTGGCCCTGGTACAGGCCAGGTGCAGAAGGATCCACGGCACACGTTCTTCCAGGGCTCCTTGGAAATAAAGCGAGGTGGGGCAGCTAAGGAAGGACTGTCCAACAATCAGCTTTCTTTCATTTAAACAGCTTTATTGAAATATAATTCACATAGCACAGAGTCACCCATTTGAGGTGTACAATTTAATGGTTTGTAGTGTATTAACGGAGCTGTGCAACCATCACCAGCCAATTTTAGATATTTTTGTCACTCCCCAAAGAAACCTCATACCCTTTAAACTATTTTCCTCCTACATCTCTCTCCCCCTGACCCTAAGCAGCCAGTAACCTACTTTCTGTCTGTGTAGATTTTCCTAGTCTGGACTTTCATTTGAATGGAAGTATATGATATGTGGACTTTATTGGTCAGCTTTTCAAAAGGAAAATTGCCAAAGGACTGTAGAGCAGCATTTTGCGGGGAGGTGGGTTCCTCCATATTGAGAGGAAGGTGGGCAGAAAAGGGAGAGGCTCTCACTCCATCTTTGCAGGAGCATTTCCAGGTGGGATGTGAAAGGGGTAGCCCTCCACTCGGTGTGAGCCAGTCCCACCCAGCCACAGCCTAACCTTGTCCTCCCACCTCGGGAAAGCCTCAAGTTCTTGTGCCCACAGAGACCTACCCTTTCTTATGCCTTTAACATATCCCCCAGGCTGGTCTCTCGTGGAGCTGCCATCCCAAAAGGAGAGAGAGAGAAGGAGAGCTGCCTGTCCAATTTTCAGGAGGAGCTAGAGGGAGCCCTGTTTTCTTTCACAGCCCAGGAGGAGAGGCTCCCCCACCTGCTTACACAGTCCATTTCCTAAAGGGTGCCTGCCATCACAGGAATTTACTGTCGGCCTCTTCCTTTCTCCTTGCTGAAGCAAATTGGCCTTTCTCCAGTTCACAAGAGCATCACAGAGAATGCTGGCAGCCTCCCTGCAGAGTCATCACCTGACTCGCTGTGTAATCCACAAAACCCGAGCTTCTCAAGGTTGGAGGCTTGGAGGCTGTCTGGCCCAGACTGCTACACGCAGCATGACACCACCAAGGGCTCGTCCAGGCTCTGCTTGGACACCTCTCCTCTCCTCACCACCTCTTGAGGCAGCCCCTTGCCTCCTGGTAAAGCCCTGTAGGAAATTCCCTGCTACCTTGAGCTGAAGCCTGTTTCCCTGTAACAACCTTCTTTTGTTCCCATTTTTATGGCTCTGACTTGGAGAGAAAGTTGAATTCCTTCTCTCTTTTATAGCCCTTAAGGAATTTAAGACAGATACTAGCCCACCTCAAGAGTCTTCTCTCGTCCAGCTGAGAATAGCAACCACACCACAACCATACTTATATGAGCACAGCAACACACACACACACACATAATATGGAAGAATCAGCCAAGAATCTCCTTGAGCTGCTGTCTGTGTAGGCTGGAGAACCAGGAAAGTCAATGATGTAATTCAGTGTAAGTCTGAAGGGCCAGGAACGAGGAGCACTGATGTCTGAAGACAGGCGAAGATGGATGTCCCAGCTCAAGCAGGGAGAGCAAATTCACCTTTCTTCTGCCTTTTTGTTCTCTTAGGGCCCTCCACAGACTGGCTGATGCCTACGCACAGCGGGGAGGGAGGCTTTTCTTTACTGAGTCTACCAAATCATATGCTAATCTCTTCTGGAAACATTCTCATAGGTACAGCCAGAAATAATGTTTGACCAGATATCTGGGCATTGTTTAGCCCAGTCAAGTTGACGCATACAATTAACCATCACAGTCACTTGTGCTTTTGGTGTCATATCTAAGAAACCATTGCCTAATTCAAGGTCATGGAGATTGACACCTACATTTTCTTCTAACAATTTTAGCGTTTTAGCTCTTACATTAAGGTCTGTGATCCACCTTGAGTTAATGTTTGTATATGATGTGAAGGAGGAGGTCCGAATTCATTCTTTTGCATGTGAATGTCCAATTTTCCCAGTACCATTTGCTGAAAAGACTATTCCTTCTCCCATTGAATTGTTGTGGCACACTTGTGGAAAAGCAATTGACCATAGCTGTGAGGTTTTGTTTCTGGAATCTCAATTCTACTCCATCGAATAGACATCCATTGACCTATATGTCTATCCTTATGCCAGAACTCTGCACATGCAATTTTTTATTCAGGGTTATAAAGACAATATAACTGCAAAGAAGTATTCTCCACAAGACATATTCTTTGAAGCAGAAATGTTTTTAATTTTTTTTTTTTTTTTTTGAGACAGAGTCTTGCTCTGTCACCCAGGCTGGAGTGCAGTGGTGCAATCTCGGCTCCCTGCAGCCTCCGCCTCCTAGGTTCAAGTGATTCTCCTGCCTCAGCCACCCGAGTAGCTGGGGTTACAGGTGTGCGCCATCACATCCGGCTAATTTTTGTACTTTTAGTAGAGACAGGGTTTCACCATAATGGCCAGGCTGGTCTTGAACTTCTGACCTCAAGTGAGCTACTCCTCTCAGCCTCCCAAAATGCTGGGATTACAGGTGTGAGCCACTGCACCCAGCCAGAAATGTTTTTAATTTTGATGAAGTTCAATTTATTTATTTTTTTCTTTGGTTGCTCGTATTTTTGTTCCCATATGAAGGAAACCATTGCCAAGGTCACAAAGATTTACCCCTATGTTTTCTTCTAAGAATTTTATAGTTTTGAAAGTTGTAGCTGTCGTATTTAAGTCTTGGATCCATTTTGAGTTAATGGCAAGGATGGCTTCTTTGATTTACATTCTGTTGGGCTCAATGTCTCAATTCCCCAAGGGCTTCTGAAGAGGAAGTTCAGTCGGAGCTCCTTTTGCTACAACTTCATCAAGAGATTTGGGAAAAGCAACATTTCATTAGCAGGTCCTGAGGAGCCTCCTGCCCCACCCCCACACCTTTGGAGGGAGAGACTGAGCATGGGCAATTTTTTTTTTTTTTTTTTTTGAGACAGTGTCTTGCTCTGTCACCTAGACTGTAGTGCAGTGACACAATTATGGCTCACTGCAGCCTCAAACTCCTGGGATCAAACAACCCTCCAACAACAGCCTCCCAAGTAGCTAGCACTACAGGCACACACCACCATGCCTGGCTATTTTATGTTTCTGTAGAAGCAGCATCTCACTATGCTGCCCAGGCTGGTCCCAAAGTGATCCTCTGGCCTCAGCCTCCCAAAGTGCTGGGATTACAGGCATGAGCCATCAAACTTGACTGAGCACAGGGATTTTTTTTTTTTTTTGAAACAGAGTCTCACTCTGTTGCCCAGGCTGGAGTGCAGTGACATGATCTCAGCTCACTGCAACCTCTGCATCCCAGGTTCAAGCGATTTTCATGCCTCAGCCTCCGGAATAGCTGAGATTACAGGTGTGTGCCACCACACCCAGCTGAATTTTTCTGTTTTTTAGTAGAGATGGGGTTTCGCTGTGTTGGCCAGGCTAGTCTCGAACTCCTAGCCTCAAGTGATCCACCCACCTTGGCCTCCCAAAGTGCTGGGATTACAGGTGTGAGCCACTGCACCCAGCCAACACAGGGATTTTTAACCACTTCTCCCCCTTTCAAATGAAGAAACCTAGGTTCTGGAGGGGAGGTGGCTGGCCAAAGATCACACAGCCAGCAGGTTCACAGCTGAATTCCAATCCATGTTTTCTGATTCCAAATTTCACGTTCCTTCTATTCTGCCACAATGCCTGCCTACAATGAAACAAGCAAAAATCAGCCGGGGACAGAAAGCCAGACCAGTGGGGCAAGAAGGAAAGACGGTGAGTTCACAGCAGATCACTCAATGAGTATCTGTCAGCAGTGAAGGATTGGACATAGGAGAATTTCCGGGTCTTTTAGAAGAACAGGAGTAACATTTGCTGCAGTGTGGGTAGTTTCTGTGAAAGAAGGCCCTGTGAAGAAAAATAAAGGAACTGAGATGATTTCACCTACTGCAAAGGCCTCAGAGTAAATTAATGGTGCTTTTCCAGGATATGGATGTTCTGTTCAGAAGCTATTGTACATTTCTTGTTTGCCCTGAGACGCAAACAAGAGCAAATGACATGGCCTTCCATCATGGTAGGAGAGATTTAAATTAGCCCCCAAGAAGAGTGGAATTGTTAATTAAAAAGATTCTTTAGTGATGGCCTTGAAACAGTCCATCCACTGGGACCCTTTTAGACTGCCCTTCATCCTCTCCTGAGGCAGGGACCCAGTCAGCCTTGGGCCCATGGTTACCAAGCATGTTGGTCGTGCAAAGCAGTGCCCTGGGACTGGAAGTGGTGGAGAGGCTACATCACACAGGAAAGCAGATTTTTCCTTGTGGTATCTCCAAATGGGAGGATCCTCTACAGAAGACATAGAATAACTAGGTTGTGAAGTCTCTTCTTTCTTTTTTTTATTTGTACTTTTTTGAGAGAGGATTTCATTTCCGTCGCCTAAGATGGAGTGCAGTGGCGCAATCATGGCTCACTGCAGTCTCAACCTCCCGGGTTCAAATGACCCTTCCACCTCAGCCTCCTGAGTAGTTAGGACTACAGGCGCGTGCCACCATGCCTGGTTAATTTTTGTATTTATTGTATAGATGGGGTTTCGCCATGCTGCCCAGGCTGCATGGTTTCAAACTCCTGGACTCAAGCCATCCTCCCACCTTGGCCTCCCAAAGTGCTGAGATTATAGGTGCCCGGACCTCTTCCTTCTCTTTTAGCTCTCACTGGTAGTCTTCTGAGAGACTCTGTATTAAATATTATCTCTAAAAAGGAACTGTGGCTGGGCGCGGTGGCTCACGCCTCTAATCCCAGCACTTTGGGAGGCCGAGATGGGTGGATCACCTGATGTCAGGAGTTCGAGACCATCCTGGCCAACGTGGTGAAACCCCGTCTCTACTAAAAATACAAAACATTAGCCAGGTGTGGTGGCGGGTGCCTGTAGTCCCAGCTACTCAGGAGGTTGAGGCAGGAGAATCACTTGAACCCGCCAGGTGGAGGTTGCAGCGAACTGAGAATGTACCATTGCACTCCAGCCTGGGCAACAAGAGCGAAACTTGGTCTCAAAAAAATAAAAATAAAAATAAAATAAATAAATAAAAAGGAACTGCACTGTGGTAGGCTGGATAACAGCCCCCCAAGATGGCCTTGTCCTTATTCCTGAAACCTGTGAATATGTGACCTTACATGCTAAAAGGGGTAGATGTGATTAAGTTAATGATCTCAAGATGAGATTATTTTGGACTTTCCAGGTGGGCCCAATGTCATCACAAGGGTCCTTTGAAGAGGTGGGCGGGGGGTCAGAGTTGGAGATTTGAAAATGTTGTGCTAGGCCGGGCGCGGTGGCTCATGCCTGCAATCCCAGCACTTTGGGAAGCCGAGGCGGGCAGATCACGAGGTCAGGAGATCAAGACCATTCTGGCTAACACAGTGAAACCCTGTCTGTACTAAAAATACAAAAAATTAGCCGGGCGTGGTGGTGGGCGCCTGTAGTCTCAGCTACTCGGGAGGCTGAGGCAGGAGAATGGCATGAACCCGGGAGGTGGAGCTTGCAGTGAGCCAAGATCATGCCACTGCACTCCAGCCTGGGAGACAGAGCGAGACTCCGTCTCAAAAAAAAGAAAAGAAAATGTGCTGCTGGCTTCGAAGATGGAAGAAAGAGCCATGAGCCAAGGAAGGCAGGTGGCCTCTGAAAGCTACAAAAAGGCAAGGAAATAGATTGTCCCCTAGGCCTCCAGCAGGAATGCAGCCTTGCTGACACCCTCATTTTAAGTTTTCTGGGCCGGGCGTGTTGACTCACGCCTGTAATCCCAGCACTTTGGGAGGCGAGGCCGGTGGATCACGAGGTCAGGAGTTCAAGACCAGCCTGGCCGAGATGGTGAAACCCCATCTCTACTAAAAATACAAAATTAGCTGGACATGGTAGCAGGCGCCTGCAATCCCAGCTGCCTGGGGAGGCTGAGGCAGGAGAATGGCGTGAACCTGGGAGGCGGAGGGTGCAGTGAGCCGGGATTGCATCACTGCACTCCAGCCTGGGAGACAGGCTGGAGTCTAAAAGAAAAAAATCTGATAGCCAGAATTGTAGGGCAATACATTTGTGTTGTTTGAAGTCACTAAGTTTGTGGTAATTAGCTACAGCAACAATAGGAAACTGATACATCCGTTAAGCTAAAGGCCAGTCTTAGCATTATAGAACAAAACAGACTATGGGTAAATACCAATTATCCTAAAGAACAAAGTACAGGTTATTTAGGAAACTTAGGTTTACTTGGAGACTTAGGTTTACTTGTTGCATATCAGTTGAATTCCAGTGATCATTCAAAACTATGGGTGGAACTAACCCAACGTAATTAAACAAAACAACCATGTAATAACAAGATAGCTGAGGGTGAGGCCCTCATATAAGTTTAGTAGAATAGGAACTATATATTATATGAGTATATATGTAAGAATAGCACGAATCCATGACATATTTTTGGACACCTTTATTGAGATATAATTCACATTCCATACCATTCACCAATTTAAAGTAAGTAATTCAATGGTTTTGAGTACATTCACAGAGTTGTGCAACCATTACCACAGCCAATTTGATTTCATTTTATTATTATCTTTTTTCTAAAGTTAGGATCTTGCTCTGTCACCCAGGCTGGAGTGTAGTGGCTCAGTCACAGCTCATGGCAGCCCCAAACTCCTGGGCTCAAGCAATCCTCCCACCTCAGCCTCCTGAGTAGCTGAGACTACAGGCACGTGATGCCATGCCTGGCTAATTCTTCAAAATTTTTTGTAGACATAGGGTCTGACTATGTTGCCCAGGCTGGTCTTGAACTCCTGGGGCCAAGCCATCCTCCTGCCTCGGCCTCCCAAAGTGCTGGGATTACAGGTACGAGCCACTGCACCCAGCCCTGAAGATGTCTGCTTCTCATCCTGATGTCCTAGCTAAGAGAAGGAAAAGAAATACAATTGACCCTGGATGGGAGGGACCGTCGGCTTTGCTCCAAAGCTGCAAGATATTGCCAAGACTGGAAGGTGTTCTGGGTTGAATCAAATCCCCTAAAAAGATATGGTAATGTCCTAACCCCTGGTGCCTGTCAATGTGCCCTTATTTGGAAATAGAGTCTTTACAGATATAATCAAGTTAAGGTAAGGTCATAATGGAGTAGGGTAGGCCCTAAATCCAATGTCTGATGTCCTTGTGAAAAAGCCATGTAGCCGAGTGGCTCATGCCTGTAATCCCAATGCTTTGGGAGGCCAAGGCAGGAGGATTGCTTGAGCCCAGGAATTGAAGATCAGCCTGGGCAACATAGCAAGACTCTCTCTATCAAAAAAGAAAACTTTAAAGCCATGTAAAGACACAAGGACAGAGACACATGAGGAGAAGGCCATGTGAAGACAAAGACAGAGATTGAAGTGATGCATCTACAAGTTAAGGAATGCCAGGAATTGCCAGAAGCCACCAGAAGCTAGGAGAGAGGCCTGGAACAGATCCTTCCCTAGAAACTTTAGAGGGAGTACGGCCCTTGGTGACTGTTTGGTAAACTCATAAGCAAATACAGTCAGCCCTTCATATCCTTGGATTCTGCATCTTTGGATTCAACCAACCTCAGTTTGAAAATACTTGGGGAGGCTGGGAGCAGTGGCTCATGCCTGTAATCCCAGCACTTTGGGAGGCCGAGGCGGGTGGATCACCTGAGGTCAGGAGTTCGAGACCAGCCTGGCTAACCTGGTGAAACCCCGTCTCTACTAAAAATACAAAAAATTAGCCAGGTGTGGTGGCAGACACCTGTAATCCCAGCTCCTCAGGAGGCTGAGGCAAGAGAATCGCTTGAACCCAGGAGGTGGAGGTTGCAGTGAGCCGAAATCGAGCCATTGCATTCCAGCCTAGGCAACAAGAACAAAACTCCACCTCAAAAAAAAAAGAAAAGAAAAGAAAAGAAAAGAAAATATTTGGGGAAAAAAAAAACAATGAAAAATAACAACACAGCAGTAAAAATACTACAAATTTAAAAAACAATACAGTCTGACAGCTTTTTGCATAGCATTTATATTGCATTAGTTATTATATCTAGACATAATTTAAAGTATAAAGGAGAATGTTCATTGGCTACACACAAATATTACACCGGGCTGGGGATGGTGGCTCACACCTATAATTCCAACAGTTTGGGAGGCTGGGGTGGGCAGATTGTTTGAGCCCAGGAGTTGGAGACCAGCCTAGGCAACATGGTGAAACTCCGTCTCTACAGAAATCAGCCAGGTGTGGTGGCATGCACCTGAAGTCCCAGCTACTCAGGAGGCTGAAGTGGGAGGATCGCTTGAGCCCAGGAGGCAGAGCTTGTAGTGAGCCGAGATCGCACCACGGCACTCCAGCCTGAACAACAGAGCAATACTTTGCAAAAAACAAAAACAAAAAAACCCACCATTTTATACATGGGAATTGAGTATCGTTGGGTGCTGGCATCTGCAGGGGGGTCCCAGAACCAATCCTCCGTGGATACAGAAAGATGACTGTATAGCTCAGACTTTAAGCCAAGCACAGTTGAGGGCACAGAGTAGAAACTCATAAAGGCCTGATGATTGCTGGGCAAGCCAAAAGCTACCTGGGGAAGAGCCAGCAAGGCCTCTGCCAAGGTGAGATCACAAAGCAGATGGGAAAATGTATGTCTTCCTGGCCACAAGGCAGAATGCCTAAGGCCCATAGGCCTTTGTTTCTTCCCTCCTCACTTTCTGATCCACTAGTAGCTCTCAGAGCCTGTAGATGGTCCAGACATGAAAGAGGTGAGAGCTAAGGGGTTCCCCTGGAATTCTTTTTATTTCTTGTGATTCCACTTCCCTTGAGGTCTCACTTAAATTTTTCACCCAACACTCCGAGGTTCCTCTAAATTAGCAGGACTTGTTTGAAAATAACTGAAGAACAGATAAGTACTTGAATTAAATCACTAAATCCGGAAGTTTCAATCATTTCTTGGAGTAGACCCTGCAGAGTAGATTTGTTAAGATAATGAACATATACCCCTTTTAACCATGTTCTGCCCTTTCAGATGCCCAGGCAGAGGCAAGCTCTGCCCACAGCTCTAGGCTAAGGGAGCAGGATCCTCTATACTGGGCAAACTGGTCTGCCAGGACTGAACAGTGTGGCCCTCTGCATGCCTCCTATTATTCCATGGAACATTCCAGCAAGTTCCAGAGCAGGCAGGGCATTGCACATAACACAGCTCAGTCAGACCAGTGGAAACTGTCTTTAGCAAGGAGCAAATGGACACCAAATGCCCTGTTCCTGAGTGCATACCTCTGATTGCAGTGCCTTTTTGAAGCCGATCACATCAGGAATGTTTTATTTGTTCCCTACAGTTGTTATAACAGATTACTAACAACTTGGTGGCTTAAAAAAACACATATTTATTCTCTTACGTTTCTGGAAGTCAGAATCCAAATCAGTTTCACTGGCTCCAAACCAAGGTGTATGCTGGGCTGCCCACCCTCAGGAGGCTCTAGAGTATAATCCATTTTCCTGGTTTTTTCAGCATCTACGGCTGCATTCTTGGCATTCCTTGGCTCATGGGCCCTTCCTCCATCTGCAAAGCCAGCAGCAGAGCATCATGCTTCAGTGGTCACATGGCCCTTCTCCTCTGTGTGCAATGTCCCTCTGTCTCTCTCTCTCTCTCTCTCTCTCTCTCCTTTTTGGGGGGGGGCGGGGGGACGGAGTCTCACTCTGTTGCCCAGGCTGGAGTGCAGTGGCACGATCTCGGCTCACTGCAACCTCCGCCTCCCGAATTCAAGCAATTCTCCTTCCTCAGCCTCCTGAGTAGCTGGGATTACAGGCGTGCACCACCAAGCCTGGCTAATTTTTGTATTTTTAATAGAGATGGGGTTTCACCATGTTGGCCAGGCTGGTCTGGAACTCCTGACCTTGTGATCCACCCACCTCTGCCTCAAAGTGCTGGGATTACAGGCATGAGCCACCGAGCCTGGCCCCCTCTGTCTCTCTCTTATGAGAACACTTGTGATTTTATTTAGGGCCCATCCAGATAATCCAAGATAATCTCCCCGTGTCAAGATCCTTAACTAAATCCCATCTGCAAAGTCTTTTTTGCCATATAAGATCGCATTCACAAGCTCTGAGAATCAGGACATGGCCATCTTTGCAGGCCATTATTCAACTTCTCACAGGAGTAGAGGGGAAACTGTCTGCCTGTGGGTTTGGAATCTACATTGACCAACCCAAACCTTCTGCCCCAAATGGCAATGAGAAAGGCTTCAGGATCCCTCAAGAGGCTCTTTTACTGCTGGTCTGAATTACAATGACACCAGTTCCCATTGTGCTAAGGTAAACAGGGAGCACCGCTCCTGAGATCAACAGCAGCCACCAACCACTGGTCTTGTGGACACCTGGACCTCAGGTCAGCACCATATTCCCTGATTACTGCTTCTTGTTAATAGGTCACCTGCTTTTGCTTACTGATGTATCATGGCACTTTCCAGCCTTCATATGTATGGTAGAGCCCATTACAGACGCAGCAGAGTGAACCACATCTGCTACCCCAAGGAATGCCCTGTCTCAATGCCTAAATTTCTTCCAAGGGCATAGTGGCATGCCAGCCTGCCAACTGGTCCCCCTGACAACCCTCCTGACCCCTCACTGCCCCAGAATGAACTTCCCAATGCCCATGTCTCCCTACATCACACCCTGATAAGCCCTTCAGTGGCTCCCCATGGCTGACAGCAGGATCAAGTTCTATGGTCCCCACTTGATCAGGCCCTGTAGATGGGTCAGCCCCATCTTCAACAATACCTCCTTTCTCTACCTACAGCTTTTACTCCCTCCTCTCTGGATTACTTTTGTCTCCTGAAACAAACCATGCTACCTTGGTGCCTTTGTTTGTTTTAAATACAGAATGGGGTCTTGCCATGTTGCCTAGGCTGGTCTCAAACTCCTGGGCTTAGGCAATCCTCCTGCCTTTGCCTCCCAAAGTGCTGGGATAACAAGCATGAGCCACTGCGCCCGGCCTTTTGTGCCTTCGTTGATGGCAGTCTCTCAGCCTGGAATGCCTACATTCTCTTCTGAAATCCTCCAAATGCACTCAGCTTTCAAGGCTTCACTTATTCAAGAGCAGTGAGGAGATAGTTTGTGCCTGCTGGGCGTCAGGCTGGCTAAAGCACATACAGTATTTCCTTTAGTCATCTCAACAGCCCTACAAAGTAGGAAAGGCTAGTCCTGTTTTCCTCCAGATATGAAAACTAAAGCACTGAGATGGAAGGAGATTTGTTCACAGCCACCTAGTGAGTAAGTGATCAAGTCTGTGGTCGGCTCAATACTGATCCCCAAAGATGTCCATGTCCTAAGCCCCAGAACCTGTAAGTGTTACCTTATATGCCAAAAGTAACTGTCAGATGTGATTGAGTTAAGGGTCTTGAGATGGGGAGAGTATCTTGGATTATCCAGGTCAACTCTAAATGCAATCACAAGTGTCCCTTATAAAAGTGGGGCACAGAGAGATTAGACACAAAAGAGAAGATGTGAGAATAGAAGCAAGAGCTTGGAGTGCTGCAAGGAAGGGGCCATGAGCCAAGGAATGCAGCCAACCTCTAGAAGTTGGAAAAGGCACAGAAACAGATTCTCTCCTAGAGTCTCTAGGCGGCCTGCAGCCCTGCCCGTGCATTGATTTTAGCCCAGTGAGACCAATTCTGGGCTTCTAACTTTCAGAACTGGAAGAGAATTAATGTGTGTTATCCTAGGCCACTACGTTTGTAGCAGTTTGTTACAATGGCCAAAGGAAACTAGTACCAAGAAAGAATGTGAGTTTAAATATCTCTGACACCAGAACTCATGTTCATTCTTCTCTCTGTGCAGCTTCCCAAGGGCCACTTCCTCTAGGACAATTTCCCTCACCACCCCCTCCAAAAGCAATTCTTTCCTTGTCTGTCCTTGCACTTCTGTGTATCTGTTATTCACTTTGAAGGCCTGCCTGACCTATGCCATTCCCTCAGGGTTGGGACTGGGTGGTGTATGCATCTGTGACCCCAGCAACTGCACAGAGGTTTCAAATGCATTCACGAAGGAATTCATGTATGTATGGCTACATACAGCCCAAGGGGGCCGTGGGAGTTGTTTGGGCCCTATGCCCTGACACCAAGCTTATTTAAGAGGTGTCTGTTCCTAACACACAGGGAAACCTCACATCAGGGTGCAGTATATATATGTATTTTTGAGACAAGGTCTTGCTTTGTTGCCAAGGCTGGAGTGCAGTGGTGCCATCATTACTCACTGCAGCTTCTACCTCCCAGGCTTAAGCAATCCTCCACCCTCAGTCTCCCGAGTAGCTAGGACTATAGGTGTGTGTCACCCTGCCCAGCTAATTTTTTGTAGAGGTAGGGTCTTGCTACGTTGCCCAGGCTGGTGTTGAACTCCTGAGCTCAAGTGATCCTCTTGCTTGGACCTCTCAAAGTTCCGGGATTACAGGCATAAGCCCCAGCCTGGATGCAATATATATATATATATATATATATATATATATATATATATATATATATATATATATATATGTATGTATATAGACGTGTATGTGCATATATGTGTGTGTGTGTGTGTGTGTGTGTGTGTGTGTGTGTATATTTTTTTTTTTTTGAGACTGGGTCTCTGTCACCCAGGCTGGAGTACGGTGGCACCACCATGCCTGGCTAATTTTTGTATTTTGTTGTTGTTGTTGTAGAGATGAGGTCTAACTATGTTGCCCAGGCTGGCCTTGAACTCCTGAGCTTAAGCAATCTGCCCACCTCAGCCTCTCAAAGTGCTGTGATTACAGGCGTGAGCCATTGTGCCCAGCCAATCATTTTAAAATTGAGATAAAACTCACATAATATAAAATTTAACATTTTAATCCATTCTACAACATGAATGAACTTTGTTTTTTGTTTTTGTTTTTATTTTATTTTGTTTTTAAGACAGGGTCTTGGAGTCAGGTGTGGTGGCTCACGCCTGTAATCCCAGCACGGTGGGAGGCTGAGGCGGGCAGGTCTCGAAGTCAAGAGATCGAGAGCATCCTGGCCAACATGGTGAAACCCCATCTCTACTAAAAATACAAAAATTAGCTGGGTGTGGTGGTGTGCACTTGTAGTCACAGCTACTCGGGAGGCTGAGGCAGGAGAATCGCTTGAACCCGGGAGGCGGAGGTTGCAGTGAGCCGAGATCATGCCACTGCACTTCAGCCTGGCAACAGAGTGAGACTCCCTCTTAAAAAAAGAAAAAAAAAGACAGGGTCTTGCTCTGTCACCCATGCTGGAGTACAGTGGTGCCATCTCTGCTCACTGTAGCCTTGACGTCCCAGGTTGAAGCAATCCCCCCATCTCAGCCTCCCAAGTAGGTGGGACTACAGGTGCATGCCATCATATCCGGGTAATTTTTTGTCCATTTGTTTGTTTTTGTAGAGATGAGATTTCGCCATATTGCCCAGTCTGGTCTCAAACTCCTGAGCTCAAGTGATCCACTTGCCTCAGCCTCCTAAAGTGCTGGGGTTACAGGCGTGACCCACCACACTTGGCCGACAAATGAACTTTGAAAACATTATGCTAAGTGAAATAAACCGGACACAAAAGGCCAAATATTGTTTGATTCCACTTATATAAAGTACCTAGAATAGTCAAAATCATTGAGAGCAAATAGATTAGAAATCTCCAGTGGGGTCTGGGGGCGGTGACTCACGCCTGTAATCCCAGCACTTTTTTTTTTTGGGAGGCCAAGGCGGGCAGCTTGCCTGAGGTCAGGAGTTCGAGACCAGCCTGGCCAACATGGCAAAAACCCATCTCTACTAAAAATACAAAAATTAGCTGGGTGTGATGGCGCATACCTGTAATCCCAGCTACTCGGGAGGCTGAGGCAGGAGAATTGCTTGAACCCTGGAGGCAGAGGTTGCAGTGAGCTGAGGTTGCACTGCTGCACTCCAACCTGGGTGACAGACTGAGATGCCATCTCAAAACAAAACAAAACAAAACAAATCTCCAGGGGCTGGGGGAAGGGAGGGAGTAATAGCAAGTATTTAATGGGTATGGAGTTGCAGTTTAGGATGATGAGAAAGTTCTGGAGATGGATGGTGGTGACAGTTGCACAATATTGTAAATGTACTTAATGTCAATGAATTGCATACTTAATAGTGGTCAAAATAATAACTTTTATGATATATATAGTGATAATAAAATGTTTAAAAAAGACATTTACCACTTAACCATTTTAAAATGTACTACCTGTGGTTTCTAGTACATTCACAGAGTTGGGCAATCACCATTATAAAATCAATTTTAGAATATTTTCTTCACCCTACAAGAAACCCTGCACCCATTAAGGAGTCATTCTTCATCCCTCTCCCCCCAGCCCCTGGAAACCATTCATCTGCTTTCTGTCTCTGTGGATTTGCCCATTCTGTACATTTCATATAAATGGAATCATACAACATGTGTCTGATTATGTGTCCTATCTTCTGTGTCTGGCATTTTCCATTTAGCCTAATGTTTTCAAGGTCCATCCATGTTTGAGCACAGATCAGTATTTCATTTCTTTTAATGGCTGAATAATATTCCATTGTATGACTGGATCACATTTTGTTTATCCATCCATTGCTTGATGGACATTTGGTTTGCTCCCACTTTGGCTATTATGAATGATGCTGCTATGATCATTTGTGTACAAGCATTCCTGTGAACATGAGTTTTTATTTCTCTTGGGTATATATCTAGAAATGGAATTTGCTGGCTCACATAGTAACTATGTTTATCAAGACGCAACTTGCAGTAGAATCCAGCGCATCAACTCTGAGTCTCTGAGCTGTTGGAGGACATAGACAGCCTAGAAAACAGAAGGGCAAAGGCAATTGAAAGAATCTCCTTTTTAGCTCATACTTCCATTTTTCTCCCACCCCAAAGTGGGTCTGTTATTGAGTCACAAAATTGACAAGTTTGAGTTTGAGCTCCCCTCCTGAGCTGTGAAATCAACCCAAGAGTAGGGTTTCAGTTGGCAGAGGGGTGGTCAACTGGTACATCTGGAGTTGACTTTGTCTATTATCTTTCTAATCATCCCTTTAGCCTAGAAAGCCTTTGCCTTTAGAGCTGTTGGGCCAAAATCTAAAATCAGCTTGTGAAAGTGCTGTCTCGCAGCCTCCTGGTATGTGAGAATTTGTCCATACTTGATACACAAATAACTATTTTGCTATTGACTGTTCCTCAGCCTGATCTATTCAAATGAATCTCTTTGAAGACATGCCACCTACAGATCACGGTATTTCAACAACATTTGAACTCTTTCCAAGTATAATCTGTAATAATTTCTTCATTTTCACAATATTTGCCCTTTGAAACAGGCCCTGAGCTTGTGCGTTTAAAGGGGGGAGTGGGATTTAGAGAATGTCAAGCAAGCGAAATGGTTTAGGTTGGTTCATTCTGTTCTGTGCCCATGAATAGCGCTTGATTCATGGACCGCAAGTGGAATGTTGAACAGGACAGGCTCGTCATGGGGTACAGCAGAATTAGACTCAGCATACTCTCCAGACTTTCTCTCTCTGACCAGATGGGCAAGCCAAGCCTCAAATAAGCACAAATCCTCTGATAACAGTTTATACTTCCAAACAGCCCACAGGAAATGGGACCCTTGATAAGAGAAGCAGCTTCACTTGTAAATTACAAGCATTCACTTACTAACATTTAAACTGACAATTATCACAGCTTCAAATGCTGGGCTCCATTGGAAAGCAAGTCAAGTTGTTCATCTGTTGGGTTGGTGGCTGATCCCTTCTGTGGTTTGCTTACAAGTGAAAACCCTGCTGCTGGTTGGAACCCATTCTGCTTGATTTGGACTTGACAGAAGTACCTGGTACAAAGGAAAAGACCTTTTAGCAGGGAGAACAGGGTGGCAGGTGTGGCCCCCAGGGGGCCACTGAAAAGCCACAGCAGGGTAAGTCACACTGCCTGCAATGCTGCAATGGCACTGAGCCCATGTGAAGGCACAAGGCCTGGTTTATGTTGCCACTGCCTTCCTGTGTGACCTTGGACAAGTTGTTCCCCATTTCTGGGCCTCAGTCCCTTCCTCTTTAAACATGGGGGCTGAAGCAGATTACACTGAGGGAGGCCCCTGCTCTATTGTGCTGTGCTTGGAAAGCCTCTCATGTAGCTCTCAATGCAGATCTGATGAAGAACCTGCAAGGACATGGATTACATTTCATTTTCTTTTTCTTGTTTCTTTTCTTTTTTTTTTTCTTTGAGACAGAGTCTCGCTCTATTGCCCAGGCTTGAGTACAGTGGCGCTATCTCAGCTCACTGCAACCTCCGCCTCCTGGGTTCAAGTGATTCTCTTGCCTCAGCCTCTTGAGTAGCTGGAATTACAGGTGCCCGCCACCAAACCCGGCTAATTTTGTTTTGTATTTTTAGCAGAGAAGGGGTTTCCCTGTGTTCGTCAGACTGGTCTCGAACTCCTGACCTCGTGATCCGCCCACCTCAGCCTCCCAAAGTGCTGGCATTACAGGCGTGAGCCACCGCGGCCGGCAGCATTTCATTTTCAAGAGATGAAGGGGTGTGTTGAGAAATGCACTTTACACATGTACCCTAAAACTTAAAGTATAATAATAATAAATTTTAAAAAAAAAGAGAGAAATGCACTTTAGAATTGTGTTGTCTGGAAAGGATAGGCTAGGCCCCAATTCAGCAGCTAGACCCTGGCCTTGATCTATATAGAATCTTAGAAATCGTTTCAGTGTGTATGCTTTCCGCATTCATCCTGTTTCTAAAGACACGATGACTCCTTTTCTTGACAACTAAAAGCTCCTGGCATGAGCTCTCTCAGTCTCACTCTCTGAGCTCTGGATCACAGGGTGAGTGTGGAAAGGTGGGCAGAAAAATCTGTGTATGATTCCGTTCAGCCATGGGTGGGACGTGGCAGAGCCTCAGAGGTGTGTCTCAAATGTGGGGCTAACCAAAGGACCTGCCAAACCTCTTTTTGCTTTTCTCTAGCAGTTTTGGAACCCAGACTTTCCATATTATCCTGGCTCAACCCTCATGCGGGAGGAGAGTCATGGGGCCTCTAGGTTGAAAAGGACCTCAAAGGGAGACTAGGCTGGATATCTTGAAGAATGGGAACTCCCTTCCTACAGAGGCAGCTCCTCCATCTTGAGGTTGTTCTGCCCCTTAGGAAGTTCCCGAATCCAGCCAGGCAGGCATGGTGGCTCATGCCTCTAATCCCAGCACTTTGGAAGGCCAAGGCGGGGAGGATCACTTGAGGCCAGCAGTTAGAGACCAGCCTGGGCAACATAGTAAGACTCATCTCTACAAAAATAAAAATTAAAAAAATTAGCTGGGTGGGGTGGCATGTATCTATCGTTCTAGCTACTTGGGGGGCTAAGGCAGGAGGATTACCTGAGTCCGAAAGTTTGTGTCTACAGTGAGCTATGATCATACCACTACACTCCAGCCTGGGTGACAGGGTGAGACTCTGTCTCTTTTAAAACAAGAAAGTTCCAGAGTCCATCACCCTGTAGCTTTTCCCCTTTATCCTTATTTTCATAAGCTGAGGCCACAGAATACAGATCAAATTCCCCAGGAGCTCCCTCCAGGAGTCTCCCTCATCACTCCTTTCCTTTTTACCCCTTACAGTCATCTTTTTCTCCGGTCCAAACACTCACCAAGATTATTCATTGTATGAAAATTCCGACTTCCATAGGTCAGGTGCAGTGGCTCACACCTGTAATCCTAGCACTTTGGGAGGCCAAGGCGGGCAGATTGCTAGAGGTCAGGAGTTCAAGACCAGCCTGGCCAACATGATGAAACCACATCTCTACTAAAAACGCAAAAATTAACTGGACGTGGTGGTGCATGCCTGTAGTCCCAGTTACTCGGGAGGCTGAGGCAGGAAAATCGCTTGAACCTGGGTGGCAGAGGTTGCAGTGAGCCAAGATCACACCACTGCAGTCCGGCCTGGGTGACAGAGAGAGACTCTATCTCAAAAAAAAAAAAAAAAAGAAAAAGAAAGAAAAGAAAAGAAAAGAAAATTCTAACTTCCCTTTAACATCCTGATCACTGGCTCCTGAAGCAAATCCAGCCTGTTAATGTCTCTCAGAGAGGCTACTGGTACCCAGAACATGACATGCATCCAGGCACTGTGAGCTGACCAGGAGATGAGTGGGATATCACCTCTGTCCGTCTAGAGCAGAATAAGCTCCTCAGAGGGTATAGGGATAAAAGATGTACAGAACTTTCTGTTGTGATTCAGGAAGCATCTCTAACTCTCTTAGCCCGTTTTCTGTTGTTTATAACAGAATACCCCAAACTGGGTAATTTATAAGGAAAAGGAATTTATTTCTTACAGTTGTGGAGGCTGAAACGTCCAAGGTTGAGGGGCTGCATCTGGTCAGGGACTTCTTGCCGGCGGGGATTCTGCAGAGTACTGAGGTGGCAAAGGACATCACATGTCGAGGGGGCTGAGCATGCTCACTCAGGTCTCTCTTCCTTTTCTTATAAAGCCACCAGTTCCACTCCTGTGATAACCCATTAATCCATTAAACCATGAATGGATTAGTCCACTCATGAGGGCAGAGCCCTCATGACACAATCATCTCTTAAAGGCCCCACCTCTCAATGCTGCCACACTGGGGATTATATTTCAACACGGGTTTTGGAGAGTAAAAGTCCTGAAACCATAGTAATAACCCAGATGTCTCTTATTGTGCCTCCTTCTCTTCCCACCTACTTAGCCAACATAATAACAGTTAAAACAAAACAATACGAAAGGATATCGCTTGTTGAGAGCTTACTATGTGCCAGGCACTGTTCTGTGCACTTTCCATGTGTATCAATGTGTTTCCTCTACACAAAAGCCTTAAGATGTAAGTGCCATTATTTTGCCCATTTTGTAGATCAGGACACTGAGGACCAGAGAGGCAAGGTGACTTGCCCAACTTTAAACAGCCTGGCTGGCTCCAGAGTCCATGCTCTCTACATCTATGGCTGGATGACACCTTCTATATACTGAATGAATGACTGCGTGCCCGTAGTCTGTCATTAGCAATAAGCAATACCAGGCCCCAATACTGGCTTCAGGAACCCCCTTCCCTATGCCTTGGGTCCACAAATGCAAGGTCCTGTAATACATAGAAGCAGAGGTCCTGCCCTGGCATCAGGAAAGCTAAAGGTCAGGGATACTCATCCTGGCTCTCTACTGGTCCTCTTGAATGGAGCCCCAGAACAATAAGCAGCCCTGTTGGGTTGGCTTGGTCTACCAGCCTTGATTTCAAGGCTAAGGCAGGGTGGAGGACGCAAAAACCCACCCTGTAAAGATCCTCTGGATAAAGGCAGAAGACCCCCTTCCCACTGACCTGGCCATTGTATAAAGGATCTGGGGAGCTTTGCCTGCTTATAGATATGGTAGAGACCTGGCGAATAGCTCCTTAGACACATTCTGCCAGGACTCCCCAGGACAACACAGCTGTTGGGAGTTGGGGACTCCTTGAACCCTTTTTCTGAAGCAGAGTGAATGAGGAACCCATTCTCCCTTTTCTGACTGTAAGCCCTGTAGCACACATCTGTCTACCAGAGAGGCAGTTAAGAACAGGGGTATGTAAGCCAGGCTTCCTGGGTTCACATCCTGGTGCTGCCACTCACCAGCTGAGTGACCTTGAGCAAGCTACTTAACTGTGCCTCAGTTTCCCCAGCTGTAAAATAGATATTAAAATAGCACCGATCTGTCTTAGTCCACTAAGGCTGCTATAATAAGATATCATAGATTGGGTTGCTTAAACAACAGCGATCTCACACAGTTTTGGAGGCCGGGAAGTCCAAGATCAGGGTGGTGGCAGATTCGGTTTCTGGTGAGAGGTCTCTTTCTGGCTTGCAGATGGCCATCTTCTTGCTGTATCCTCACATGTCAGCAAGAGAGAGAGAACACTAGTGTTTTTTATTCTTATAAGGGCACCAGTCCCATCAAGGGAGCCCCACCTTCATGAACTAATTTCCTCTCAGAGGCCCCACCTCCTAATACCATCACATTGGGAGTTAGGGGTTTTTTGTTTTGTTTTGTTTTTAGTTTTTTTGTTTTTTTTTAGATGGAGTCTCACTCTGTTGCCCAGGTTGGAGTGCAGTGGTGTGATCTTGGCTCACTGCAACATCTGCCTCCTGGGTTCAAGTGATTCTCCTGCCTCAGCCTCCTGAGTAGCTGGGATTATAGGCTTGCGCCACCACGCCCAGTTAATTTTTGTATTTTTAGAAGAGACAGGGTTTCACCATGTTGGTCAGGCTGGTCTCAAACTCTTGACCTCGTGACCTGCCCGACTCAGCCTCCCAAAGTGCTCGGATTACAGACGTGAGCCACCACGCCTGGTGGGGGTTAGGGTTTCAACATAGGAATTTGGTGGGGGGACACAAGCATTCAGTCCATAACACTATCTCATAGGGTTTTATGAGAATTGAGGAGCTAATGCCTGTAAAATACTTGCTCAGTGTCTGGTACTGAGCTTTATTGAGATATAATTCACATATCATATAATTCATTCACATATATATATATATATATATATTTTTTTTTTTTTTGAGACACGATCTCACTCTGTTGCCCAGGGTGCACTGCAGTAGTGTAATCATGGCTCACTGTAGCCTCAAACTCCTGGGCTCAAGCAATCCTCCCACCTCAGTTTCCTAAGTAGCTGGGACTACAGGCATGAGCCACCATGCCTGGCAAACTTTTAATTTTTTTTTTGTACAGATGGAGGTCTCACTATGTTGCCCAGGCTGGTCTTGAACTCCTTAGCCTCAAGCAGGTCTCCTGCCTTGGCCTCCCAAAGTGCTGGGATTACAGGTGTGTGCCACCATACCCGGCCATTCACTCTTTTAAAATATACAATTCAGTGGTTTTCAGTATATTTACAAGGTTGTACAACCATCACCATCTAATTCCAAAACATTTTCTTCACTCGCCAAAGAAATCCTGCTCCTCTTTGCCATCAACTACCAACCTCCTCCCGCTAGCCCTAGGCAACCACTTATCTACTTTCTGTCTCTATGGATTTGTCTATTCCGGACATTTTGTATAAACAGAATCATATAATATGTGGTCTTTTCTGTCTGGCTTCTTTCACTTAGCATCATGTTTTCAATGTTAATTGATTTTATAGCATGTATCCATACTTTATTTTTTTACGGTTGAATAATATTGCATTTTATGAGTAGACCATATTTTGATTATTCATCCATTGATGGATATTTGAGTTATTTCCACTTTGGCTATTAAGAATAAAGTTGCTGTGAACATTCATGTACAAGTCATTGTGTGGATATGTGCTTGCTTTTTTCTTTCTTTCTTTCCTTTTTTTTTTTTAGACAGGGTTTTACTTTGTCACCCCTCACTGTAGCCTCAACCTCCCAGGCTCAGGTGATCCTCCTACCTCAGCCTCCCAAGTAGCTAGGACCACAGGCGCACACCACCACACTCAGCTAATTTTTCATATGTTTTGTAGAGACAGGATGTTGCCATGTTACCCAGGCTGGTCTTGAACTCCTAGGCTCAAGCAATCCACCTGCCTTGGCCTCTCAAAATGCTAGGATTAGGCCGAGTGTGGTGACTCACACCTGTAATCCCAGCAGTTTGGGAGGCCAAGGTGGGCAGACCACTTGAGGTCAGAAGTTCAAGACCAGTCTGGCCAAAATGGCAAAACCCCCTCTCTACTAAAAATACAAAAAATTAGCTGGGCGTTGTGGTGCACGCTGTAATCCCAGCTACTCATGAGGCTGAGGCTGGAGAATCGCTTGAACCCCGGAGGCCGAGGTTGCAGTGAGCTGAGATGGCGCCACTGCACTCCAGCTTGGGCAACAGAGCAAGACTCTGTCTCAAAAAAAAGAAAAAAAAAGTGCTAGGATTACAGGCGTGAGCCACTGCCCCCGGCCTGAACATGTGCTTTCAATTCTCTTGGGTATATACTTAGCCGTGGAATTGCTGAGTCATATGGTAACTCTATAGTTAACTTGTTGAAGAACTCCCAAATTGTTTTCCATGGTAGTTGCACCATTTTACACTCCTATCAGCACTGTATGATTTTCCACATCCTCACCAATGCTGGTTAGTATCTGCCTTTTTGATTACAGCCTCCCTGGTGGCTGTGAAGTGGGATCTCATTGTGAACTAATTGCTTCACTTTAGAGAGTATTTACTGGTTTCATACTGGGGCTGGGTCCAAAAGTGAGAGAGACCTGGGGAGACAAGGCTTTGGAGAGGAGACAAATCTTTCAGGATTTGTTGTGAGTGGTCAGAGATAGGGGCGGGGGAGGTGTCCAGGAGGGGAGAATTGCCCAGATTGAGTGTTAGAGACATCAATGCACCCGCTGCATTTTGGAAATGAACAAGTTTGTACCATAAATGCAGTATCAGAGGTGTAGGAGGCATGCCAAAGGCTGAGACTTGGGGTGCCTGGATGCCAACACTCAGTAGCTTGGTTTTATTTTGAAGATGAGTTGCCATTTATGAGCTGGGGCGTGAAAAGAAGAAATCTATTTTAGGATGACCATTCTGATTGCCATGTGGAGCCTGGGTTGGTGGGTGCAGCAATGAAGGCAGTGGGACCAGGGAGCAGCTGGACAAGGGTCCAGTAATTCCCATTCGAGATGGAGACAGCAGGAGCCAGGTGGAGGTGGTGGCGGCAATGAAGCAGGGAGGGCCCAAAAAGACACAGTAAGCAGACAGTGAGCAGATCCCCAAGTGGAATACTTTCACTTAGTTCTCTCCCAATCTTTCACTGCAGAAAGATAGTCTTGGAAAAATTGAAAAGTCAGAGTTTCTAAAGGAAAATCCCCACAGGTGATGAGGACAGGGGGTGAGGGACAGGGCACTGCTCACTCCCCCTTACTCTGGGCCCAGGGCCACCCGGCATGCTGGACTCTGATGGAAAGAGTGGAGGTGACAGAGGAAAGAGAGATCCCTGTGCCAGGAGCACCAAATATTCTCCTCTCCACGAAGCCAACTTGGACAATGTTTATTTTGCACCAATCATATGCATGGCTCCCAGAGAGAAACGCAAGGTACGATGTGTCCCTGACTTCCAGAATCTTCCTCTTGAGATAAATTCAACATCAAGGTATATTTGAAAAATAATAGAAAATAGAAATGCTCACACAAGGAGATCACAGATGATTCCTTACTACATTTGTCCTCCAAAGGCTTCAAGAAAGAGGTGCATCTTGATCCAGGGCTCAGGGGACATTCGCATTTGGGTGCCAGAATGCAAAGGCTTAAGAGACAGTGCAACAGGCAATGGAAACCACATAGCAAAGGCAAGAAGGCAGAAAGGCATGAAGCCCACTCAGAAAACAGTGAGGTCACCTATTAGGCCAGATGTACTGAGGTAGGAAAAGCTCGGCATTGAATGCCAGGCCAAGGCATGTTGCCTGATCCTGTAGGCAATGGGGAGATAGGGGATATTATATCAAAAAAGGAAAGGATCAAGGTGATGGACACTCTAAAGGGCGAGGTACCACTGAGCCAGCAGGGGAAATCAATCTGCCTTCTGATGACAGACACGCAAGTGAGCAATTCTGGGGCTCTAACAGAGACCAGCCACAGAGTGCACGAACGTACAAGATGGCAAATGTCACCCTCAAGGTCTTGTTATATCTGGACGGGGGCCAAAAAGAAGTGTCAGGAAGTGGAGACCTGAGATCAGAAATGGGCTGGATATAGAGGACGATAGAGCTAGAAGAGCCAGGCGTGGTGGCACGCGCCTTACTACCAGCTACTCAGGAGGCTTAGACACAAGGATAGCTTGAGCCTAGGAGTTTGAGGCTGCAGTGAGCTATGATCATGCCACTGCACTCCAGCCTGGATGACAGAGCAAGACCCTGTCTCTAAAAATAATAATAATAATAATAATAATAATAATAATAATAATAATAATAATAAATAGGCTGGACATGGTAGCTCATGCCTGTAATCCCAGCACTTGGGGACGGCGAGGCAGGAGGATCACTTGAGCCCAATAGTTTGAGACCAGCCTGGGCAACATAGCTGGGCTTGGTGGCGTGTGCCTCTAGTCCCAGCTACCCTGGAGGCTGAGGTAGGAAAATCAATTGAGCCCAGGAGGTCAAGGCTGCAGTGGGCCATGACCACACCACTGCAGTCCAGCCTGGACCACAGCAAGATCCTGTCTCAATAAATAAATAAATATATGAGTGAATGAATGAGAAGAAATAAACGGAGATGGACAGGTGTGCGGGAATCTCTTTCTCTTTAGGACTCTGCCTATGCATAAAGAAAAGTGTGAAAGCCAGATTCAAGGGAGACTGTGAAGAGAGGTTTCAGGGAGCCTGTCACCAGTGAGGCTGGCCCCCAAAGTCCTTCCAGTGCATTCCAGAGGCATTCACCAGAGGCAGGGCGAGGCACAGGAGATGTGCTATGGGCCAAGCAAGTGGTGAAAACGAAGATTCTACCCGACTGCCCTGAATCTGGGGAGGGCAGCCTTCCATTTTCTTTTCTAAAATGCATGCCTTAGGAGGTAACATTTTTTAACAGTTTTTTTTTTAATGTGGTAAAATATACATAGCATAATATTTATCATTTTAATCATCCGTAAGTATACAGTTCAGTGGCATTAATTAAATCCTCAATGTTGTATACTCATAACCACTATCTTTATCCAAAACTTTTATTATCATCCCCAACATAAACCTTATACTCATTAAATAATAAGTTCTTCCCCCTTCCTCCCATCTCACAATAACCTTTATTCTACTTTCTGTCTCTAAGAATTTGCCCATTCTGAGTATCTCGTATAAGTGGAATCATACAATACTTGTCCTTAAGTGTCTGGCTTATTTCACTAAGCATGTTTTCAGGGTTCATTTATGTTGTAGCATATATCAAAATTTCTTTCCTTTTCATGGCTGAATAATATTTTATTGTGTGTATATACCACATTTTGTTTATCCATTCACCTGTCAATGGATACTGGAGTTGTTTTCACCTTTTGGCTATTGTAAATAATGCTGCTATGAACATGCCCTGCTTTCAATTATTTTGGTTATATACACAGAAGAGGCATTGCTAGTAATTGTTTAATTCTTTGATAAACCACCATGTTGTTTTCTATAGCAGCTGTACCACTTTACATTCCCACCAGAAATGCATGAGGGTTCAAACTCCTCCACATTCTTGCCAACTCTTGTTATTTTCCATTTCTTTTAAAATTATAGCCATCCCACGGCCGGGCATGGTGGCTCACGCTTGTAATCCCAGAACTTTGGGAGGCCAAGGGGGTTTGGATTCCCTGAGGTCAGGGGTTCGAGACCAGCCTGACCAACATGGTGAAACTCCATTTCTACTTAAAAAAAAAAAAAAGCTGGGCGTGGTAGTGGGCTCCTATAATCCCAGCTACTTGGGAGGCTGAGGCAGGAGAACCCCTTGAACCTGGGAGGCAGACGTTGCAGTGAGCCGAGATTGTGCCACTACACTCTAGCCTGGGTGAGAACAGCAAGACTCTGTCTCAAAAAAATGATAAAAGAAAAAAAAATCATAGCCATTCCAGTAGGTGTGAAGTAGTATCTGACTGTGGTTTTGATTTGCACTTCCCTCATGATTAGTTATGTTGACCATCTTTTCATGTGCTTGTTGGCCATTTATATGTCTTCTTGGAAGAAATGTCTATTCCAGTCCTTTGTCCCTTTTTAAATTTTTTTGTGGAGACAGGGTCTCACTATGTTGCCCAGGCTGGTCTTGAACTCCTGGCCTCAAGTAATCCTCCCACTTTGGCCTCCCAAAGTGCTGAGATTACAGGCATGAGCCACTGTGCCCAGCCTGTCCATTTTTTAATTGGAATTTTTCATTGTTGAGTTATAGAAGTTCTTCATATTAATCCCTTATCAAATATATGATTTGCAAATATTTTCTCCCATTCTGTAGTTTGTTGCCTTTTCACTCTGTTGATAACATCCTTGATAGCACCCTTTTAAATTAAATTAAATTTAATTTAATTTTTATTTTTTAGAGATAAAAAATAAAAACAGGGTCTCGCTTTGTTGCCCAGGCTGGATTGCAGTGGTGCAATCATGGCTCACTACAGCCTTGAACTCCTGGGCTCAGGCTATCCTCCTATCTCAGCCTCCTGAGTAGCTAGGTGATATGCTTTAGATGTTTGTTCCTTCCAAATCTCATACTGAAATGTGACGCCCAATGTTGAAGGTGGGTCCTGGTGGAAGGTGATTTGATCGTGGGGACAGATCCTCATAGATGACTTAGCACTATCCCCTTGGTGATAAGTGAGCTCTTGCTCAGTTCACACAAAATCTGGTTGTTGAAAAGTCTGGTACCTCCCCCTCACCTCCTTCTCATCCTGTGAGATGCCTGCTCCTGCTCTGCCTTATGCCATGACTGTAAGCTTCCTGAGGCCCTCAGAAGAAGCCAAGCAGATGTCGGTGCCATGCTTGTACAGCCTGCAGAGCCATGAACCAATTAAAGTTCTTGTCTTTATAAATTACCCAGTCTCAGGTATTCCTTTATAGTAATACAAGAACAGCATAATACACTGAGACTACAGGTGCACACTGCAACACTCAACTAATTTTTTAAATTATTTTTAGGAATGGAGTCTCGCTATGTTGTCCAGGCTCATCTTGAACTTCTGGCCTCAAGCAACCCTCCTGCCTCAGCCTCTTAAGTAGCTGGGATTATAGGTACAAGCCACCACACCTAACAACAGTATCTTTGATGTACAAAAATTTTCAATTTTGATGAAATCTAATTTATCTATTTTTTTTTCCTTTCTTGCTTGTACTTTTTTAGTGTCATATCTATAAGCTTGTTGTTAAATCCAATGTCATAAAGATTTTCCTCAATATTTTATTCTAAGAGTTTTATGGTTTTAGCTCTTAAGTTCAGGTCTTTGATCTATTTTGAATTCCATTTTGTATACAGTGTAAGATAAGGTTAATGTGGGTTTTTTGTACATCCTCTTTTTTTTTTTTTTCTGTCTTATGAGAAGTAAGGGGTTGAAATGATCCAGTACTAGGCATTGGTTCCAAAGTCACTAAAGAACTAGTTAAGGGGGACACTGGTCTCATGGCATGAGAGTGGGCCTCAGCTTTTTCATCTGTAGACTGGGAATAGTATTGCCCCCTGGAGTGGGTTGAATAGTGTCCCCTAAAATTCATGTCCATCAGGAACCTCAGAATGTGACCTTATTTGGAGACAGGATCTTTGCTGATGTAATTAAAAATCTTGAAATGAGATCATACTCGATTTAGCATGGGTCCTGGTGACTTTATAAGAAGGCCAAGTGAAGACAGAGGCAGAGATTGGAGTGATGCAGCTACAAGGGTGGACATGCCAAGGACTGCCTGACAGCAGAAGCTGGAGGAGGCAAGGAAGGATTCTACCCTAGAGGAAGCATGGTCCTGGTGACACTTTGATTTTGGACTTTCAGCCTCCAAAACTGTGAGAGAATAAATTTCTGTTGTTTTAAGCCTCCACATTTGTGGTAATTTGTTGCAGCAACCATAGGAAACTAATATACGCCCTCATGAAGTATTGCAATTATTATTATTATTATTTTTGAGACAGCGTCTCACTCTGTCACCCAGGCTGGAGTGCAATGGCGCGATCTAGGCTCACTGCAACCTCCGCCTCCTGGATTCAAGCGATTCTCCTGCCTCAGCCTCCTGAGTAATTGGGATTACAGGCGCCCACCACCATGCCTGGCTAATTTTTGTATTATTAGTAGAGACAGGGTTTCGCCATGTTGGTCAGGCTGGTCTCGAACTCCTGATCTCAGATGATCCACCCACCTCAGCCGCCCAAAATACTGAGATTACAGGCGTGAGCCACTATGCCTGGCCGAAGTATTGAAATTATTAAGTATGAGATTTGTCAAGTGTTTATCACAGTGTTGGGCACATTGCCCAGGGCTTCTCGGGTCTCACTCACTGCTGCCTACATCCATGACACAAAGCAGACCCAGCCATCACCTGCCAGTGTGCCCTCCCCAGCCCCACAAGTTCTCTGAGGTCTTGTTGGCTTAAACAGCAGGTGCCTGGCACATCTGTCTTTCTATTAGAGAGAGTGGGGTTGGCTGGACATTAGTTTGAGCCCGGGGTTGGCCGCTGACTTGCCAGGTGACCTGGCTAAAGTCAGTTTCCTTCTCTGAATATTACTGCATCTGTAAGATTGCAGTAATGATAGAAATGGTGCCATCCTCCGTGGGTTGCCGGGAGGATTTGACAAGGTAATGCAGGTGGCAGTGCTCGATACTGTGATCATCAGAGAGCTTGAAACCTTAGAGATAGTCTTATCCAACCAACTCAGTTTACAGAATTTAAAAAAAAACAAGCCCCAGGGAAGAAGAGTGACTTGCCCACAGCCACGAAGTGATCTACTAATACCTCCCCTGTCCCACTGACATCCAAATGAGAGAGGGAAAGTGCCTTAGCTGCTGAACACTGGAACCCACAGATCCACCCCCAGTAGTACTTCCCCAAGCTCCAGAGAGGCAGCCCTGGAAAAGAGTGGGTTTCCAGCAGTCAAGTTGAAGAAAGTATTTCAGGCAGTAGAGAGTGATCAACCATGCCCACCACTGCTGAAAGATCTAGTAACAAGAGGACTGAGAGTGGACAAAGGTAGGGGCCAGCAAACTTTTTCTGTAAAGGACCAGATAGTGAATATTCAGCTTTGAGGGCCATACAATCTGTTGCCTCTCCTCGACTCTGACCTGGTAGCACACAAGCAGTTATAGACAGTATGTAAACAAGTGGGTGTGACTGCGTGCCAATAACACTCTACGGATACTGAAACTTTTTTGTTTTGTTTTTTTGTTTTTTGGTTACAGGGTCTCACTCTGCTGTCCAGCCTGGAGTGTAGTGGCGTGATCGTGGCTCCCTGCAGTCTTGACCTCCGGGGCTCAAGTCATTCTCCTGCCTCAGCCTCCCAAGTAGCTGGGGCTACAGGTGCACACCACCATGCCTGGCTAACTTTTTATTTTTTGTAGAGATGAGATCTTGCTATGTTGCCTAGGCTGGTGTGGAATTCTTGGGCTCAAGTGATCCTCCCACCTTGGCCTCTCAACTTAAATACTAAAAAGTAAATGTCACATCATTTTCATGTGTCACAAAATATTCTTCGTTTTTATTTTTCTCAACCGTTCTTTGTTTAGGGGTCACATGAAAACAGGCAGTGGGCGGGACTTGGCCCACTGGCCTTAGTTTGCCCAGCCATGGTCTCAGCTTTTAGATGGATAGGAATGCCTTATCCTACCTCAGGCCAAGTACATTGAAAACTTGGAGAGTAGAGCCCTGGCAAACGTGGTTTTCAAAGCTTCCCTGATACCCAGCAATTCATGTGTATACCCGAGAGAAATAAAAACACATGTCCACCAAAAAGCTTGTATGTACATCCGTGTTCATAGCAGCATTGCTCACAATAGCCCCAAATTGGAAACAACCCAAATATCTGTCTACTGATGAATGGATCAACAAAATGTGGTATTATTATACAATTGAATAGTATTCAGCCATAAAAGACATGAAATTCTGATACATAGTAGAACATGAACGAGCCTCAAAAACATTACGCTCAGCAAAAGAAGCCAGACACAAAAGGCCACATAGTGTATGGTTCCATTTATACAAAATGTCCACAATAGGCAAAATCCATAAAGACAGAAAGATTAGTGGTTGCCCGGGGCTGGGGGAGGGCTAATGGGGAGTGACTGCTTAATGCGTCTGGGATTTCCTTTTGGGGTGATGGGAATGTTCTAGAACTAGATGGAGGTGATAGTTGCACAATATTGCAAATGTAGTAAATGCCACTAAATTGTACACATTTAAAGGTTAATTTTATATTATATGAATTTTACCTCAATTTAAATGAAAAAAAAAAAAAAAAAAGCTTCCTCAAAGATTCTGTCATGCTGCTAGGGTTGAGAAACAGGACCAGTGTGAGGAGACAGCAAATTGCAAAGCAAGTTGAACTCACATCTGGATTCAAAGCTCAGTGTTAAGGTGGACTCAGCATAGGGTCTGTGAGGGTAGAAGGCATGGGTCCTGAGCCTTTCCTAGGCTGGGAACAGTATGTTCTTTTATGGCATGAGGGATAAACTGGGAACGGCCAGGTGAAGGAAGGAAGGGAAGTTATTCCAGACAGGTGGAGTGGTGGGGTCAGGGAGGTGACGGTTGTGGGGCGGGAGGCAGTGTAGAAGGGAAGCTGGAATGAGTTGAAGAATTAAATAGGGAGGCAGGGGCCTGATCAGATCATGTGGGGCTGTGTAGACCATGAACAGAAATTTGGATTTACTGTGAGTGAGATGGAAGGCCTGGGACATGAGACTAGAGGGTTTTAAGCAAGGGAACAACATGATCTGATTTACTTTTTAAGAAGCTTCCCGTGGTTGCTGGGTAAAAAAAACGGGCTGGAGGAGGCTGTTGTGCAGTTATTCAGGGCAGGGATGAGTGTACACATTCAAGACTTTAGGAGACACAGTTCTCAGGATTTGGTAATGGAGTGAGTGAGACCAGGGGAGGGGGGAACTTCTGCCTCCAAGGTTTAGGCCCTAGCAACTGGGAGATTGGTGGTGCCATTTACTAAGATAGGAGAACACTTGTGGGAGGAGCAGAGTGGTTTGGAGGCCAGCAATGGGCAGTTCTGTTTTGGACATCGCAATATGTCTGCAAAAGTTATTTTTGAACAAAATGTTATTGCTGTTAATTGGATGCCCCATTCCACATTTGTGTTCCGAAACATTTTCTGGGAGGTTTCTTGGGCTGCTTCAATTATATGAAAAGACTTAATTCAAAGAGACCAAATGTTGGTTTCTGTGGTTTGAGTCCCCTGAGTGCTTAGGGGAGACTTCACTGGGTAAGTTAAATACAGCCCTACTCTGCATTTGGGAGGCAAATGTTAAGTCCCGTTCCTACAGAGGTCAGGGTTTGGAGGAGAAAATACTGCCTCGGAAATATTACAGAGACATACGTTATTTCTTGCCAAGTGCTTATGCAAATTCCATATTAACTCGACTGAGCACTAGAAAGAAATTTACAGAGCAGTCTCTCACATTAGGAAAACATGCAGGTATAAGGTTTTGCCCTGCCTGACTTGGCACACACAGGCTTCCTGAAGATGGCTGGGTGTTCTGCATTTAGATTTCCAAGGAAGAGGACGCCTTCCCGTGATAATGAGCCTTAAAACGAAGTCGTGACCCACCGGCCTTTGGCATCGTCTTCTTTTCTTTTGGGATCATAGTCACCATGGCCATAATTGCCAATATCATCACTATCGTGTGGTCGTTGGTGTGTTAAGAAAATTCCTCAAACCACCAATGGGAATCCTAACAGGAATCAAAAAAGATGAGATGATTCCTATCTCATTGAAATTTGTTGCATTACATTACAGAGGGTCCCCTTTGGGAGTGAGCAACTCTGCTGCATGTAAGACAGGAGTGATTGGTGGTGGTGGTGGTGGTAGGGGGTGCTGCTCTGCAGAAACATGGCAATGGAAGATGACCCTGCTGTCTGTGAAGCCGCTGCTCCTGACCCACCACACTGGGCTGTTTCTGGGACAAGCAGGCAGAGCAGGAGAGTCTCCACGCCACCTCGCCCTTCCTCCTGAGCCCAGCCAAAGCATTCCCGGGACTTCTGCACTGCCTCCTCCCTCTCCTTCCCCACCTCTGTCTCTTCTCCACTCTCCCCAGCTTTTCACTCTAATGGCTCCTGTCACCTAGAGCAGCATTTTCTGGGTTCTGTACAACAGAGTCCTGAGACTCCATGGATAAATGAAATCATGGAACGTCAATCTGATCTTATCACCCGGCAGTACCACCCCATCCCCACTTAACACTCCTGGGGGTTCATGGTTGCCTTTGAGTACAGTCCGATCTTCACCCGGTCTGCAAGTCCTGTGTGACCTGGTTCCAGCCAATTCGATTCGACGTGTTGCCCTTCCTCTCATTTCAGCGGTTCTCTCAGAACACCCTGCCGTCTGCAGGCCAAACCATTATTTCTTTGAGTCAGCTCTACACTGACCATGCACTGGGAGAGGGGCTGCACCTCCGTGTTCCCATCACACTGTGTGCTCAACTCTTTAACCACCTGCATCACACAGAGTAATAATTGCCTATCATCTGTCTCCGCCCTTGGACTTCCTTTTCTTCCCAGCCCTGAGAATTGGGCCAGGCCTACATACCCAGGCCCTCTTTTCTATGGCAATTGCTACCTCCACCACGTCCACACCAGGAATCCAAACTCCTCTCTCCAGCCCCACAGTCCCCAGCCTCTCTCCCTACATGATGCCAGTAGCACTCCTGTAGACCAGTTCCCTGTCGCTGCTGCTTCATGCTTAAAAGCGTTCAGTGGCTCCTCCTCTGTTTTCAGAACCAAATCTTTGCTCATTAGCATGGCATTCAAAGCCCTGCCTGTCCTTGCCATACTGTAAAATCCAAGAGAGGAGAGAATAAGAAGGCTGTGGAGAGGCGGAGGAGACTAAGGGATAATGTGCTTACGACTCAAAAAATATCAGAGGAAACATTGTTTTAGAATGCATTTTCAGGGCTTCTGTTTACATATGGGGTGTGTTCCAAAAATTCCTATGTATCTGGGCCTCGGTGGGCTGAATATTATTGGGATAGCCAGCGGTTCCCAGACTTGTGAACTTCACCAATGAGTAGATTTCTTTTCTTTTTTCAGTTTGGGGACGGGTAGGGTTGCCAACTTCTTATTTTGCAAAGTAAGCATATTAAACAAAACACTACCATCTTTTCATGAAATAAAAGGACTTTTGTATACCAAAACAAGTTCATGATTTCAAGATAAAGGTCAATACTCTAGCTTTATGGGGGGAAACTTGCCACGACAACCTCATTTTTTTGTATTTCTCCTGGGACTGGTGAAACTTGACTGTGAAGTCAGGCATTTGGGAAAATTGCTGTAGAGCCCCATGCGCCCCTCCCCCCAGCCAGCCAGGGCTGTTTGCATGCCCATTGAGATGCAAGTGAGTCTTTGTCTCTTAATTGCCCCGCACAGTGGGGAGTGAGGTGGGAAGGGAGGGTGTGCTGTCCCTTTGTACCCAGCCAGGGCCCTCCAACAGGTTTGGTTAGAGGGATTAAGCTCCAAGGCTGTGGGAGGGTAGACGAAGCCCTGAGCACCAGCAGAGCTGCTTTGGGTCCCAGGGCACAGAAGGTGACCTTGAGTTGGGGCAAAGCCTTTGGTCCCTGCCCTCATTCCCATGTGGACTCCCTCTCGGCTCTGGTCCCTAAGGATCAATGGCGGGGTGGGTATTCAGGAAGGGGTGCTGTCAGCATGGACAGTGGTGCTCTCCTGATGGGCATCTTCAGCAGTGGTGGGGGTGGTGGCAAGGCCCTTCCACAGCTGATTTTGATCATGGGTGAGGGAGGCCACCCAGGTACTCAGATAGCTGATTTGGAATTTATTATTATTTTGTATTTTTCTGTGCTCTGCACATTCAGAGGACATTCTCTAGTAATGTACTACAGAAACAATTCCTGAAAGTATAGTCTTTGTCCCCAAAGTATATACCATGTGTGGGGGCGGGGAGCACGGATAATGGCTTTGAAAAATTTTTTTTTAATAATAATATTTTTTTTCTCCTGGGAAATACACTTCCAAACTAAGTTGGGGAGGTGCTCCCAGATCATGGTTTTTAAGTGCACAATTTCCTGTATGCAAACCCATGACCCATGGATACCTAGCTGGCCCACATAATCCTATTTACCTGAGATTGGTGTAAACCCACCCAGCCCTATATGTGTGCCTCTCCTGTTTTCCCAGGCCACCCTGGTGGCTGTTTATCCATGCCACACTGGCCACAGCTTGGGAAAGGTGGACATTTTTAGGAGAGAATCTTGTCAGGCCAAATGGTTTTCCAATTGATGGCAGTTTTCAGGGTATGAGAAGTTCAGGGAGGAACTAGGTGTAGCAAGAGGGTGGGAACAAGGGAGTGGTGTGTAGACGAGGCAGGCTTGGGCAAGAGTGGGTCCCTGAACCCATGTGCATTGGCAGTGGGGAGTATAGATGATGTGTGGGGGCGGGGAGCACAGATAATGGCTTTGAAAAAATTTTTTTAATAATAATTTTTTTTCTCCTGGGAAATACACTTCCAAACTAAGTTGGGGAGGTGCTCCCAGATCATAGTTTTTAAGTGTACAATTTCCTGTATGTAAATCAACTGCATGTTTAATTGCAATTCAGCAGGATAGCAGTACCTGACTGAGAGGCTCACTAAGTTCCCAGCAGGTCTTCAGTCTGGCAGGCAAATCAGCCCTCTCTAACTCACATTAACCTAACTTACAAGAGACTGAGAGACAAACCAGGCCCAAGATAAGCTATTTTACAAAGGGAGAGGTATCTGGTAGGATAATCCATCTCGGACATTTGCAATATTTTGATTAAGGAACTATTTGTGAGTATCTTTTGGCCACAATGATAAACATTGTCCTTTTCTTTTGGTTCTTATTCCTGTGTCAGAGCAGGTCATCTATGTTCATTTTGCGCTTTAGAGGAGCACACTCTTAAGGTCCCATATCATCACCTGCTAATGTTCATCCTTGCCATGGTTCAATCTGCTAGAACGGAGGTCAGTAAACTTTTTCTGTAAGGGTTAGACAGTAAATATTTTAGGCTTTGTGTGCCCCATGGTCTCTATCACAACTGTTCAACTCCACTGTGGCAGCACAAAAGCCACCATAGGGAATACAAAAATCAATGGGCGTGGCTGTGTTCTCATAAACTTCATGAACCCTGAAATTTGAATGTTGTATCACTTTCTCATGTCATAACATTCTTTTGATTTTTTTCAACCATTTAAAAATGCAACCACTACTTTTAGCTGGAAGGCTGAACAAACAGGTGGGAGTAGGATTTAGCCCACGGGGTGTAGTTTGAGAACTATTCTTGAGCTAGAAGACAGTCTTATTGCATATGGCATTGTAGCACCTTTAGCAGCTAGAGTTCCAGTTGAGTGTGACTGTCCACTGCATATTGATTGACATGGCCTCAAACTTAAGAGGTTACATGCTTCTCACCTCCTCAGTGTAGATGAGTGTGTATGCATCAGGGTTTACCCATCAGATCCTGGAAGACTCCTAAAGACCAGAAAATCTACTGCCCTCCAGGTACAGATGGTACCACCAGGGCCTATGGAATGGCTCAGGGCACTTAGTAGCAAAGGTGGGGGCATGTCCACAGCCTGGAATAGACAGTAACCTCCTGACCTCACAGTGGCCACTATTTCCTTAGCCGTTACTAGATTAACCAGTAATGGTCCCTGCCCTCTGTCACTGTGTGCAGGCTGTCCACTTTTCACCACCTCATTTAATCCTTAGCACAACCTTGTTGGGTTTAGCCAGGATTTGTACCCGGTCTGGCTCTACAGCACACATTCTTAGCCATTCACCAGCTGGGGTTCCTAGTGGTACCCTCCCCCTTTGACACATGAGACTAGACCTGGCTAACTCCCCAACCTCAAGGAACCTCCATTTTGCTGCTTTTCCCTCGTTAATAGGTGATGATACATAAGGCATTGTGAGGAATAAAAATTAAGGGTAAAATGCCTGGAATATGCCATGTGTATAGTGTGTGTTCAATAACTACCAGCTATTTCTGTTAATTCTACAGCTAGAATGGAATAATGTTCCATTCATAGAGTAATTAATGCCCTGAGCCTGGGAAGATCCACTCCTCATATGCTGTTTTGTTTCTGCAGCCCTAAGATTCAGGGCAATGGATGTAAGCCACACGGGAGATTTCGGCTCCATCTCAGGGAGACCCCACACCCCACTGTTCCTTAGGGGTTGGTGGGAGCCACTGAGGGGGGTGCCTATGGCAGCGAGGGCTGGGTTGGGGGCACAGGAAAGCTGCCGAATGGATATTGAGGGGAGGTGGTAGTAGCCGCCCTCTAAGGAGGATGTGGCCCTGGGCAGCCGGTGCCGCATAATGGCAGGGACAGGCTCACGCTACCACTCCGGAGAGCAGTAGCGCTTCCTCTTTGTCTTCGAGAGCCGGTTGCAGCTGGGGCTCTTCTAGGGAGCGTTCCCATCAACTGCTGCAGCGGGCATTTTGCTGGTCGGCACAGTATCGTATCGGAATCTGATTTCTTCGGGTCTGGGAGACGGACTCCGTTTGCGGGGGTTCATGGGAAAGGACTGCAGCGCGTTTGTCGGTCATTAAGCACGTTTTTGAGATCGACTCTGCAGATATGAACTTGCACTTTCAGCGCATTCATCAAAGCCTCGGGAGAGCTGACCCAGTCCCTACCCCCAGTCTCCCGAGCCCGCGGCGCTTCGGCTCCGGGACGCCCCCATCCTCCCCTGTCGCCCACCCGGGCGCCCCCGGCCTCGTTTTCTCGAGACGTGTCACTGCTTGTTGACCGCAGCCAGTCACGAAAACGGTCCTTTTCTTCAGTCTCCGGCCAGGGTTTCACTCCTGCAGGGAACAGCGGGTGGGGACAGAGTGCGGGGCTCCGTGCTGGACGGTGTCTGGAGGGGCCCCAAGGGAACAACCCTTCACCGGGAGAACACCAAGGCCAGAAGGGGAAGAGCCCTTCTCAAGGTCACCCGGGAGGAAATCGGCGCCCACCGGCGCTGCCGCCTCCCGCTCCCCGGCACTGGTGACTCACTGCTCCAGGTCCGCGGGGCCACCTCCGAGACTTCGGTCTCGAGGACCGAGGTGGGACAGGGTCTGCGGACCGCGCGCTGCCGCTGGACCCAGCCCAACCCAACCCAGGCCTCCCCACCCACCGGGTGCCCGCAGGCCACGCCCCTCGCCCGGAGCCCCGCCTCCAGAACGCGGCCCCGCCCCCGATACTGCAGCCTCGCCCCGCCCCCCGGCCTAACCCCAGCCCAGGCGCCCTCAGGCGCCGGCTCTCTAGCGCGCCCGACCTCCATCTTCCCGGGGCCGCGCCGCGCGCGCGCGCGGGCTTTGGGCGGGACCCTGCAGAGGCGGCGGGGCTCCTCCTCCCGCTCCTCCTCGGCCTCCCCTTCGGGCGCTCTCGCGCTAACTGTGCTCCTCCGGGGCCCTCCGCCTGCTCCCAGCCATGGTGGCCTGGCGCTCGGCGTTCCTTGTCTGCCTCGCTTTCTCCTTGGCCACCCTGGTCCAGCGAGGTAAGGCGGGCGGGGGGCGCGCGGGGACCGCGCGGGGACCCCGCCTTGTGGGCCCAGGGGTCGCTCTGCGCATGAGCGGCACGGTCCCCGCCTCTCGGGCCTGCGGTGGCTGCCACCGGCCGGCCCGGCTGTGCGAGGCGGAGCGGCGGGGGTCCGAGCCCCGGGCCCGTGGGGGTTGACTCCGCCGCGGTCGGAGTAGCCGGAGAGGAGGGGTGGGTCCCCTCCTGACGCTGGGCTGGAAACAGCGGGATGGGCCCCCTAAAATCCTGAACGAGCAGGTGTACCACTGGTGACAACAGCTGTCCCCAAGAGTTTACCTTTGAGAAAACCTTGAAGAGAGCAGTCATTTTCGAAATTTGCTGCGAGGCCACCGACAGCAGAAGCACCTGGGGAACTTCCTAGGTGGATTCCTAGCCCCTTTCATCGGGATCACAGCGGGCATGGGCTGTGGGGGGGGGGGGGGGGGGTCAGCGAGGCGTAGGTCTAACCAGCTCTCTAGGTGCTTCTGCCGTCCGCTTCAGTTTTTGAGACTTTGGTCATGTTTTGCCAAGGAGCAGGAGAGAGAAATCCCGCTGAATCAAGGAAGCACGTTTCTTAGACCCTCTGCTACTCAAAATGTGGTCCAGGGCCCAGCCGCATAGGCATCACCTGGGAGCTTGTAAGAACTGCAGCATCTCACGCCCCGCCCCCGACCTACTGAGTCTGATTCTGCATTTCAACTAGATCCGCGGGTGATTCTCTGGCACATTCAAGTTTGAGAAGCATCTTAGTAGAATAAATGCAGTCTGTGGTTAAAAATAGGGTCTTAAACATGTACCAACAGAATCTTCTTACACTTATTTATATCCTATGTCCCCATCAGAAAAAGGGATTAAGGGAAACACTGTAATTGAACGTGAATTATGCTCCAAGCTTCCTGACAATAGAAGCGAACCCAGCTGGTGGAAAATATGTGAGCTCAGGAAACACACACACACACACACACACACACACACTTTGTCCTAGTACTGAGTTCTAGTAAGATTTATGTCACATAAAGGAACACTGGAAAACAGTGGATGGTACTAGCCAAGCCACTTTTGCAAAAGATGCAGAAATGTTTTTCATGTGGGCAACCCACCTGGAGTTGATTCACGAAGAGCCATTTAACATTCTGCAGAGGTGCCAGGCTCTGTTCTAGGAACTGATGATGCGGTAGTGAACAAAATTGAGACTGTCTTCATGGAGCTTACATCCTGGTCCGGGCAGAAAACAAGCCCAACATTGAAATCTATATATATTGTCAGTGCTATGGAGAAAAATAAAGGAAGTTACAGGGGTAAAGAGTTGTTGAATTTTCTTTTTCATTTTCCCTTTGGGATAAAATTTTTATTTTGTTTACAATGCATTTGTAGGAAAATGTATGATCATTTGATTGACTTGCATCTAATGACATGGAAATCTTGAAAGTAGAAGCACAAAAAAAGTTAGAAAAATGATACTCCCTTCAAAGCTGTCTTCTGAAAGTCTTCAACATGGTGTGCCCGTTGAGAAGGTGGGGAATAGAAATGATTGGGTCTCAGATTTGCACGTTACAATTGTTGATTTAAGAGGTGGTAGAGGAGACAGAAACAGTACATCTGTTTTATAGATGAGGAAACAGAGGCACAGAGAGGTGAAGTAACTTGCCTTAGGTCACACAGCGATTGCCAGAATTATGATTTGATGCAAGGCTTGTCTGACTGCGCAGTCACTGCCTTTAAGCCCTAGGCATATGCCCTTGCACCTGGAGGTACCCCACTTCGACTACTTAGGGACCATGGGAAAATGAGTTCCCCGAACTTGTTTGATCATCCATATGATGCCTGACAATCACAAAGGTGTTTTGAGGGGACCAGGCTTAGATCTACAGCCTTGCTACCAGCTACCATCTCCTGAGTTCTTCCTGTGTGCCAGGCACTTCACATATATTGCTTTAAATTGCCTCGACAATTTTGCAGGCTAGATATTATCACTGGCTTTCAGATGAGGGGGCCCTGGTCATATAGCTCAGAAGACATAGAGCCAGGATTCAACCCAGATAAGACTGCTACCCAGTTATCTTTTATTGTTTAAATTATTTTTAATTAATTAATTAATTTTTTTGAGACGGAGTCTAGCTCTGTTGCTCAGGCTGGAGTGCAGTGGCCTGATCTCGGCTCACCGCAACCTTCGCCTCCTGGGTTCAAGCAATTCTCCTGCCTCAGGCTCCCAAGTAGCTGGGACTACAGGCATGCGCCACCATGCCCGGCTAATTTTTGTATTTTTAGTAGAGATGGGGTTTCACTGTGTTGGCCAGGCTGGTCTCGAACTCCTGACCTCGTGATCCGCCCGCCTCGGCCTCCCAAAGTTCTGGGATTACAGGCGTGAGCCACCACGCCCAGCTTATTGTTTAAATTAATTAACTGAAACCAGAAGCAGCTTTGGTTTCAAGATAAGGGCCCAGTTTTCTGGATCTTTTTTTTTTTTTTTTTTTTGGAAACAGAGTCTTGCTATGTCGCCCAGACTAGAGTGCAGTGGCGCGATCTCGGCTCACTACAAGCTCCACCTCCTGGGTTCACGCCATTCTCCTGCGTCAACCTCCTGAGTAGCTGGGACTACAGGCGCCAGCCACCACACCGGCTAACTTTTTGTATTTTTAGTACAGACAGAGTTTCACCATGTTAGCCAGGATGGTCTCTATCCCGTGACCTCATGATCCACCTGCCTCGGCCTCCCAAAGTGCTGGGATTACAGGTGTGAGCCACCGTGCCCAGCCAACAGTTTTCTGGATCTTTTGTCCAAAATAAGATAATACGATTTTTGCATTGGTGGTCTTCTCTGGGATCCTGGTAGTCTCAGAGCTGCTGCGTCAAAATGACAAACACAAAGCAAGTGCCTCAGTTAGGCACCAGTTGGCTCTTCTTGGGCCCTGGAGTGGCATTTTGGGTAGGCCTGCTGAGAGCCACTTTATTCTTGGTCCTGGTCCTCAGTAGTGGGATGTGGCTGAGTAACCCTGGCAGACCTCAGAAAGCACACAGAAGCAACTCTGCATAATCTGAGAAATCCTTCCAGGCTCTAGCAAGTAGCAAGTAGAGGCTGGCTTTAGGCTCCCAGGAGTTTAAAGGGCGGTTAACAAGTTATCTTTGTTCTAATTACAGAGGGCTTTTCAGTCTGCTGTGTATTTTACTAGTTCCAAAAAGTCCTCTGAGGACAGGTATGCTGCCTGTATGTGCCTCCAGAAATGGGAAGCTGTTCTTTTGAGCAGCAAGGAGAAGACTGTCAGTGATGTGGATGGGTAGTAATCTTAACAGGAGCTTCATTTCTGGAACACCTATATGCCAGGCCCTCTGCCTCGCCACATTACCCCGACCTGTTGGCACTGTGACCCATATCACCTCCTGATGTCCATAGTGGCCCTTTTACATAGAGTCTTACAGGTAACTGTTTGGTAACCCACTTCTCAGATGAAAAATATGGGGCCCAGAGAGGTTTAGGAACTTAACACTTAGCTGAATTGGATTTGAACTCAGGTTTACCTGCATAACCAGAGCAGAAGGCATGAACACAGATACCTTCAGGGATCATGCAGGTAATAGGAATGTGAGAAGTGGTCAAGAATAAGCATGATGAGGGGGCCGGGCGCAGTGGCTCATGCCTGTAATCTCAGCACTTTGGGAGGCTGAGGTGGCCAGATTACTTGAGCTCAGGAGTTCGAGACCAGCCTGGGTAACATAACAAGAGCCCCATCTCTACAAAAAATACAAAAATTAGCCAGGCGTGGTGGCATGCGCCTGTAGTCCCAGCTACTCGGGAGGCTGAGGTGGGAGGATTGCTTGAGCCTGGGAGGCAGAGGTTGCAATGAGCCAAGATCGCACCACTGCACTTCAGCCTGGGTGACAGAGTGAGACCCTGTCTTAAAACACACACACACACACACACACACACACACAAAACAAAAGAATAAAAGAATAAACTTGATGAGCATGTTGGCAAGCCACCAAGTGCCTGCTCCCTTAAAGAGAGGTCCAGCTTACACATGGAGTGTAGGCTTTAAAGCGTACCTGCCCAGTGCTGCTATGACTCTGTCCCATTTGCCTAACTGCTCGGTGCTACGGTTTCCTCATCTGTGAAATAGGGATAACAACACTATCTACCTCATGGGGTGGTTATTAGGATTAAATGAGTAGAAACGTATAAAGCATTTAGCACGGCACCTGGCTCCAAGTGAGCAAGACATTCCAAGCCACATTTTAAAAATATGTGATGCAAACCTTGAAAGGCATCATTTATACAAAATGTCCAGAGTTGGCAAATCCATAGAGACAGAAAGTAGATTAGTGGTTGCCAGCAGCTGGGATGAAGGGGGATGGGGAGTGTCTGCTTAATGGGCAAGGGGTTTCTGTTTGGGATGATGACAATGTTCTGGAACTAGATAGAGTTTATGATTGCAAAATATGTGAATGTACTAAAAACCATGAATTGTACACTTTAAAAAGGCTGAATTGTGGCCAGGCGCAGTGGCTCATGCCTGTAAACCCAGCTCGTTGGGAGGCTGAGGCGGGTGGATCAGCTGAGGTCAGGAGTTTGATACCAGCCTGGCCAACATGGTGAAACCCCGTCTCTACTAAAAATACAAAAATTAGCTGGGCATGGTGGTACACGCTTGTAGTCCCAGCTACTCGGGAGGCTAAAGCATGAGAATCTCTTGAATCCGGGAGGCAGAGGCTGCAGTAAGCTTAGATCATGCCACTGCACTCCAGTCTGGGCGACAGAGCGAGACTCTGTCTCAAAACAAAAAAAAGGGCTGAGTTGTATGGGAACTGCATCTTCATTTAAAAATTCACTATGTACTGACTTGTACACTTTAAAAGGGTGAATTGTATAGGAATTACATTGCCATTAAAAAAAATTCACTGTATAGTCCAAGCAGAATAAGTGTGAGAAGTGGCAACATGTTACCCCTGGATTGGGGTTGTTTTCAAGGTCCTTGAACTTGGTTCGGGGGGCGTAAGAGCAGAGTGGGCCCCGTGTGCTGGCAGTGCTGAGATGCCAGGCTGGGATCCAAGCAGAAGCCTCATGGGCTGACTTGGGGTATTGGGCTGAGCCAGATGGGCCACAAAGCATCTGCAGAGTTGGCCCAGAGATGCTTAACCCTGCCTGCCCGAGTTCAGGAGTGGTCCCTGGAACAGTGGCATGATAGGGAGAGGGAGAACTTCCCTTTCCTAGATGGCTCCAGGGTTGCCCTTATGGGCACTAGTCAGTTGCTGCGCTCGTCTGACAGAAAGTCTGGGGACTCTGCCTGTTAGTCTTACCTGCTTTGACTGGTTTTCAGCCTTTTCCTTGCTGTCATAGGTCACATCCCTATCCCTTCCATTATTTTGGACACAGGGTATCTCAAATGTGTTGTTTGTTTCTTTGTTTTTTTTTGAGATGGGAGTGCAATAGTGCGATCTCACTGCAACCTCCACCTCCCAGGTTCAAGCGATTCTCCTGCCTCAGCCTACTGAGTAGCTGGGATTACAGGAGTCCGCCATCACACCCGGCTAATTTTTTTGTATTTTTAGTAGAGACGGGGTTTCGCCATGTTGGCCAGGCTGGTCTCAAACTCCTGACCTCGGGTGTTCCACCTGCCTTGGCCTCCCAAAGTGCTGGGATTACAGGCGTGAACCACCGCGCCCAGCTTGTGTTTGTTTTTAAACACGTGCACAGAAACCATCCAGGAGTCAGCATCAGTAGGCATTGAGGAAGGGCCTGAAGTTGCCTTCAGTGGAGATGATGCTGATTAGGCCCATTTTGTCTGCTCAGAAGGGAGTGTTGGGAGGAGCTGGGTTTCATTCTTGTGAGTTTAGGAGAGATACCTTCCAGATACGTCGACTTTCCTGTTCTGTTCTTTTTTTTTTTTTTTTTTTTTTTTTTGAGACAGAGTCTCGCTCTGTCGCCCAGGTTGGAGTGCAGTGGCGCGATCTCGGCTCACTGCAAGCTCCGCCTCCCGGGTTCACGCCATTCTCCTGCCTCAGCCTCCCTAGTAGCTGGGACTACAGGTGCCTGTCACCACACCTGGCTAATTTTTTGTATTTGTAGTAGAGGCGAGGTTTCACCGTGTTAGCCAGGATGGTCTCAATCTCCTGACCTCGTGATCCGCCTGCCTCGGCCTCCCAAAGTGCTGGGATTACAGGCGTGAGCCACCGTGCCCGGCCTCCTGTTCTGTTCTTTTCCCCACCTGGTGTTTTGCTTTTTCTGCTGTGTGTTCACTCTTAGGTGGGTTTATTTATTTATTTATTTTTATTATTTTTTTCCTTCGAGATGGAGTTTCAGTCTTGTTGCCCAGGCTGGAGTGCAATGGCGCGATCTTGGCTCACTGCAACCTCTGCCTCCTGGGTTCAAGCAATTCTCCTGCCTCAGCCTCCCGAGTAGCTGGAACTACAGGCATGTGCCACCACACCCGGCTAATTTTTTGTATTTTTAGTAGAGATGGGGTTTCTCCATGTTGGTCAGGCTGGTCTCCAACTCTCGACCTCAGGTGATCCACCTGCCTCAGCCTCCCAAAGTGCTGGGATTACCCAGCTCCCAAAGTGAGCCACCACGCCTGGCTCACTCTTAGGTTTTGTACTTTGCATGTTATTCCTCTTCTGCTCTTGGGTGCCTGGGAGGACTGGCTCAAGGGGTTCCTGTCCCCCAATCCAGACTGGACCCTCCCTGAGGCTAGGTCCATGACTGGTGAATGTTGGTTTGCATGCAAAAGCTTAACGTCATCGTAGACACCTATCAAGAACGGGCTGGAAAATCTTTCATGTAGGCACATGTTCCACATGGAGTGGGGTGGGAGGCTGTGGTAGAAAGAATAATAATGAGCCCCCAAAGACATCCACGTCCTGATCTCTGGAACCTGTGAATATGTTAGGCTCCATGGCAAGGGAAATTCAGTAAGGTAGCCGATGGAATTCAGGCCGCCAATCTGCTGACCTTAAAATATTATTATCCTGGATTATCCAGGTGGACCCAATGTAATCACCCGGGTCCTTTAAATACAGAAGAGGGAGGTAGAAGAGTCGGGGATTAGAGCCATGTCATATGGGAAGGACTCGCCTGGCCATTGCTGGCTTTGAAGATGGAGCAAGGGGCCAGGAACCAAGGACCACACAGCCTCTAGAAGCTGGAAAAGACAGGGAACAGATTTTTCTCTAAAGCCTCCAGAAGGAACACAGCCCTGCCCACACCTTGAGTTTAGCCCAATGAGACCTGGGTTGGACTTTTATCTCTAGAACTGTGAGATAATAAATGGGTATTGTTTTAAACTGTTGAATACAGTATATTTTGTTATAGCCAAAACAGGATGCTAGTAAGAAGCTAAGAGTTAGATACTAGCATCCTCTTCCTTGTTTGGAAAACTAGTATGTGATATTTCCTTACATTGTTTCAGTTTTACCATTTTAAAATCAATCCCTAGAATGCTCTAAGTTCAGCATTTTAAAATAAATGTGCAGAAAATTGGGTTGTAATGATGTTTTTGGTGCAGCAATGAATGTTTAGAAGCATATCTGAGGGCCCAGGAAGGTAGCTGGATTTCTGGCGCTTGCATTTGATTCCAAACTGCTTTACAAGGGGATGGGAGCCTGCACTTCTGCTTTGGAGCATGGCCCATGTTGCAGGCCACCTGCAGTGGGGGCCACTGGCTGTCTCCAGAGGCCTTTCCCACCCTTCTCCTCCAGTCCTGATGGCCGCACTTGAAGCAGGATGCAGCCTGGGGCCAGCAGACAGAGGGTTTCTGATTTGTGCAGGCCGCACTTGCCCCTTCGCTGAGGACGAGGAGGAGTGTGCTGCCAGCCTGCCTTTCTCCTGGCTGCCCTTACCAGTGCTGTGGCTTCAGCTAATTGTGTCCATTCCCTCTCTCTCAAGGTGGGGGCGGGGGTGTGGGGAGAGGACCAGACAGGAATGGGTGCACCTGAATCCCCCACTCCCACTTCAACCAGTGTTGTTTTTTGTTTGTTGGTTTGTTTTTTGAAAGCAAGTTTATTTTTATTTTATTTATATTATTATTTTTTGAGACAGAGTTTTGCTCTTGTCACCCAGGCTGGAGTGCAATGGCGCAATCTCGACTCACTGCAACCTCCGCCTCCCGGGTTCAAATGATTCTCCTGCCTCAGCCTCCTGAGGAGCCGGGATTACAGGCGCCTGCCACCTCGCCCAGCTAATTTTTGTATTTTCAGTAGAGACGGGGTTTCACCATGTTGGCCAGGCTGGTCTTGAACTCCTGACCTCAGGTGATCCACCTGTCATGGCCTCACAAAGTGCTGGGATTACAGGCGTGAGCCACTGTGCCCAGCCTGAAAGCAAGTTTATTTATTTATTTATTTATTTATTTATTTATTTTGAGACGGAGTCTCGCTCTCGCCCAGTCTGGAGTGCAGTGGTGCGATCTCGGCTCACTGCAAACTCCGCCTCCCGGGTTCATGCCATTCTCCTGCCTCAGCCTCCCGAGTAGCTGGGACTACAGGCGCCCACCTCCACGCCCAGCTAATTTTTTTGTATTTTTAGTAGAGACGGGGTTTCACCGTGTTAGCCAGGATGGTCTCGATCTCCTGACCTTGTGATCCGCCCGCCTCGGCCTCCCAAAGTGCTGGGATTACAGGCGTGAGCCACCGCGCCCGGCTAGCAAGTTTATTAAGAAAGTAAAAGAATGAAAGAATGGCTACTCCATAGGCAGAACAACTCCACTTCAACCAGTTTTGAGCTTTGTTTTTATTAGTTTTCTACCTCGGGCTTCTCACAAGATGTCAGAACGTTCTGCTGCTTTACAGCAGAAATATCTTTGAAAACTGCTGTAGTTGAATCCTATAGATATGACACCCCTGTTCAGTGAACATCTGTGTAGAGGAGAAGCTAGAAAACATCTAGCTGTCATTGTTAGGTGGTTGTATTTGGGATTATTTTCTAAATTAGAGGTGATACTCTCCACAGGAAGTATTACTGCAGTGTGGAATTTATTTCCACCAAAATAGTGCCCAGGCACAGCCGGGGCTCATTTTGACCTTCTACTTTTGTTTTTTTTTTTTTATTGCTGCTTCAACTAGCCTGGGATGGTGGAACTATATTGGGTATTTCTTTCAGCCTAAGGGCAATGTGGGGGAAAAAAAACTGAGATGTGAATGGCACTTGAGATACTAAGGAAACCCATGGGCTAACCCCAGGGAGGCCAGAGGACAAAGAAGCCCTTTGATGAAGCTCATACCGGTCAGTGGCCTGGGACACAGAGAGTGGATCTGAAGGGCAGATGGCAGGCAGCAGGCCTTATCCTGAATGAGCAGCCAGGACCCGTGTGGGGGCACTGTGGGTGAAACAGAGCAGGGTAAAACATGCACCTGCCCTCAAGGAGATTAAAGTCCAGACAGACCTGGAAGCAACTATACATAGTCACATGTATCTTAAAAGACACACAAGGATTCCATTATTGCTGTAGTGCTATCTGCCAAGAGGACACTTGCCCCCTTTCTCCCAGGTTGAAGGCCGTTGCTGTCGCCTATTGCTGCATAATGAACCTCCACACATTAGTGGCTTGAAACAACTGTTTACTATGCTCTTAGACTCCATAGGTTGGGAATTAGGATAATGCAGCAAGGATGGCTGTCTCTGCTCTACTGTATCTAGGACCTCAGCTAGGAGGACTCAAATGGCTGGGGGCTAGAATCATCTGGAGGTTTTTTTTTACTCACATGTCATAAAGGATGGGCTTAGCTGGGGCTGTCCACTGGAACACCCAAATGTGGCCTCTCTGGTTTGAGCTTCCTTATAGCAAGGCAACTGTATTTGAACTTCTTACATAGCCCCTTCAGGTTCTAAGCATGAACATTCCAGTAGACAAGGTAGAAAACAGATGGGCTTAGAAACCTTTTAAAAATTGTGGTAAAATACACATAACATTTACCATTTTAACCATTTTAAGGCACACAGTTCAGTGGCATTAAATACTTTTTTTGTGTGATCATCATCATTCCCCCTCCCCTAACCCCTGGCACTGGCTCATCTGCTTCCTATCTGGATTTGCCCATTCTGGACATTTCATAGCAACGGAATCAGGTAGTATTTGTCCTTTTGTGACTGGCTTATTTCACTTAGCATGATATTTTCTGAGTTCCTGCCTGTTGTAGCGTGGATCAGTACTCCATTTCTTCTTATGGTTGAATAGTATTCTATTGTACGGGTAGACCATGTTTTGCTTGTCCAGCCATCAGCTGATGGACATTTGGGTTGTTTCCACCCTTTGGCTATTGTGAGTAGTGCTGCTGTGGACATTTGTGCACAAGTCTTTGTTTGAACAACTGTTTTCAGTTCTTTGGGATATATGCCTAGATCATGGTCTTTTATGACTTGGCCCCAGAAGTTACCAGCGTGACTTTCATTGAATTCCATAGGTTATGAGTCAGTTGAGGGTAGTCTGGATTCAAAGTGAGAACATATATCCTACCTCTTAAGGGAAGAGTGTCAAAGAATTCTTAGCCATCATTTAAAACTGCCGCACAAATCTCACATTTCTGGGTCCTGCTGAAATATTGCTCCCTCCCTGGAGCGTATCCCAGTTCTCCTAGCTGGGAGTAACTACTTGTAGCTCTATTGTGATGGCGACTTCTCTCACCTCTCTAGTTCTTTATGAAATAATCACCATGAGGTATATTTGTTAGTGTCCAGTTAGTAGCCTAGCTCCGTGTGTGCCTCTTCATTTTCTGTTCCTTCCTGTGACGCCATGCTGCTGTCCTCAGCGGTCGGGTTCTCTCTCTCTGAGCGGGGGATGGATCAGCTGATTCTGAGAGCCCTTCAGCACTGATGTTCTGTGGGCTCCAAGTGATCTTATTTGTACAGGCTTTCTCCGTGAGGGAGGCCTCCTTCTGACAGCACAGTGCCTACTGTGTAGCCTTGGAGGAGCTTGCTGAGTGTAGGTCTCAAGGAGTTTGGATTAACCCTCAAGGTGGGGCAGCCTGGGGATTTGCCCTTCTTCACCTGGAAGAAGAGTCCCTGGGGGTTGAGCTTTATTTTTTTATTTTATTTATTTATTTATTTATTTATTTATTTATTTATTTCTGGAGACGGAGTTTTGCTCTTGTCACCCAGGCTGAAGTGCAGTGGCGCACTCTCAGCTCGCTGCAACCTCCGCCTCCCGGGCTCAAGCAATTCTCCTGCCTCAGCCTCCTGAGTAGCTGCGATTACAGGCATGCGCCACCATGCCTGGCTAATTTTTGTATTAATAGTAGAGACACGGTTTCACCATATTGGCCAGGCTGATCTCCAACTCCTGACCTCAGTTGATCCACCCACCTTGGCCTCCCAAAGTGGTGGGATCACAGGCGTGAGCCACCACACCTGGCCTTCATTGTTTTTTTTTTTTTTTGACAGAGTCTCACTCTGTCACCTAAGTTAGAGTGCGGTGGCACCATCATGGCTCAATGCTGCCTCAAGCCCTGGGCTCAGGGGATCTTCCCACGTCAGCCTCCCACATAGCTGGGACCACAAACATGTGATACCATACCCAACTAATTTTTTAATTTATTTGTAGAGACAGAATCTCAAACTCCTGGGCTCAAGTGATCCTCCCGCCTCAGCCTCTCAAAGTGTTGGGATTACAAGCATGAGCCATGGTGCTTGGCCTGAGCACTCTCCTAGATAGACTATTGAGCAGAGTTTTTCAACCATGGCACTGCTGACCTTTGGACCAGATAATTGTTCTGCAAGGGATAAGGCGGGTGGGTGTCCTGTGTGTTGGAGGATGTTTAGCAGCATCCTTGGCTTCTGCCCACTAGATGCGGGTAGTACACCCCTCCCTAGTCTTGTCAACCAAAAATAACTCCAGACATTGCCGAGTGTCCCCTAGGGGGTGGGGGGTGGCGAATCACCCCTTGTTGAGAACCACGACTGTAAAGACGGATACAGCCATGCCTTGCTTAACAATGGAGAGATGTTCTGAGAAATGTCATGTGATCTCATTGTGTGAACGTCATGGAGTGTACTTACGTAAGCATAGATGGTATAGCCTACTACATGCCCCTAGGCTACAAACCTGTACAGCAATGTGACTGTACTGAATACTGTAGGCAGTTGTAATACAAAGGCAAGCATTCATGCATCTAAACATAGAAAAGGTAATGTGTTGTGCTACCATGTTATGATGGCTACCATGTCACTAAGTGATAAGAATAACTAGGGTCCCAGTTACAATCTTATGGTACCACCATCGTATATGCAGCCCATCATTTGGCTGAAATATATTGCTATGTGGCCACATGACTATATATTCTTTGAAATATCGCTCTGTTTTCAGTATTGTTCACGAGTCACTAAAGTTTTCTGCCATCGTCACATTGCCCAGGACAGACATGTTGGAATAAGTCAGGTCTCAGCCAGTCTTGTGCATTGGTATCAGCTCAGACAGTTCTATTTTTTTCTTCTCTACAGGGCAAGTTCTAAGCTCAGGCAACTCTAGGAACATACCTTAGACTCCTTGATGAGCTTTCAGGTCACCCTAGTGAGACCATATGCATCACCAATCTGTGTAGTTAGTTATTTTCTGCATAGATTTCCACAGATGGCTCGTCTCATCTCTTTTATGTTCACCCTTATTAGTTTCCATTTTAGATGGTGACCTTGTCTTTTTTAATGCATTTAATGATTTTCTGCGAACCAGTGAAAAAGAATAAACAGCAAAATGAGCCAAAAATTTGACCAGGCAATTCATATAGGTAGAAATCAAATTGCACAATAAACATATAAAAAGATGATCAGCCTCATTAGTAATCGGAGAGATGCAAATTAAACTATAATAAGATAACATTATATACCCTCCGGTAGACTAAAAATTGTAATAAAGTCTGACATACCAAATGTGTACACAATTACAAGAGTAATACATACTCTTCGTAGTAAACGTGGGAAATGTGGAGAAGTGTAGAGAAGACACAAACCTCGTTACCTAGGGATAACCACTGTTAGCATGTTAGAATACAGTATGCCAATAATTTTTTCCATGCTGAAATATGTATTTCACATTATTGGCATCAAACTGTATATAGTTTTCACCTGTATTGTGAAATATAACAGATATAGAAAAACATGAAAAGCCTATATGTAAAGTTTTTGTTGTTGTTGTTGTTGTTTTTTTGTTGTTGTTGTTTTTTTGTAGAAGTGGAGTCTCACTGTGTTTCCCAGGCTTGTCTGAATTCCTGGCCTCAAGCAATATTCCTGTCTCAGCCATATATGTAAAGTTTAACAAAAATGTATAAAATGAAAACCTGTGTCACCACCGACCAGGTCGAGAAATAGAATGTTGACAACACTTGTACAGACCCCTGTGTGCCCCTCCCAGTCACAGCCCCCTCCCTCCCTGTAGAGGTAGACACTACCGACTTTTGTGCGGTCATTTTCTCCCTTTACTTTATACTCTGCCACCTATGTATGCAGCCATAAATCATATAGTTTTGTTTTACCTGTCTTCTAACCTTGTAGAAATGGGATCACACCATGTGTAATCTGTTTTGTCTTTCCCCCAACATTATTGTCGATCTGTTGTGTGTCACTGTAGTTCATTTGTTTTCGTTGCTATATGTTATTCCACTGTTTGACTATATCACAAGTTGTTTTTTAATTCATTCTCTTATTAATGAACATTTGGATAATTTCCAGTTTGGGGCCATTTTAAGTAGTGCTGCCAGGAGCATTCTTAGGCAGATGTGCAAAAGTTTCTCTAGGGCAGAGGTTCTCACACTGTGCTCTGAGGACCCTTGTGGGGGCCTATGAGACTTCTTCAGGGGGTCTACAAGGTCCACCTACATTTATTGATTGATTAATTGGTTGATTGAGATGGGATCTCACTCTGCTGCCCAGGCTGGAGTGCAGTGGTGCATTCTCAGCTCACTGCAACCTCCACTTCCCGGGCTCAAGTGATTGATCCTCCCCCCTCAGCCTCCCCAGTCACTGGGACCACAGGTGCATGCCAGCATGCCTGGCTAATTTTTTGTATTTTTGGTAGAGATGGGGTTACACCATGTTACCCAGGCTAGTCTTGAACCCCAAGCTCAAGCAATCCACCCACCTCAGCTTCCCAAACTGCAGGGATTACAGGTGTCAGACATTGTGCCCAGCCCAACTACTTATATATTAATCCTAGGATGTTAACTGCCTTTCCCATTCTCCTCTCACGAGTATGCAGTGGCGTTTTTTAGAGGCTATGTGACATGCAGTATCATCACCCTGATGGCTAATGGAGTGTGTGCTTGTGTCATATGGTTTAAAAATGCCTGTTTTAATTTCTAATATGATAAATATCAATAGCAGTCACTGATACAAATAAAAGCTCTTTGAGGTCCTCAATAATTTTGAGTATATTTAAAATCTTTCAGGCCAAAAAGTTTGAAAATTGCTTCTCTAGGGTTATACCTAGAAGTGAATTTCCTGAGTTATGCAGTATTTGGAACTTGAGTTTTATGAGGTGGTACTAAACTGTCTTCCAAAATGGTTGTACCAATTTATATTCCTACCAGCAGTGTAAAAAAGTTGTTGTGCCAGCCTCACCAGCGCTTGGTATTGTCAGACTTGACTATGATATTTAGCCTACTGGGGCTTTTTATAATATTGTAATGGTTTCGTTTGCATCTTTCTGGTTACTAATGAGGTTGAACATCTTTTCCTATGTTTATCTTCCAGTTTGGTTTCCTCTTTTATGAATTGCCTGGTTGTCTTTGGCTCATTTTCCTGTTTATTCTTTTTCTACTAATACTCACTCATGATTCTTTATTTCCTCGTGTGCTTGGTGGTTTACTTATTTATTTATTTTTTTGGCTGTGTACTGCTTATTGTAACTGAAATATATATCTGGGGAATCTTTGAAGTCTAGGGTAAATTTGCCTTCTTCCAGAGAAGAATTTATGTTTGGTTTTTGTCAGGTGCCTTGTGTGATTAGTCTGGGACTACCTTAAAGTTTCTACCATTTTCGCTTTGTTTTGCCATCATCAAGGCAGCCTTTCTTGCAATCCTCTGGGGGTGGAATTTGGGAGGGGCATATTTGTTTCTGAGTCGCCCTTGCCCCAAGGGTGTAACACGTTGGGGTCCCAGCTTAATATGAGAAGAATTTTCTGTTACATTCCTTTAATGGTCATGGGCCTGCTCTTCAGCCCCCTTTGCCTGCCTTGGAAGATTGTCAAAACCAAAGTCAAAATTTGTCCAGATTGGCAGATGTCCTCAGAGCCTGTGGCTGCATGTGCATGGACTCCTACCTCCCTGGATTTTCCACTGTCTTTTATGGGTTGTCATGGTTTTTTTTGTTTGTTTGTTTTGTTTTTGTTTTTGTTTTTGAGATGGAGTTTTGCTCTTGTTGCCCAGGCTGGAGTGCAATGGCGTGATCTTGGTTCACTGCAACCTCCGCCTCCCGGCTTCAAGCGATTCTCCCGGCTTCAAGTGATTTTCCTGCCTCAGCCTCCCGAGTAGCTGGGATTACAGGCATGCACCACCACGCCCAGCTAATTTTGTATTTTTAGTAGGGACGGGTTTCGCCATGTTGGTCAGGCTGGTCTCGAACTCCTGACCTCAGGTGATCCGCCCACCTCAGCCTCCCAAAGTGCTAGGATTACAGGCATGAGCCACCATGCCCGGCCTCTCATGGTTGTTTTTTTTACCAACTTGTCAGTTCTTCAACACTTCTAAATGTTTTAAAATGATATTTTAGAATCAACCATTTTAGTTGTTTGTAATGGGAAGATTGGTCCAAATAATCTATTTTGCCATTACTAGAAGCACAAATTATATTGTGAGAGTATCTTATGTATTATAGTTAAAACATGTTTTGAATATAATTTTTTTTTATTTTTTGAGGTGGAGTCTGGCTCTTGTTGCCCAGTCTGGAGTGCAGTGCCATAGTCTTGGCTGACTGCAACTTCCGCCTCCCGGGTTCAAGTGATTTCTGGCTAATTTTTAGTATTTTTAGTAGAGATGGGGTTTCACCATGTTGGCCAGGCTGGTCTCGAACTCCTGACCTCAAGTGATCAGCCTCCCTTGGCCTCCCAAAGTGCTAGGATTACAGGCGTGAGCCACTGCGTCCAGCCTGAATATAATTTTTGATGAATATTTAGGTTGACTCTAGGTCTTTGCTGTTATAAATGACATTTCATTAAATATCTTTGTACATAATATTTGGATGAACATTATTTCTAGTTACAGGGTGGGAGGGAGAGGCAGGAGAGAGAGAGTCTAAACCTTGGTGCTCAGTTAATGTTAACTCTTGTCACTCTTATTACACGTACACATGGGATGGCTGAAGGGCACGTGGAGCCATCCTGCCTAATGGCCTTGGTCTTTTCCCTGGAGGAGGAAACAAGGTCTTGTGCTGAGTATATGAGGAGCCAGGTAGAGAGTTAAGATTGGAAAGAGTAGTCCGGGCGCGGTGGCTCACGCCTGTAATCCCAGCACTTTGGGAGACCGAGGCGGGCGGATCACAAGGTCAAGAGATCGAGACCATCCTGGCCAACATGGTGAAACCCCGTCTCTATTAAAAGTATAAAAATTAGCTGGGCGTGTTGGCGGGCGCCTGTAGTCCCAGCTACTCAGGAGGCTGAGGCAGGAGAATCGCTTGAACCCGGGAGGCGGAGGTTGCAGTGAGCTGAGATCATGCCATTGCACTCCAGCCTGGGCAACAGAGCGAGACGCCGTCTCAAAAAAAAAAAAAAAAAAAATTGGAAAGAGTACTGTCAGGTACAAAGGGAGCCAATTAAGGAAATGTGGATTGCCAAGGTACCCCAAGGGCCTGGCTTGACTCAAACACCCTGAGCTGGCACCTGTGCCGGTGCTAATCAGGACAGTGATACAAGACTTTCTCCTGCAATGTGGCACCACCCCAGAATACAGCAAGGCTGGCTGGTGGCGAGATCACCATTCCTGGTCAGTTCCCTCCAAGAACTGTTAATTGAGTGCTGTGTATGCACCAGGCATCTTGCTTGGTGCTGGACCAATGGTGATGCGGGCACTGACTGTGTTTCAAGGAGCTCCTGGTCCAGTGGGGTTGGGAGAGTGGGTTCTCTTTTCAAAGTTGAGGATTGGCAGGGCAGGGGCAGAGCATTGTGACAGGTATTGCTGGCTCTGGCTACAATCTCTGCGATGACCTAGCTGGGACTGTGCCAGGTGGCAAAGGAGGTAGAGCCCATTGAAGGTTTGAGGAGGACCAGAAAGGATTCCTGAGGGTGGCCTGGCAGGCTCTGCAGGCCTGCTGGGGTATAGGTTGGGCCACGAGTGGGAAGATAGAGCCAAGGCCACAGAGTGGGATTTCCAAGGCGGGACAGTTTCTTGTCCAGTGTGGGATGAAGTGAAATGAGAGCATGAAGGACACTGGAGAGGAGGAAGGAGGTCAAGGGACCAAGGGCAGGATGACTTGGGGTGAAGAGAGAACCCAGCCACAGCCAGGCAGCTCCCTCTCACTCGCTCTAGCTCCCTCTCGCTAGGAGGAAGGGTACTGGAAGTCAGGAGAGGACAGCCTCAGGAAGCAGGTCAACAGCCAGGTGACTGCAGCCCTCAAGCATTGAAGTACATTGAAGTACTGACAAGATTCTAAGAACAACCATGACAGAACCTAGGAGACAGGAAATTCAGAGAGGTAACTAGAGAGTGAGGGTGGGTTTCTTGGAAGGCCCCAATCTTCTTTTTAGAAGAGAAAATAGTGGTAGAAAGTCACAAAGAGACTTGCCCCAAGTCACAGATGCGTCCTTTATATCCACTGCCTCTAAACTACAGAAGGCTTTTTTGTGTAGAGGATTAATTTCCTTTCTCCTCCCACATGTTAAAACAGTTCCATTTTCTTTCACACACCATACGATTTACCTGTTAAAATACACAGCTCGGTGGTTTCTAGTGTATTCAAAACTGTGCAACCATCACTCTCATTATCTAATTTTAGAACATTTTATTACCCTAAAAAGAAACCCCTTACCAGCCCCTCCCATTTCCCACCTTCCCCCTGGCCCTCAGCAGCTACTAATCTGCTTTCAGCCTCTATGGATTTCCCTATTCTGGGCATTCATATAAATGGAATGATATAATATCTGGCCTTTTGTGTCTGGCTTCTTTTACTTAGCGTGATATTGTCAAGGTCCATCCACGTTGTAGCATGGATCAGATATTCATTCCTTTTTATGGTCAAATAGTATTCCATTTTATGGGTAGACCACATGGTGTTTATCTGTTCCCCAGCTGATGAACATTCAGGTTGTTTCTGCTTTGCAGCTGCTATGAATGGTGCTGCTGTGAACAGTTATGTACAGGTGTTTGTGTGGACTTATGTTTTTAATTCTCTTGGGTGGAGTTGTGAAGTCATATGGTAATGCTATGTTTAACTTTGTAAGGAACTGTCAGACTATTTTACAAAGTTGCTGTGTCATTTTACAATCCCACCAGCAGTGTAGGAAGGTTCCAGTTTCTCTATGTCCTTGCCAACACTTGTTATTTTCTGTTTCATTTTTATTTTAGTCATCCTGGTAAGTGTGAAGTGGTAACTCATGATGGGTTTGGGTTTGATTTGCATTTCCCTAGTGACTAATGAAGTTGGGTGTCTTTTTTTTTTTTTTTTTTTTTTTGGAGACAGGGTGTTGCTCTGTCACCCAGGCTGGAGTGCAGTGGCACCAACAAGGCTCACTGCAGCCTCTGCCTCCCAGGCTCAACCAATCTTCCCACCTTAGCCTCCTGATTAGCTGGGGCTACAGGTGTGTACCACCATGCCGAGCTTTTTTTTTTTTTTTTTTTTTTTTTTTTAGTTTTTGTAGAGACAGGGTTTCGCCATGTTGCCCAGGCTGGTCTTGAACTCCTAGGCTCAATTGATCCTTCTGCCTTGGCCCCCAAAGTGCTGGGATTACAAGTGTGAGCCACCACACCTGGCTTGGGCATCCTTTTATGTGCTCATTAGATCATGTGTTCTGGAGTAAAATTCTGTTTAAGGCAAAGGGCACTAAACCTGGAACCAGGAGGCCCTGGCCATACCCTGAATCACGGTGAGTCCTTCATGTTTCTTGTTAGATTTATCTGTTGCCAGGTACTTCATGGTATATCATTCCTTTATAAATGCATCTTCCTACTTGAGAGCAGGGACCTTATTGGTCAAATTCAACACTTCTGCTCTATGTTTTCAATTGCCACCTTCTCCCTTTTCTTAATTCTTTCCACTCACCTAAAAAGCTAAAGTTTTCCTTCATCCTTCAACATCTCTCTTTCCTCTGCCTCCCTTTTAATAAGCTAGTATCTTATCTCCTTTCTCCTTTAGGTCTCCACTCCCTACCTTTCTACCTCATCTGCCTTCAATTCTCAGTCAAACTGGAGTGTGACTTCTGTCATCTTCCCCTCTTGTCTACTGGAAGGTTTCTCTACGGCCACCAGGGTACCTGTATTTTTTAGGTTGATTATTGAAGTAGCAGGTCCCAAATCATTGATACCAGTGACCTCTCTGATGAGTGGAATTGGAAGGAAGGGGTGACCTCACTCCTTGCTGTAGAGTTGTTATTTGGGAGAATGTATATAAGAAAGTCCTTAAATTAGCTTGATAGAGAGCAGGCAATGGTAGCAATGTGGCATAGAACTGCTTATTTAGAGTTGGTAGCAGGAAATGTCTACATTAGTGATATCCAAATAATGGACCCCAATGACCTTTGAATTGATATTGGGGTCAAGCATTGAATGTAAACAGTTAATGATGAGCTGGGTCATATGTGTACTGCAATTTAAAAAATGTATTTAAATGTTGCTTTGATTAATAAATTGCAGAAATTTTAGAATCTGATAGGGGCAGGCCTTTAAAAAATTACTCTTGTTTTGAAATTTATCTTCCCATGCATTTTATTCACATATACTTTAGAGTCAAGTTTTTAAAAAAAGTCCGTTGGGATTCCGATTGCACTTGCATTGACTAGGTGAGAGTCTTAGGAAAATCAACATTTTTTTCCTTTTTTTTTTCTTTTCTTTCCTTCTTTTTTTTTTTTAGTAGTATTAAGTTTTCCTATTCAAATTCAAGGTCTCTCTATATTTAGTTCTGTTGTCTTTGTGTTTTATGACTTTTTTCAAGTTTATTTTTCACATTGCTTGTCAGACTTATTCTCAAGTGCTCTGTAGTATATATTCCTGTTGTGAATGGGACATTTTTCCCCCATGGTGTTTTCTTTCCCTTTTTTTTTTTTTAGACAGAGTTTTGCCCTTGTTGCCCAGGCTGGAGTGCAGTGGTATGATCTTGGCTCACTGCAGCCTCCGCCTCCCGGGTTCAAGTGATTATCCTGTCTCAGCCTCCTGAGTAGCTGGGATTACAGGCATGTGCCACCATGCCCAGCTAATTTTTGTATTTTTAGTAGAGACAGGGTTTCACCATGTTGGCCAGGCTGGTCTTGAACTCTTGACCTCAGGTGATCTGCCTGCCTCAGCCTCCCAAAGTGCTGGGATTACAAGCGTGAGCCACTGCACCTGGCCCCCTACTATGTTCTCTAAGTGAGGATTGTTGGTGTCTGAGAAAGCTACTGGTGTGTGTGTGTGTGTGTGTGTGTGTGTGTGTGTGTGTGTGTGTGTATGTGTTTGAGATAAGGTCTTACTCTGTTACCCAGCCTGGAGTGCCTAGCATTCTTCGTTAGCCACTTTACCTAACAATCTTTTTATTTTTATTTCTCCTAGTTTTATTGTTTTGTGTATTTTTAGTGTTGTTTTCTTTTTTTGAGACGTGGACTCACTGTTGCCCAGGCTGGAATGCAGTGGTGCGATCACAGCTCACTGCAGCCTCAAACTCCTGGCCTCAAGCAGTTCTTCTGCCGTAGCCTCCTGAGTAGCTGGGACTACAGGCACATGCCACCACACCTGGCTAATTTTTAAATTTTATGTAGAAACGGGCTCTTGTTATGCCCAAGCTGGTCTTAAACTCCTGGCCTCAAGCAATCCTCCTGCCTCAGTCTTTCAAAGTGCTGGGCTTACAGGTATGAGCCACCATGCCTGGCCTTTCCTAGTTTTGCTCTTGATTCTGTTGGCATTTCCAGGTATATAACCATATTATCTGCAAATAGTGATGACTTTCCTCTTCCAATATTTTTCCCTTTATAATCACTTATCTGGTTCTCTTATCTGATTCTACTGGCTATTAAATAATAGTGGTGCTAATAGTCTCTTTGCTTGTTCTTGACTTTAGTTTGTGATATGTATTTTTATCACATTAAGGATAAATCCTGACTCCTATTTTTACTAAGGATTTGTCTTTTTAAAAAATCAGAATTGGATGCCAAATTTTATCAAGTGGTCCTTTGGTGTCTCCCAAGGTCTCTCTGCTTCTATTTAACCTGTTAATGTAGTAAATTCTATCAATAGTTTTTCTGTATATTTATGACTTTTTTGTTTCTTTCTTTCTTTTTTTTTTTTTTTTATTAAGAGACAGGGTCTCGCTATGTTGTCCATGCTGGTTTCGATCACTTGGGCTCAAGCAGTCCTCCTGCATTGGCCTCCCAAAGTACTGGGAATATAGGCATGAGCCACCATGCCTGACCTAGATATGATTTTTATATCAGTATTTAAAAGTGAGATTAGACTGTAGTATAGTTTTTCTGTACTACCTTTTCCAGCTGTTACTAAAAGAAATGGGCAGTTTTTCTTATTTCTCTGCTCTGGAAAATTGGAACAGGAGAGAAATTATCTGTCTTTTGAGGACTGACATAATTCTTTTGTGGACTGAGCCTAGGTTGATTCTTTTAAAGAGGTAATTCAAAGACAACTTTCCTGTTCTTCCCCGTGGCATTTTCTCTGTTTAGATTTTTGTCTTTCTTCCTGACTAAATTTTGAAAATGTGTGTATTTCTATGATGATAACCATTTCATCTAGTTGAATATAAGTTTCATAAAGGCAGGATTTAAAAAATCTGTTTTGTTCACTGTTATATTCCCAGGACCTAGAACAGGATAAGGCACATGCTAGGTGTTGGTAGATATTTGTCAAATAAATGAAAGAGGTAATCAATAAATAAAGCTAGATTTTTCCCATTCATGAGAATGGAGCTGTATAAAGCTTTGTCTTACCATTATTTTGATTTGTTTTGTATTAGTAGTTACTATTTTCTCATTCCTAATTTATGTCAGCCCTTTTTTTCCTTGATTAAGTTAGTGAGGTGATCTCTTTTGGTGAACATTTTTAAAAGAAACTAGGCAGAAGGAGCAAATCACCTATTAGAAGAAAAGAACTCAGGTTCACTTCACCCTTCTTCGTGACAATATTTGATGCCAGAAGAAATTGGGGTAATGCCTCTACTAACTTAGAGGGCAAAAGTGTGTGATCTAAGTTGTCATTCTCATGGAGAGGCAACACAAAAGCATTCTGAAAAATGTAAGGCTTCCTGTACACACATGTTCATAACAGCTTTATTCCTAATTGCCAAACACTGGAATCAGCCCACATGTCTCATACCATGGAATACAACTCAGTAATAAAAAAGAACAAACTATTGACACCACAACAACCTGGATGGATCTCAAATGCATCATGCGACATGAACAAAGGCAGTCTTAGAAGAATTCTGTATTAGTCTGTTTTCATGCTGCTGATAAAGACATACCTGAGACTGGGCAATTTACAAAAGAAAGAGGTTTAATGGACTTACAATTCCACGTGGCTGGAGAGGCCTCACATCAGGGCAGAAGGCAAGGAGGAGCAAGTCACATCTTACATGGATGGTGGCAGGCAAAGAGAGAGCTTGTGCAGGGAAACTCTTTCTCATAAAACTGTCAGATCTTGTGAGACTTACTCACCATCATGAGAACAGCACAGAAAAGACCTGCCCCAATGATTCAGTTACCTCCCACCAGGTCCCTCCCACATCACATGGGAATTCAAGATGAGATTTGGGTGGGGACACAGCCAAACCATATCAAACACATACTGCATGATTCTAATGTGACATTCTTGGAGTAACACTATTATAGAGATGGAGAACAGAGTAGTGGTTTTCAGGGGTTAGGGACAGGTGTGGGGGAAAGAGGAGGTGGGAGAGAGGTAGGTACTCTTATAAAAGGGCAGTACAGGGGATCCTTATGGGGATTAAACTTGTTCTTTATCTTGACTATGGTGGTGGTTACATGACTCACTCATGTGAAAAGTTGTATAGAACTTAATGAACACGCACAAATGAGTGCAAGTAAAACTGGGGAAATTCTGAATACGATGTGTGGTTATATCAATGTCAGCATCCTGATTGTGATAGTGCACTATAATTTTGCATAGTGTGATATTTGTGTAAAGTAAACTGAGCTAAGTGTACAAGGGATCTCTTTGTATTATTTCTTATACCTGTCTGTGAATCTGTAATTATCTCAATAAAAATTTCAATTAAATAATATAATGCTTTAGGAATTACATGTCACTCAGCAACCCTCCTGGAGACATCTACTTAATAGTATAAAACAGCCAAGCAAGAGGGTTGTACTCAGAAAAGGGGAGGCCAAGGGAGGAAAGAGGTGGCAGTAAACACTGAAGTATTTAAACAGATCTCAATGTAATTGATCAGATAGAGAGAGATGCCTGGCAGGAAGGCCTGGGTTCAGAGCTTGGGAGCCACTCTGAGTGTGGGGACCTAGTTTGTGGAGGGGAGCTAAAATAAAAACTAAAATCATAGGAACAGGTGGAATCAGTCTGGGAGAATGGGGGAACATGAAAGATTTCTGTCTTTCTGGGGAACACCGAAATTGAAGAGCTAGACAGAGCCAGATCAGTGAAGGCCACCAAGTAGGAGTGATGAGTGAGATAGGACAAGATTCAGAGGAGGAAAATGTTGCAGAGGTTTAGGACAAAGTGTTTCAAGGAAGGTTGCCCAGTGACATCAAAGCCAGTAGAGGAGTCAGAAGAATGAGGCCTCAAGCCTGCCAGGTGCAAACCTGGGTGTGGCATTTCTCCTGAAGGCTCCCTCTCCTGCGATACTTCCCCCGCCCCCGCCCCCGCCCCCCATTTGGTGGATGGTGCCATCCTTCTAGCCTGTAGGCTAGGGGACACATGTAGGTCATCTCAGAACCCTCTTACTCCTGCAGCCCCTCTGAACTCTTCCCACTGGCCTTTCTCACCTGCCTTCCTCTTTTCCTGTGGCTGTTCCTTGCCACACACTCTGTTCCCACTCTCCCAATTCCTTCTTCCTCACTAGCATCTTCCTATTCTGAGAATGATGGGCTACTAAACCACTAAGACCTGACTCAGGAGGTTTCCTCTGCCTGAAGGCCATCTCCCTCTGCTCCCAGAGAATGGCTGCTCACGTCTCTGAGCCTAGCTCCAATGCTACCTACTCCCTAAAAGCCTGCAGGCAGAGCTAGTGGCTGCTGCTGGCATCAGGTAGCACCTCACGTGTGAGGCTCTCATAGCCCCATTTGTTTAAATGTCTCTGCCACTAGACCGAGGCCAAGAACTCTGGTTTTCTAATCTTTCTGTCTCCTCTAGTACCTGGTACTCCATAGGTCTTTGGTTTATGGTGACTAAATGGTCCCATGCTAACTTCCTGGTTCTATAACCCTATGAAAAGCATTCACTGCAGGATTTCCTTTGAAATGAAAGCTCCTTAGGTCATTGGAAATAGGATTGAATTTGCAGAAACTTGAATCACAGCAGCAGGTTCAGAACTTGTGTTCAAGCAGGGCACCCTGGTCCCTGGAAGGTACATCCTGTTTCATGTTTGGGTAGTCAGGCTCAGGCCCTGGTTGGAGGCCAGGTGTATTTATAGTGAGCCAGGCATGTGACTCATCTCTTCCCCATCTCATGCTCTGGGTGCTTGGCTCCTTCTCATTCCTCTTCTCCCTTCCTGTTATGCAGACCAGCCTCAGTTTTAGATGGTAGACTCCAACCCGATTCCCTGCAGTGTCTCACTAGAATCATCTTTATGCTACCTTCCCTGTGAATGTAGGATCCTGAAATGGACTTTTCATTTTTTATGGCTTTAAAAAAATTGAGATATAATTCACATCCCATACAATTGACCATTTTAAAGTGTGCAATTCAATGGCATTTAGTGCGTTCACAAGGCTGTGCGTCTCTCACCAGCTCTGAAACACTTTCATCACTGCAAAAAGAGACCCTGTATCTATTAAGCAGTCACTCCATATTTGTCCCACCTCACAACCCTGGGCAACCACGAATTTACTTCTAGTCTGTATGGATTTGCCTATTCTGGACATTTCTTGTAAGTGGACTCATACCGTATGTGGCTTTTTGCAACTGACTCGTTTCACTTAGCATCATGTTTTCAAGGCTTATCCAGGTTGTAGCATGGATCAATGCGTCTTTGTTCCTTTTTGTGGCTGGATTATATTCCACTACATGGATGTACCTCTCCCACTAGAACTCTGCTCTGTGAGGTCGTCAGCTGCAGCCACCTCATTCGAGGATGTTTCTCAGGGCTGAAATGAGAGCTGGGCACCTGTTCATGCTCGTCGGTAACCAGCTGTTGGATAAATGAGTAGAGGCTGCTGGTTTTTTCCCAGTGTCTGGTAATGCTCGGTGATATTCCTCAATGGAGAGCTGGCTGGGAGGATGGGAGTGGACACAGGTGGAGGGGGAAGGCTGCATGCTGGAGCTGTAGGTGGTGAGTGACCAGGTTGGGGCCAACTGAACAGGGACTGCTTCTTGGTGCCAGGCCTGCTCAGGCCACTGGCCCATCCTCTACTGTTTGCTGAGCTTTGCTCCTTCCCATACCTTTCCTTGTTCCTATTTGCATTTTAAACACTGTCCTATTTAGAAATTAACAGAGGGAGAATTGATGTCTTTTTGATATTGGGTCCCCTTATCCTCAACCTAGTGTGTCTTTTCATTTGCTCAAGTCTTCTTTTGTGTTCTTCAGTAGTGGGGGATTTTTTTTTTTTTAACTGCTCCTTGCAGAGCAGGGCTGCCTTATAGGCAGTGTGCCCAGAGTAGCCTTCAGTAGTGTTTTAAATATTTTTCCACTCGTATCTAGTATAGTTCTTAAGTTTTTTTTTTTTTTTAACATATTGAGGTATAATTTACACACAGGAAAACTTTCTGATATTAAGATCTTCAGTAGTCATCTTTGGTAGTGTTTTAAAATTTTGTTGCTCAGTTCTGGTATGTTTCCTAAACATTTTTTTAATGAGGTATAATTCACATACAGTAAAATGCTAACATATTAAGATCTTTAAGTTCAGTCAGTTTCAATGAGTGCATATCAAGACAGAACATTTTCTGTCACCCCCAGAATGTTCCCTCATAGCACTTCCCCACCTTGCCCCCAGCAACCACTGATCTGTTTATGAGTGTTTTTTTGTTTGTTTTTGTTTGAGACAGGGTCTCACTCTGTCACCCAGGCTAGAGTACAGTGGCACAATCACAGCTCACTGCAGCCTTGACCTCCCGGGCTCCAGCAATCCTTCCACCTCAGACTCCCAAGTAGCTGGGACCATAGGCATGTACCACCATGACTGGCTGATTTTTAACTTTTTTGTAGAGACAGGGTCTCCCTACATTGCCCAGGCTTGTCTTGAACTCCTGGGCTCAAGTGATTCTCTTATCTCAGCCTCCTGAAGTGCTGGGATGACAGGTGAGCCGTTGTGCCCAGCCTGATCTGATTTTTATACCATAGGTTAATTTTATCTCTTCTAGAATTTCATAGAATTGAAACTATAGATTATTTCCTTTTTTGTTTCTAGCTCTTTCATGCAGCATAATGTTTTCAAGATTCAGCCGTACTGTATGTGTCAGCATTCCTTTTCACTGCTGAACAGTTTTCCATTATGTGCATCTATTCTATTTATCTATTCTCCTATTGATGGACACTTGGGTTATTTTCACTTTAGAGCTATTACAAATCAAGCTGCTGCGAATATTTGTGTCCAAGGCTTTTTGGGGATATGTTTTCATTTCTCTTGGATGGAACCTAGGAGTGAGATTGCTGACTCATGGGGTGTGAAGATGTTTAACTTTTTCTAAGAAACAGTTAGAGTTTTCCAAAGTGGTTGTACCATTTTCTACTCCTACCAGCAGTATATGAGTTCCAGTTCCTCTGCACCATATCCAATATTTGCTGGTGTTCGGCTCCTCCAGCTTTGATTTTTCTGTCATTCCAATCTTATCAACCTTCAGTCTGAATCTGTGGATGCCCTCCCTACCTGCCTCGTGTTTCTAGTGCTTTCATGAATGTATTTGCTTGTAGGCTGCTTTTCTGATATTTTCCAGGGGTTTTGAGAGATAGAGGATATAAATATGAGTGCTTGAGCAAGAGGTCAGAGCCTGTTTTTAGTTATGTGAGTAATCTCTGGTGTGGGGTTACAGCTTGAGGTTGAAGGTAAAAAAAAGGACCAACTGTTCCCCTGTCTTGTCATTTTCCTCCTTTCTGCATTTTCAAAGCAGCAAATAGCAAAAATGATTTCTGTGTCTTCTAAGCCTTCTGATAAAGGAATATTAACCTTTTGGCCCAAGCCTTACTGCACATCCAAGAATAAGTTATTTAAAAGGAAATGGGACTGTCGACATTTCCCACAATTTTAAATGTTAAAAATCCTTTTGTGTGTGGGAGGCATAGGGATTGTTTCGCTAGTTCCTGTAGATGCTCAGCCCTCAGCCAGCGTGCCAGATGGGTGCGAGTGCTCCCGTCACTCCTCGCATTCCCCCTCTTCTCAGGAGTGTATGTGCACAGTTCTGCTTGTCCCTTATACAGGAAAATAACTGCTTGCTGCCTTTTCTTCCCTCCTGGAGCAAGGCGGACTCTCCCAAGAGAGTTAGGGATTCTGGGGCTGCTAGGATGGGGGGGTGCAGTGCAGTGGGGTGAGACAGTGGCTCTGGCTGTCCCAGCCCCTGTTAAAGGAGGGGTGTAGGAGGTGGAGCCTTTCTGGTGGCAGCAGTTCCTGAGCCTGGGAGGAGGGAGGAATATGTGATGAGGACATCCTTTGTGACCAGGCATTAAAACATTGAATATGAAACCTGTAGTTCTGGGGTTTGATGCATTGATTAGTATGATACCTCCACAGAGCAGGATGACAAATTTGCAACCTCTGCCTCACTGGCTAAGCAATTCTTCTGCTTCAGCCTCCTGAGAAGCTGGGATTACAGGCACATGCCACAATGCCCGGCTCATTTTTGTACGGACTGCTTCCTGGCAGTTTAGTACCATGAAGGCATTGTGACTTGTTTACTCCAGCCTCTGGAAGTATGGCTTAAAATCTGTGCACTCTGTAATTCGTCCGCCTGTCTTTGGCTGTCTGTTAGTCCATCAGAGCTGTGTTGCACGGAACATAAACATGCTTTCACAGAGGAACATGCCAGCCTGGGAGGGAAGCCCAGGCAGTAGGCTTGCTGACTTTTAATATCTCCTTTAAGCAGAATTTAGCATAGCCAGAGAGGGTGGGGTTGGGGTGGGCAGAGCAGGGAAGAAACCTAATTATGCAAATTTTGATCTTAAAGCTTTATTCGTATGTTTCCTGGCAGGCTGTTCTTTAATCTCAAGAGCAAGATTGCTCAGAATTACCATATATTCTAGTTAATTGCATTAAAATTATAGCAAAGGTTGTTTTTGCTATAATCAAGAGTGATTCTGATTAATACTTATGAAATCAAATGCCTCACCAGCAGTGGGGATGAGAACAACCTTGCCAGTCAGCTATTCCCTCCCCAGTCTTCCCTCCCCAGTCTCCCCTCCCCATCTTCCTCCAAAAGGCCAAAGATACAAACATGTTTGAAAGAGTTTTTTTTTAAAACTACTTGCTTATATGGATAGTCATTTTCAAAGAACACTTCTCAAAGAGGGAGTCTGATTATTTTCTTCTCTCTTTAGTACAAAGGTTGTAAAATAGCTCTTTATTGAGGAAGGCAAAGAGAGGGCCTGAGCAGACGCCTTGGCTGGCAACAGTGACACAAGCACATGCCGTCCTCTCCTGACTGGCTAGCTGTGGACTGGCAGCCACTCAGGGCACTCTGAAGGGTGTTTTCTGTCAGATCAGTAGAGCACCTTGGGAAGATCCAGAAGAAATCTGGAGAAGACACAATCACACACATACCGAAAACATTAGAATTACATACAAATATGAGATAGAAACAAAGTGGAAATGAACTAGAGTAAGGTATGTCCAAAGTGCTTAGTGGAGGGACCAGGGTGATGGCAGTGGGCCTGAAGGAAATGACTGGATGCAAGAGGGATTTGTTAGGTCGAATTGACTGGCCTCATTGATGGGTCGGATGTGGGTGGTGAGGGGAAGGAGTTGTCATGGGTAATGCCCAAGTTTCTGGCTTGAGGAGCAGTGGTGCCATTTCCTCAGATGGCAATGGTTTGTACAGGTCTCCCTGCACACATGGGAGTTAGATGCTGAGAAGTTAACTTACAAGGTGAGATTTCCAGGAGGTTCCTTTGGAGGTTCTTAGGCTGGATACAGAACCTAGACATTCCTACTAGTGATGAGAGAACAGACTCACAAGGAGAGGCATTTCACAGGGACCATCATCGGGACAAGCTCATTTTCAGAAAATACTAAACTTATTATCCAGGAAAGTCTCATTCACTTGCCTTGACCATGAGAGAAACTATTGAAGAGCAGAGAATTTGGCAGATTGCAAAAGAGAACATCACAGAAATCTGATCCAGCATCATAGTCATCTTTGTTTATTGATCCTCATGTGTGTAACTCAGTTTTAATCATCTTCTGCCACGAGGCCATCACAAGTATGCTTCCATGGATTCTATTCAAAGGATTGGAGTCTTCACAGGAAACCACCTACATCCCTGAGCCTCTGTCCTCTTAAAACCCAGGCTGATAGCAACAGAAAGTGAAACACCACATGTTCTCACTCATATATGGAAGCTAAATAAAGTTAATCTCATAGAAGTAAAAAGTGGATTCGAGGATACTAGAGGCTGGGAAGGCTAGGGGGAAGGGGGCAGTTAGGAAGAGATTTTGTAAAGGATACAAAATTACAGCTAGATAGGAAGAATAAGTCTAGTGTTCTATACTATTAGGATGACTACAGTTAACAAGAATATATGTTTCTTGTGTATGTGTGTGACAAGAGTCTCACTGTGTCACCCAGGCTGGAGTACAGAGATCTTGGCTCACTGCAACCTCTGCCTCCCAGGCTAAGCGATTCTTCTGCTTCAACCTCCCGAGTAGCTGGGATTACAGGCATGTGCCACCATGCCCAGCTAATTTTTGTAGTTTTAGTAGAGGTGGGGTTTCACCATGTTGGCCAGGCTGGTCTCGAGCTCCTGATCTCAAGTGATCTGCCCGCCTTGGCCTCTCAAACTGTTGGGATTATAGGCGTGAGCCACTGTACCCAGCCAAGAATATATGGTTTTAAATAGCCAGAAGGAGGATATTGAATGTTACCAACATGAAGAAATGATAAATGTTTGAAATGATGGATACGCTAATTACACTAATGTGGGCACCATACAATATATTATTATTATTATTATTATTATTATTATTATTATTATTATTTTTGAGATGGAGTCTCACTCTGTCGCCTAGGCTGGAGTGCAATGGCACAATCTCTGCTGACTGCAAGCTCCGCCTCCCTGGCTCAAGCTGTTTTCCTGCCTCAGCCTCCCAAGTAGCTGGGATTACAGGCATGTGCTACCACGCCCAGCTAATTTTTGTAGGTTTTTTTTTTTTTTTTTTTTTTTTTTTTTTGAGACAGAGTCTCACTCTGTCGCCCAGGCTGGAGTGCAGTGGCACGATCTCGGCTCACTACAACCTCCACCTCCCGGGTTCAAGCGATTCTCCTGCCTCAGCCTCCCGAGTAGCTGGGATTATAGGCACATGCCACCACGCCCAGCTAGTTTTTTGTATTTTTAGTAGAGACGGGGTTTCACCGTGTTAGCCAGGATGGTCTTGATCTCCTGACCTTGTGATCCCCCCGTCTCGGCCTCCCAAAGTGCTGGGATTAAAGGCGTGAGCCACCGTGCCCAGCCATGTAGTTTTATTAGAGACAGGGTTTCACCATGTTGGCCAGGCTGGTCTCGAACTCCTGACCTCAGGTGATCCGCCCTCCTTGGCCTCCCAAAGTGCTGGGATTACAGGCGTGAGCCACCGCACCTGGCCCACATTATGTTATTATATGTATCAGTACATCACTATATGCCTCATGAATATGTACTACAGTTAATTATTTTGAGACAAGGTCTCAGTCTGTTGCCCAAGCTGGAGCGCAGTAGGGGAGATCTCAGCTCACTACAACCTTTGCTTCCCAAGCTCAAGTGATCCTCCTGCCTCAGCCTCCCAAGTAGCTGAAACTACAGGCGTGTCCCCCCACACCTGGCTAATTTTTGTATTTTTGGTACAGACAGGGTTTTGCCACGTAGCCCAAGCTAGTCTTGAACTCCTGGACTCGAGTGATCTGCCTGCCCCATCCTCCCAAAGTGCTGGAATTACAGGTGTGAGCCACCACCTCCAGCCATGTACAACTATTATTTGTCAATTAAAAAATAAAAGTAAAAAAGGAATGTCTTCAGTAAACATACAGTAATTAGGAAAGTTTTTGCACATTTGGAAAAACTAGAAAACAAAAAAAACAGGCTGATGAGTAGGATGAAATAGGTCCCAGGAGCTACCTGTTTTTTTTTTCTTTTGATTTTTAAATTTTAGAACATTTTGGATTTATAGAAAAATTGTGAAAATAGCAGAGTCTTCTCATGTGCTACACACCCAGTTTCCCCTGTTCAAAAACCTGTATAAAAATTGATGTATCATTGTACATATTGTAGGGGTACCTGTGATACTCTGATACATGTATATCATGTGTAATGATCAAATCAAGGTAATTAGAATAGCCACCACCTCATACATTTATCATTTCTTTGTGTTGAGCACATTATAATTCTTCTCATCTAGCTATTTTGAAATATACAATAAATTCTTGTTAACTAGAGTCACTCTACTGTGTTATATAATAGTAGAACTTAATCTTTCTAACTATATTTTTGCACTCATTTTAAAGTTTAATTTTTTTTTTTAATAGAGACAGGGTCTTGTTATTTTGCTTAGGCTGTTCTTGAACTCCTGTCCTCAAGCAATCCTTCTGCCTTGGCCTCCCAAAGTATTGAGATTACAGGCATGAGCCACTGCACCCAGCGTTTTTGTACCCATTATCTGACCTCTTTATCCCTCTCTTATTATTGACATTGCAAATTAGTATAGTACATTTATCACAATCAATAAATCAGTATTGATACACTGTTATTAAAGTCCATGTTTTATTCAGAATTCCTTAGTTTTTTCCTGGTGTGTTTTTTTTTGTTGTTGTTCCAGGATCCCATCCCCTACCTGGGCATTTTGCATCTGAGAATTGCTGGGCTGAATGGTCAAGAATTCCAAGAGCACAGTTCCCCATGTCTTTGGGTTCTCTGCAGGCTGATAGTTGAAGGATTCCTAAAATTGGTTTTTTATTTTGTTTTGTTTTTTGAGACAGGGTCTCACTCTGTTGCCCAGGCTGGAGTGCAGTGGCACAATCACGGCTCACCACAGCCTCCACCACCCCTGGGCTTAAGCGATTCTCCCACTTCAGCCTCCAGAGTAGCACGGACTACAGGAGTGCATCACCACGCCCAGCCAATTTTTGTATTTATTGTAGAGATGGGTTTTCACTACGTTGGCCAGGCTGGTCTCGAACTTCTGGGCTCAAGCAATCCTCCCATCTCGGCCTCCCAAAGTGTTGGGATGACAGGTGGGAGCCACCACACCTGGCCCCCTAAATTAGGTTTTTAAAAATACCACTACCCAAACTTCAGTTTAGTTTTCATCTTCTTTTTCCTGTTGCTATTGCATCTGATGGAGTTTAAGGTGACTCAATGATTCCATTTCCAAGTAGGTCCATGGAAAAGTGTGTTGTTGCTGGGGATGGGGAGAGTCACCACTTCCTGAAGGCCTCCTGTGCAGTCACTGTGATGGGCCAGGCCCTGTTTGGCATCCTAGTCTAACCCTCTTGGCTCTCTGATGCAGAAAGTGGAGTTCATCTCACATCTCAGGTCACCATGGAAGGTGTGCAAGACCCCTCTCTTATTTTAAACATTATTTATTTATCTATCTATTTATCCATCTGTGTAGTCTATCTAATTTGTCAGTCAATCAGTCATAGCTCACTGCAGCCTTGAACTCCTGGGCTCAAGCAGTCCTCCTGTCTGAGCCTCTCGAGTAGCTAGAATTACAGGCATACCCCCACCCTGCCATGCCTGGCTAATTTTTAAATTTTTATAGAGATGGAATCTCACTATGTTGCCCAGGCCGGTCTCAAACTCTTGGCCTCAAGAGATCCTCCCTCCTGGGCCTCCCAAAGTGTTACGATTATAGGCATGTACCACCATGCCTGGCCTTACTTTGGCTTGTATTACATTATATTCCCCTTTATCCTCCATCTATACTTTCCCCCCCTCTCCTCATTAAGCACCACTCTTTTTTTCCTCCCAATTTTCTCCTGTGGTGAAATACACATATGTAAAATTTAATTTTTTTTTTTTTTTTGAGACAGGGTCTCGCTCTGTCTCCCAGGCTGGAAGTACAGTAGCATGATCTTGACCAAATGCAGCCTCTGCCTCCTGGGCTCAAGCGATTCTCCTGCCTCTGCTTTTCCAGTAGCTGGGACCACAGGTGTGCACCACCACATCCAGCTAATTTTTATATTTTTTACAGGGATGGGGTTTCATGTTGCCCAGGCAGGTAAATTTGCTATCTTAAGTTTTTAAGTCTACAATTCCATGGTATTAAGTACATTCACATGGTTGTGAAGCACCTGTTCTTTATATGTCATTAAATATGCACATATCCTTGTGAAATATGTAGAGTGCATGTGTGCTTTTTATGAATAGTATTGTGCTGATCTGTTTCCTACTGTCTGCACTCAGAACCGTGTTTTCAAGATCTCTTCGTGTTGCTATATCTGCTTTGTTGCTTCCAATTGTCCTAGGGTGTGACACCCAAAGTGTCTCCAGTTCCCTGTTCCACAGTCAGTGCAGCAGCAAGCATCCTTCTCCATGTGCCCAGGAGCAGAATATCACATCATGGGGCACACCCCAAGTGCTGCCAGGTGGCTTCTAGGATGACTGCTGGTTCATACTCCCACCAATAGGGCCCATGGGCTTCCATATTTCCACATCCTTCCCAAATCCATTCATCTTTTGAATTTTTGCCTTCATGGTAGATGTGAAAAGTATCTCGTGCTAAGCAGCTGTGATAAAGGTTGCATATCTGCAGTGTCATGCACGGTGCTTTGTGCACGTGTGGATGCCTTGTTATCTTCTGGCCTGGGAGGGAATCTTTAGTTTGGTCAGATGAAGATGTCATTTGTTACCTGCCATCCTCCTTCCCAAGCTGTGTTCTTCCTCCTTTAAGAACCTTCTCTCAAGCTCCTAGCTTCCAGGAAGCCTGTCAGATTAACTTACCTACTCTACTCCTTACTCTTGATTATTCTAGAATACTTAGGTAATGTGTGCTTGTACAGCTTTCCTAGGGCTGCTGTAACAAAGTATCACAAACTGGGTGGCTGAAAACAACAGAAATGTATTGTCTCCCAACTCTGGAGGCTAGAAGTCTGAGATCAAGGTGTTGGGAGGGCCATTCTCTCCCTGAAGGCTCTAAGTAGAAGAATCTTGTCTCTCCCTGCTGCTGGTGGTGGCCATCAGTCCCTGGCATCCCTCAGCTTGCAGCTGCATCACTCTAATCTCTGTGTCTCCATCTTCACATGGAATTCTCTCCTGAGTCTGTTTCCAAGTTTGTGTCTTCTTATAAGAACACCTCTTGTTGGATTAGGGCCCACTTATCCATTATAACCTCAGCTTAACTTGACTATATCTGCAAAGATCATTCATCCAAATAAGATCACATTCATAGATTTTGGTTGGGTATGAATTTGGGAGGACACTATTCAACCCAGTACAGTGATACAGGCAGATTTCACTGCAGCAAGTAGAATCATACATACAAACAAACAAGCAAACAAACAAACAAAAAAACACCAAAAGAAAGGCTGCTCATGCCCCAATCATGAGCCAGCCTGGAAGTTTATGTGGCTGCTCCTCTTGGAGCCATTGCTACAAGATCCACATGGAAAGTGGAACAGATGGCAAATGAATTCTTGTTCCTTGAGTTGCTGCCTTTGATTGCTTTGTGCTTTAGTCTTCTCATCTGAAAATAGGAGTGTGATCATCCTACCTTTACATGACTAGTGCAATAATTTACAAGAATAGCAAATTAAGTTCCTTGTGGACAGAGTTGATCCCTACTGGAAGCCCCTCCCTATGGTTTGGGTTCCAGTGACCAAAAGATGTTTTCCTCAGGTAAATAAAAGGCTCTGGTGGTTGGACTGCCATTGTTTGTCACCTTACCTCACACAAATGCCCTGCAAGAACAATAAGAACAGAACCATGGTGTAATGTTCATAAATGCCAACTTGTAGCAAAGGCATAATAACATACTAAGGTGTGAATTGTGGGCCATAATTAAGGCCTTTGTCTGTCATATTGCCCAATTAGAATATACGTAATTGTAAGTAGGGTCACTCTTTTAAGAATAAGTGATTGTTGAAAATGTGACGTTAAAGGTTTAGCAGAACAGGATATAGAATGAATTCCAAATGGATACTGCAAATCTGTTAAGAACAAAGTTGGGCACCTGGTTGGTGGATTTCTTTTTCTTTTCTTTTCTTTCTTTCTTTTTCTTTCTTTCTTTCTCTCTCTGTCTCTCTCTCTCTCTCTCTTTCTCTTTCTTTCCTTCTTTCTTTCGCACCTGGTTTCTTTTAAATAGATGACAACTGCTGTGTCCATTTCTCTGGGGCAGGGGATGTAATGTTCATGCTATTCCCCAGGCCCAGGATGGTGGCTGGCATATAGTAGAGCTCAGCAAAGGCTTGTTGACAGAACAGATTAACACATACATAGAAGAAAGGGACCAGCAGTCTCCTAGGGCTGCTATAACAAATCACATACAGGCTTAAAGCAACACCCATATATTCGCTTGCATTCTGGAGGTTAAAAGGCTGACAAGGGTCTCACTGGCTAAACTCAAGGTGTCAGCATGGCTGTGCTCCTTTTGGAGGCTCTGAGAGTGAATCCATTCCTTGCATTTTCCAGTGTCTGGAGACCTGGAGACTGCCTGCGTTCCTTGGCTTGGACCCACATTACTCTGATGACACTGACTCTGGCCCTCCCTCATCCCTGTTTTACTTATAGGGACCCTTGTGATTACCTTGGGCCCACCCAGGTAATCCAGAGTAATCTCTCCATCTCAGGATCCTTAATCACATCTGGCAGTCACTTTTGCCACATAAAGTGACAAGAGTCACAGGCTCTGGGGGTTAGAATGGGAATGTCCTTGAGAAATTCTGCCTACCACAGGGGTATTGGATGCTATTACCTTTGTATTATATCACAGTGCTTTTAAAGATAGTTTTATTGCTTTTAAATATAAACATAATAAGTTCTCAGGAAATAAGAAAATAGACCTCATCTATGGACAACTACCATTATTGCTCAATTTCAAAACTTGTTATTGGGATTCAGCTTCTTCCTGGTTTAGTCTTAGGAGGGTGTATGTGTCCAGGAATTTATCCATTTCTTCTAGATTTTCTAGTTTATTTGCGTAGAGGTGTTTATAGTACTCTCTCTCTCTCTCTCTCTTTTTTTTTTTTTGAGAAAGAGTCTCGCTCTGTTGCCCAGGCTGGAGTACAGTGGAGTGATCTCAGCTCACTGAAACCTCTGCATCCCAGGTTCAAGCTATTCTCCTGCCTCAGCCTCCCGAGTAGCTGAGATTACAGGCGCCCGCCACTACGCCCAGCTAATTTTTTGTATTTTTTTTTAGTAGAGACGGGGTTTCACCATGTTGGCCAGGCTGGTCTCGAACTCCTGACCTTGTGATTCGCCTGCCTCAGCCTCCCAAAGTGCTGGGATTACAGGCGTGAGCCACTGCGCCCAGCTAGGTGTTTATAGTATTCTCTGATGGTAGTTTGTATTTCTGTGAGATCAGTGGTGATATCCCCTTTATCATTTTTTATTACCCAGCACCATTTATTAAAGAGACTATCCTTTCCCCAGTCCATGTTCTTGGTGCCTTCATCAAAAATCAGCTGGCTGTAAATATGTGGATTTATTTCTGTGTATCTATTCTGTTCCATTGGTCTACGTGTCTGTTTTTACACCAATACCATGCTGTTTTGGTTACCATAGCCTTGTAATATATTTTGAAGTCAGATAGTGTAATATCTCCAGCTTTATTCTTTTTGCTCAGGATTGCTTTGGCTATTTGGGCTCCTTGTTGGTTTCATACAAATTTTCGGATTGTTTTTTCTATTTCTGTGAAAAATGGCATTGGTATTTTGATAGCAATTACATTGAATCTGTATATTGCTTTAGGCAGTATGGTCATCTTAATGATACTCTTTTTTTTTTTTTTTTTTGAGACAGAGTCTCACTCTGTCACCCAGGCTGGAATGCAGTGGTGCGGTCTCGGCTCACTGCAATCTCCGCCTCCTGGGTTCACGCCATTCTCCTCCCTCAGCCTCCCGAGTAGCTGGGACTACAGGTGCCTGCCACCACACCCGGCTAATTTTTTGTGTTTTATAGTAGAGACAGGGTTTCACCGTGTTGGCCAGGATGGTCTTGATCTCCTGACCTCGTGATCCACCCGCCTCCCAAAGTGCTGGGATTACAGGCATGAGCCACCGCGCCTGGCCAATGATATTCATTTTTTCAGTCCATGAGCATGGAATGTCTTTCCATTTGTTTGTGTACTCTTCAGTTTCTTTCATCAGTGTTTTGTAGTTTTTCTTTTAGAGATCTTTCACCTCCTTGGTTAAATTTATTTTACTTTTTTTGGTAACTATTGCAAATAGAATTACCTTCTTGATTTCTTTTTTGGTTGTTTCATTATTTGTGTATAGAAATGCTACTGATTTTTGTGTGTTGATTTTTGTATCTTGAGACTTTACTGAATATATCAGCTTTAAAAGTTGTTTTGGTAAAGTTTTTCAGTGTTTCTAAATGTAAGATATGTCATCTGCAAAGAGGAACAATTTGGCTTTCTCTTTTCCAATATAGATGCCTTTTATTTCTTTCTGTAGCCTGATTTTTCTGACTAGAACTTCCAGTACTATGTTGAATAGAAGTGGTAAAAGTGGCCACCTTTGTCTTGTTCCAGTTCTTAGAGGAAATGCTTTCAGCCTTTCCTCGTTCAATATGATGTTAGCTGTGGGTTTGTCAATATGGCTGTTAGTATTTTGAACGTATGTTTCTTCTATGCCTAGTTTGAGTTTTTACCCATGAAGGGATATTGCATTTAATAAATGCTTTTTCTATGTCTATTGAAATGATCGTGTGGTTTTTGTTCTTCATTTTGTTGATGTATCACATTTATTGACTTGTGTGTGTTAAACAATCCTTGTGTCCCTGGTATAAATTCCACTTGATCGTGGTGTATTATTTTTTTGATGTGCTATTTAATTCAGTTTGCTATTATTTTGTTGAGGATTTTGTATCTTTGTTCATCAGGGATATTGGCCTGTAGTTTTCTTTTTGTATTGTGTCCTTTACTGATTTTGGTATCAGGGTAGTGCTGGCCTCATAGAATAAGTTAGGGAGAATTTCCTTCTCCTCAATTTTTTGGAATAGTTTGTGGAGGATTACTGTTAGTTCTTTTTTATATGTCTTTTAGAATTCTGTAGTGAATCTATCCTGTCCTGGGCTTTTCTCTGTTGGGAGACTTTTTATTATTTTATTATTATTATTTAAGACAGAGTTTTGCTGCCGGGCGCGGTGGCTTACACCTGTAATCCCAGCACTTTGGGAGGCTGAGGCAGGTGGATCACCTGAGGTCAGGAGTTCAAGACCAGCCTGGCCAACATGGTGAAACCCCGTCTGTACTAAAAATACAAAAAATTAGCTGGGCGTGGTGGCAGGTGCCTGTAATCCCAGCTACTTGGGAGGCTGAGGCAGGAGAATAGCCTAAACCTGGAAGGCGGAGATTGTAGTGAGCTGAGATCACGTCACTGCATTCCAGCCCGGGCAACAAGAGCAAAAGTCCATCTCAAAAAAAAAAAAAAAGAGACAGAGTTTCGCTGTTGTTGCCTGGGCTGGAGTGCAATGGCGCGATCTCGGCTCACTGCAATCTCCCCCTCTCGGGTTCAAGCGATTCCCCTGCCTCAGCCTCCCGAGTAGTTGGGATTATAGCTGCGTGCCACCATGCCTGGCTAATTTTTATATTTTTAGTAGAGACGGGGTTTCACCATCTTGGCCAGGCTGGTCTCAAACTCCTGACCTCATGATCCACCTGCCTCGGCCTCCCAAAGTGCTGGGATTACAGGCGTGAGCCACCGCACCTGGCTGAGACTTTTTATTATTGATTTACTCTCATTACTCGTTATTGGTCTGTCCAGATTTTCTATTTCTTCCTGATTCAATCTTGGTAGGTTGTAGTTTCTAGAAATTTATCCATTTCCTCTAGGTTTTCCAGTTTGTTAGTGTATAGTTGTTCATAATAGTCTCTGATAATCTTTTGTATTTCTGTGGCATCAATTGTAATGTCCCCTTTTTCAGTTCTGATTTTGTTTACTTGGGTCTTCTCTCTTCTTCTTGGTTAGCCTAGCTATTTTGGTTAGCCTAGCAAAATTGGTTTATCAATTTTGTTTCTTTTTAAGGAACCAACTTTTTGTTTCATTGATTCTTTGTATTTTAATCTCTGTTTCATTTAGTTCTGCTCTGATCTTTCTTTCTTTCCTTCTACTAATTTTGGGTTTGGATTATTCTTTTCTAGTTCCTTGAGGTGTATTGTTAGACTAATTATTTGAAATCTTTCTACTTTTTGATGTAGGTGTTTATTGCCATAAATGTCCCTTTTAATACTGCTTTTGCTGTATTCCACAGGTTTTGGTATGTTGTGTTTCAATTTTCATTTGTTTCAAGAGTTTTTTGATTTCTCTCTTAACTTCTTCATTGACCCATTGGTTAGTCAGGAGCATATTGTTTAATTTGCAGGCATTGGCATAGTTTCCAAAGTTCTTCTTGTTATTGATTTCTAGTTTTATTCCATTGTGGTCTGAGAAGATATTTGATATGATTTAATTTTAAAAAGATTCACTGACTTGTTTTGTGGTCTGCCTTGCAGAATGTTCCACATGCTGATGAGAAGAATGTGCATTCTGCTGTTGTTAGATAAAGTCTTCTGTAAATGTCTATTAGGTCCATCTGATCTAAAGTCCAGTTTAAATCCAATTTTTATTTTGTTGATTTTCTGTCTAGATGATCTAACACTGAGAGTGGAGTGTTGAAGTCCTCCACCATTATCGTATTTGAGTCTCTCTCTGTCTGTCCCTCTCTTTAGAGGTAGTAATATTTGCTTTTTGAATCTGGGTGCTCCAGTGTTATATGCATATATATTTAGAATTGTTATTTCTTCTTGCTGAATTAATCCCTTTATCATTATACAATGACCTTCTTTGTCTTTTTAAAATTATTTTTGCCTTAAAGTCCATTTAACTGATATAAGTTTACCTCATGTAACTATAGCTACTTCTGCTTACTTTTGGATTCCATTTGCATGGAATATCTTTTTCCACCCCTTTACTTTCAGTCTATATGTATCTTTACAGGTAAAGTGCACTTCTTATAGGCAGCACATAGTTGGATCATGTTTTTTAATCCATCAGCCAGTCTATATTTTTTAAAGTGGAGAATTTAATCTATTTACATTCAAGGTTATTATTGATATCTGAGGTTTCATCTCTGTCAGATTTTTAATTGCTTTCTAGTTGTTTTGTATGTTGTTTGTCCTTTTCTTCTCTTATTGTTTGCCATTGTGGTTTGGTGGCTATCTGTAGTGGTACCATTTGAGTCCTTTGTCTTTCTCATTTGTGTGTTTGCTTTACCATTGAGTTTTCTACTTTTGTACGTTTTCATGATTGTAAATGTTGTCCTTTCACTTTCAGGTTTAGGACTCCCTTGAGCATTTCTTATTAGACCAGTCTCGTGTCGATGAATACCCTCTGCTTTTGCTTCTCTGGGAAGGACTTTATTTCTCCTTCATTTTATGAAGAATGATTTTGATGGATAGTATCCTTGGATGGCAGATTTTTTTTTTTCTTTCAGCATTTTGAACATATCGTGCCATTCTCTCCTGGCCTGTAATTTTACTGCTGTTAGTCTGATGGGGGTTCCTTTATAGGTGATTAGATGCTTTTCTCTTGCTGTTTTTATGGGTTGCTCTTTAAATTTGACCTCAGACATTCTGATTATAATGTGCCATTGAAAAGACCTTTTTGCATCATATTTGTTTGGGGATCACTGGACCTCCTGGATCTGGATGTCTATATTCCCTGCTAGGCATGGGAAGTTTTCATCTATTATTTTATTAGTTTTTCAACCCCTTACATTCTCTCTTCGCCTTCTGAGATAATGATAATTTGTAAATTTGGTCACTTTATGATTTCCCATATATTATGAAGGCTTTGCTCATTCTTTTTTTTATCTTTTTTCTTTATTTTTGTCCAACTGGGTTATCTCAAAAGACCTGTCTTCCAGTTCTGAGATTCTTTCTTCTGTTTGAGCTAGTCTATTGTTGAAGCTTTTGAATGTATTTTGTCATTCTTTCAATGAATTCTTCACTTCCAGAATTTCTGTTTAGTTCATTTTTATATCTGTCTCTGTGGTAAATTTCTCATTTATATCCTGAATTGTCTTACTGATTTCTTTGTTTTGATTTTTGGAATTCTTTTGTATCTCACTGAACTTCTTTAGAATCAATGATTTGAATTCTTTTTCTGGGATTTCATGAATTTCTTTTTTATTGGGGTTTCTTTTTGGAGAATTATGGTATTCCTTTGGCGTGTCATACTTCCTTGCATTTTCATGTTTTCTGTGTCTTTACATTGATGTCTGATCTGTTTTCTCTCACTATAGTTTGTTTTCTAGAGTTTTATAGAAATGGGATCACACAGCGTGTAGTCTTTATTATTATTATTATTATTATTATTATTATTTTAGCCTGGCTTCTGTCACTCAGCATAATTATTCTGAGATTCATTCATGTCATTTTGTATGTCCATCATTCATTTCTTTTCCTCTCAGATGAGGAAAGCCTCCTCTGGAACATTTTGGTGTTACTGAAAAATGCTGGGCCAGGTGACTTCATGTAACAAGCATGCTGAGTGCCCAGTCGGCATGTGGTACACCTGGCCTTGCCTTAGGTGCTGTGGCCTCAAGCCTCTCAGACCTCCGTTCTGTAGAGAAGTTAGCCATGAATGGAAGTTAGAATATTCTGTTTGCCAAGAACCACCACAGGAATGTGGTGTGATACACAGGAGGAAATTGTCCTCTGTCTGGTGGGGTGGGCTGAGGCTTCCTAGAGGATATGATGTTCAATTTAGGCAATAACTATCCTTGGGCATAAAATACAAAGAAGGACGCTTCAGACCCAGGAAATGGCAGATGCCAAAGTGTGGGCAAGGTTTGTCCTTCAGGGAATCACCACAGCCAGGGCATACAGAATGTGTGCAGTGGGGAATGATAGGGAAGAATTTAAAAGTGGCAGGTCAGGGCCAGACTGGGGAGGGACTTGTGTGCCAGGCCCATGAATTTGGATTTAAGTGACTGTATGAGTTTCCTGGGGCTGCCATTACAATGTACCACAAATGATGTGATTCAAAACAACAAAGATGCATTCTCCCACAGTTCTGGAGCCTAGAATTCAGAGATCAAGGTGTTAGCAGGGCACAATCCCTCTGATAGCTGTATGGGAGGGTCCTTTCTTGCCCCCGTTAGCTGCTGGTAGCGATCCTTGGTGTTCCTTGGCCTGCAGCTACATCACTTCAATCTCTGCCTCCATGTTCACATGGAGTTCTCCCTTGTGTGCCTCTATCTTTTGCTCTTCTTATAAGGACACCAGTGATATGGTTTGGATTTGTGTCCTCAGTCAAATCTCATGTCTCATTGTGATCCTCAGCATTGGAGGAGGGACCTGGTAAGAGGTGATTTGATCATGGGGACGGATTTCCCCCTCATTGTTCTCATGATAGTGAGTGAGTTATCACGAGATCTCATGGTTTAAAAGTGTGTGGCACTTCCCCCCTCACAGTCTCTCTCCTGCTCCACCATGTGAAGATGTGCCTGCTTCCCCTTTACCTACCACCATGACTGTAAGTTTCCTGAGGCCTCCCCAGCCATGCTTCCTGCATAGCCTATGGAACTGTGAATCAATTTAACCTCTTTTCTTCATAAATTATGTAGTCTCAGGTAGTTCTTTATAGCAAGGCAAGAATGGACTAATACAACCAGCCACACTGGATATGGGACCCACTCCACTCCAGTATGACCTCACCTTAACTCATTACATCTGTAGTGACCCTATTTCCAAATAAAGTCACATTCACAGGTACCAGGTGTTCAGATTTGAACATTTCCTTCTGGGAGACACAGTACAAACCACAGCAATAACCAGTCATGCACCAGTCAGTAGTGATTGTGCATGGCAGCAGGTGTTACTTCCATCTTACATATGGAGAGCACAGAGCAGCAAAGTCACTTCCTCACGATTGCTCAGGTTCCTGGCAGAGAGGCAGATGTCTTCTTTAGGCCATCTGTCTGTTTCCATGGGTCCCCTTTCCTCCCTTATTGTACCAGCTGCAGTGAACCACCGGGGGGAGGGGGGGCAGCAGGCAGCCACAGGGAGCCATGAAGGCTATGTTAGTTTCCTAGAGCTACTGTCATGAAATGCCACATAATCGGGGGCCTCTGCAGCAGGTATGTATAATCTCATGATTCTGGAGGCTGGAAATCTGAGGTCAAGGTGTTGGCAGGGTTGGTTCCTTCTGAGGGTTGTGAGACAGAATCTGTTCCAGGCCGCTCTTCTGAGCTTATCAGTATCCATCTTCTCTCTGTGTCTCTTCACATTGTCTTCTCTCTCTGTGTGCGTCTGTGTTCAAATGCCCAAGATAGCAGTCATAACGAATTAGAGCCCACCCTAATGACTTCATTTTAACTTGATTACCTCTGTTAAGACCCTCTCTCCAAATATGGTCATATTCTAAATTAATAGGAGTTAGGATTTCAATGTATGAATTGGGAGGGGGCACAATTCAGCCCATAACAAAAAGTATAAGGCATCATTCTTTGCCTATGCTAAGGAAAGACTTTGTGGGTTAGCTGCCAACAAGTCCCCAGCCAACCAGCACCCAGGGAATTCCTAAGCAGTTTTGCATCTTGTTATGGGTAGCAATAATTAAATGACCCAAAGTGGAGGCAGACAGAGTAGGCAGGTAAAACAGACAGGATAATTTCAGATTAAATTATTTCAAGAGTGGCTTGCTATTGGGAAAAGCACTTGGTGGGCCGCTTGTTTTACGAGTAGAGCGAAAGTTGAAGTATGCATTCTCTGGGCCCAGGCTCTGGGCTCAGGACTAGGACAAGAAAGAGGACTGGTCTCCTCACTGCCCCATGGGCTCCTGTTATGTGGGGGTTGCAAGAGCCAAGCTGATGATATTACACCTGGTGTTTTGATGGTGTGGAGGGGACACATCAGAGAAGGGCTCCCAAAGGAGGTACATCTTGCCTATCTGACTGTAACTTCATAGCTCATTAGCCATTCTCTGCTACTTGGATTTTTCTCCTCCTTTTTTGTCATATCATACTGGAACATCTCTCAGGCATATCCTTCTCAGGTATGTCTCTGGGATTGGACCTTCATGGTAATAGCAGTGATTGCCAAATGGGGGACTGAACACAGATTTGTTATTACTCTTGAATGGTTTGAACATGGTGCACTGGATTGTTTCAGCTAAATGGGGCTTGCATTGCTGCTTGTGCTGTAGAAAAGGCTTATCACTTCTGAAGTTCGTCTTCCCAAGGGAGTTTCGTTGTGCTTTTTTATCATTAAAGAGATTATAGTCGCAGACCTGTGCCAACCAGCTGAGTGACCTTGAGAAGACCCCTTCTTGCTAGGTCTATTTTGGCAGAGCTGTAAACTAGGAGAACTGACTGGCCTTGACTGCTGGAAGCTCCTAGGGGAAGGGGAGGACTGTGCACGCTTATCGAACACTATGCTTTACCTGTGCCAGCTCACTGAGTCCTCACAAGAGCCCGATGCAGCAGGGACTGTTTTATCATCTTCATTTTACAGGCAAGGAAACTGAGGTGCCCAGCAGTGAAGTGGGTGGGTGGGGGGTTTGAGGCAGGACTGTCACCCAGATGATCTGATTTTAGCATGTGTGCTCTTTGCTGCCCCACCACCACACAGCATGGATGTCAGAGCAGGTTACAGTGTTCAGAGCTCTTCTTCCTAAATAATTTCCAAATATGTGTGGGTAAAACTTTTCCATTTCTTGGCTTCATCCTATACACGTATCATTTCACTTGCTGGAGTATGTCTAGGTGCACTTACGTGTGTTCTTGTGTCTGTCTGAAGGTGCAAGTCTGGGTGACACGGCCTAAAGTGGCTGTGAATGGTGGGGTAGTAGTCCCCTGTATACCTCCCTGAGGACTGGGAGTCAAGAGGGGTCAGTGATAAGCAGCAGGATCGTGCAGCATGAATGGATTTCAGAAACTTCCGTGGTGATTGCTTATTGTATTTTACTGTCAAAGTAGTCATTCCACTCCTACATATAGACCCAAGAAAACTGAAAACCCGGCTGTACATGTTCACAGAGCACTACTTATAATTATAGCAAAAAGTGAAAGAAAACCCCAAATGACCATCAACTGATGAATGGATGAACAAAATATAGTCTACTCATTCAGTGGACTTTTTTCAGCCATAAGAAGGAAGGAAATTCGGATCTATGCTCCAACATGGATGAAGCTTGAAGACATGCTGAGTGAAAGAAGCCAGTCATGAAAGAGCATGTACTGGATGATTCCATTCATCTGAGGTGACCAGAGCAGGCAAATCTATAGAGACAGAAAGGAGATTAGTGGTTGCTGGGGGCTGGGGGAGGGATGATGAGGAGGATGGACTGTTTAATGAGTCCGGGTTTTCCCTTTGGGGTGATGGAAATGTGGAAAATGATAGGTGATGGTTACACAACATTGTGAATATACTAGAAATCACTGAATTTCACACTTTCAACAAAGCTGTTCAAAAAGGAGTCTGAGGTGCCCAAGCAGAATTTAGTGAAGGGAAGAGATGGGAGGAGTCTTCCGGGCAGAGGGACCCCTGAGGGCCCTGAGGTGGGATAGAGCCTGCTGAAGTTTAGCAACCAAGTGAAGTCCAGAGGTCCAGGGTGTGATGGGGAGCTGTCATCCTGTGCTCAGCCATTGTCCTTACAGGTTTGGAAAACAACCACAGCTCCCCAACTGGCCTCCTACAAACAAGTCTCCACACAACAGAGCGAACTTCTAAAAATGTTGTTTTGGCCAAATGCACTTCTGCAACTCCAGAGTTGGCCCCTTTTAGTGTAAGTTCACCACCCTGGCACACCTTCCTTAACTACCCAGCATAAAGTGGATTTTCACTCTGGAGTAATGATGTGGAGAAGAGTTCTTTCATCCAAGCAGTAGTGAACAATTTAAATGCTTGAAACAGTAAAACAGATGATGGTTATTGGCTGTTGTGGTCAGTAGACTAATGTTCCCTCCCTGCTCAGAGGTCCACATCCTAATCTCTGGGACCTGTGAATATGTGACGTTACATGGCAAACGGGACTTTCAAATAGGGCTAAGTTATGGATCTTAAGATGGGAAATTGTCCTGGATTATCCAAGTGGGCCCAATGTGATCAAAGGGGGCCTGATATGTCAAAGAGGGAGGTAGATGTGATTATAGAAGCAGGGTTTGGAGTGATATACTTTGAAAATGGAGAAAGAGCCATGAGCTAAGTAAGGAATGCAGGTGACCTCCAGAAGCTGGCAAAGGCAAGGAAATGGATTGGAAGCTTCAGAAGGAACACAGCCTGCTGGTGCCCCGGTTTTAACCCAGGGCCACCCATTTTAGACTTCTGATCTCTGGAACTGCAAGGTCATAAAATTGTCCTGTTTTGAGCCACTATGTGGGAATTTGTTATAGCACCAATAGAAAATACAGCTGTCTCATCATAGCACTTTACTTTTAGAGCACCTTAGGGGCAGGCATGTGTGGGGGAATCAGACCTGTCCAGCTGCATGACCCCGTGCTGCTGCATCTATCTGAGCCTCAGCTCCTCATTGGTGAAAGAGGCTGCTCATCGGCACCATGCCAGCTCACAAACCACTGAAGTGTTGATGCCATGTGTCTGACATGGCAGCTGCTCCTTGCTAGGTCCTCAATAAGTGGATGTTGTCCTATATTATCTAATCCCATCCCTTCCTTCTACAGAATGGGAAAAGGGAGGAAGAAGATGGGAGCAATTTGCCCAAGTTCGAAGGCACAGAATCAAGTGAAGGATTCAGATGTCTTGACTTGGAGGGGAGGGCTTTCACATTTGGTTAGAAAATACTCATGGTAGGCTGGGTGCGGTGGCTCACACCTATAATCCTAGCACTTTGGGAGGCCGAGGCAGGCAGATTACCTGAGGTCAGGAGTTCAAGACTAGCCTGGCCAACATGGTGAAACCCTGTCTCTACTAAAAATACAAAAAATTAGCCGCGTGCCGTGGCACGTGCCTGTAATCCCAGCTTCTTGGGAGGCTGAGGCAGGAGAATCACTTGAACCCGGGAGGCAGAGGTTGCGGTGAGCTGAGATCGTGCCACTGCACTTCTGTCTGGGTGACAGAGCGAGACTTCATCTCAAAAAACAAAAAAAAAAGAAAGAAAAAAAAGTACTCCTGGTTAGAGAGTTTCTTCAGTCCTGGATTGGCTGTGATACAAGAAACACCTCACTTCTTAGGCAGCATCTGTACAATGTTGTTGCACCTGGGGCTCAACCCATCAGTGGCCTGTGCAAGTAGTTGAGTTGCAACTAGCATATTGAATGAGATAAAATGGAATAGGAAATATTAGTCCTTCACACAAATAAGATCATCCTTTGTTGCAACATTTGTTTCTATGGAGTATCACTTTGTTGTACTGTGTTTCTATCACTTTGTTGCAACATTTATCTCTGTGAGAATCACTTTGTTGCAACATGGGTAGCCCTCTGGTGTAATATTTGTTTCTATGTGCACGTCCGCTGGTGCCTACATGTTCTAGGTAGGGATGGGAAATTTGGGATCCCTGTCAGGGGCATGTGTTCTGTGAAACTGGGGGATAAACGTGGTCTACTAAGTTGCTGGGCTCTGAGTGGTGAGCATGGCCACTGCTGAGCTGGCCTTAATGGTGAGGTGCCTGCTGCCAAGCCTGGCTTGGTTCATGTCTTAAGGGACACATGTGGGCTGGAATGTGGCTTAGAAAGTAGGCAAGCTAGATTCCACTTTAGGACATACAGGAGACTTTCTTTGGGCTCCTCCTGCTTCCCTCTCCAACCTGATCAGGCATGTTCAACAATCTAGACTTGCAGGATATTTGTCATTTCTAGTTTTTTGTTTTGTTTTGTTGTTTTAATTGGCTTGTTGTGTCCTCAGAACATCTCTATTCTTGGCATACCTTCCCCACTGGGCTTGTAAACAGGCACAAATACAGAGTGGAAAAGGGGAAAGGTCAGCTGAATAGCTGTAATTTTATTTTGCGTAGTATTAAATGCTTATTTAATTTATATTATATAGAACTGGCTTAGGGATTTAGTTGGCCAGATCAAGCAGATGTGGGCCTAGTAATGTTCCTTGAAGTTGTCATACATCCTATCTCCCATTTTCTACAGATGCAGGAATCAGTGGGTTCTTACTCACTTGGAAGATTTGTGGTGTGGAATGAGCCAGACTGATTGCCTGCTTCCATGACAAGCTGGCTTCAGAAGGTTATGGAGCAGGATGTACTGATATACAAGGGCTAGCTCATTCTGTGTTTTGTTTTGTATAGTTTCAATTTGAGACAGAGTCTACCTCTGTCTCCCAGGCTGGAGCGCAGTGGTGCGGTCATGGCTCACTGCAGCCTCAACCTCCTGGGCTCAAGCAATCCTCCCACCTCAGCCTGCTGAGTAGCTGGGACTACAGGTGTATGCCACCACACTTGGCTAATTTTAAAAAACTTTTTGTAGAGATGGAGTCTCACCCTGTCACCCTGGCTGGCTCAAGTAATCCTCCTGCCTCAGCCTCCCAAGTAGCTGGGACTACAGGCATGTACTACCATACCCAGCTAATTTTTAATTTTTTAAAAATTTTATAGGGACAGGGTCTCACTATGTTGCTCAGGCTGGTCTCAAACTCCTGGGCTCAAGCAATCATCCTGCCTTGGCCTCCCAATGTGCTGAGATTACAGTCATGAGCCACCGTGCCTGGCCTCATTCTGTTTTTGACGCTGCTCACCAGATTGCTTAGTCAGTGTTTACAAAGCACCACAGAAGTGCCAACGGCTGTTGGGGCTTCATCGCCTAACTGTGTACACAGGTGTTGAATTTGAGTGTGATTGTTGATAGAGGCCACAGTCTGCCATTAGGTATATTTGGGAAGGGAATTTGAGCAAGCTGTTTCCCGGCAGTATGACGCACATGGACAAGTTCATGGAGAAAAGTTGCACAAGTCAAAGGGAGGAAGTGGTTGAAGTGGAGGTTGTGGTGGGGAGACAGGATCTCCTGGTGCGGGTAGCCAGTGACCCTTAGCACGGGATCCACATGTCTAAAGGAGCATACGACAGCAGGGGACAAACTTATTCTTTGTAGTGCCAGGGTAATCTACTGGCCAGTTTTGGGGTCAACACAAAAAACTTTCCAAAAACGTGACTCTTCCAACGAATGAATGTACTTCCAAAGCACATGCCTGGGTCCCCAGCCCAGTGAATTCTGAGGGGGAGGAGGTTTCTGAGGTTGGTCAGCTCATCCTCCCTGGCTGAGAACCTCTATTATACACTGGAGATTACTTTGCTGCATTTTAGGGATGGTCAATTAGATGATATTTCAGATTCTGTCCAAAGTTAACATGCCTTGAGATAATTGGCTTTGTCTTTCTGAATTTTGATTTTTAAAAAGCATCACTTGCTGTTTTTTTTTTTTTTTTTAAATTGTGGAAAAAGAACCCACATAATACTTACCATCTTAGATGATTTCTAAGTGTATTGTTAGTGGTGTTAAGGGTGTTCACATTGTTGTACAACCAATCTCCATAACTTTTTTATCTTGCAAAACTGAACCTCTAATCATTAAGCAATTTCCCATCTCCCACTCTCCCCAGCCCCTGGCAGTCATCATTCTACCATCTATCTCTGTGAATTTGACTACTCTAGGGACCTCATAAAATGGGAATATAGTATTTGCCTTCTTGTGATTGACTTATTACACTTAGCATAATGTTTTCAAGGTTCACCCATATTGTTAACCACTTGCCGTTATTTTATTTCTTCTTTTCTGCATTTTCTAAGATTTTCACAGTGGACACACATTATTTGAAAACAAATAATATAATTTATGTAATACTGTGAGAGGTATAGTACAAGGGGGGGGGGGCCTGCAGGCCATAGTTAGGCATATGGAGCTTATATTCAGTGTAGTGAGGAGGCCTTTGGGAGTTTTGAGCAGGGAAGTGATGTGCCTTGAAGTTTGTTTAAAAAGGAAAAAGGAGGACTCCCTGCCTGCTGTGTGGAGAATGGATTGGATGGAGCATAGACCTGGAAGGAGCAGGAGGATGGTGCTTGTGGCTGTCCAGGGGAAAGATGATCGCTGCCTGGCTTGGTAGTGGCAGTGGAAAAGTGGTGGGCTTTGTGCATGTGCTGGGGGTGGAATTGACAGTTCTTGGTGACAGGGTGGCTATGGAGAATGAAGGAGAAGATGTCGGGACAGTGTACAGCTTTCTGGCTTGGACAATGCAGTGGGTGGCTGTGCCATTCAGTGAAACAAACAGGGAACTCAGGAAAAGGGTCTAGGTTGGAGAGCCAGGGCTTGGCATTTAGTTTTGTGGATTCTGAGTGGGAGCTGGCTGTGAGATACTGAGGAGTGATTTGAGAGGGAGCAAGCAGATACAGCAAGGATAGATAGTCATTTTATGAGTTTGGTTATGAAGGGGTGGGAGAGAAAGCAGTATCAAGATGGGGATGTACAGTCAAAAGAGGGTTTTCTAGTTAAAATGGGAGAGATTTGAGCATGTTTAAAAATAGATGGAATGATACTTCCCAAATTGAACTACAGATTCAACACAATCCCTATCAGAATCCCAGCTGTCTTTTTGCAGAAATTGACAAGCTGATCCTAAAATTCATACAGAAATCCAAGGGACCCAAAATAGCCAAACAAGCTTGAAAAACAGGCACAAAGTTGGTAGACTCACACTTCCCCATTTCAAAACTTACTACAACACAACAGTAGTTAAGACTGGGTATTACTAGCACAAGGATAGCTGGACCAGGATTACTAGCACAAGGGAAGACAGAGTCCAATTCAGGACATGCTTCCTTGGAGGTGCTATGGAAATCTCCCCTGGGTAGCAGGACCTGCAGGATTGGAATTGAGGACAAAGGTCTGGGTTGGGGATACAGGGTAGGAGGTGCCTCGTGCTCAGCGCCTTTCTCCCTCTGCATTGGCCTGGCCAGATGGCAAGGCTGAAAATCTTGATGATTTCTGAGGTCCTGTTCCACTCTGCCTGGCTCTGATTTGGAAATGTTCATACATGCAACACCAACTAGACATAGATTCTTACCTGACTTAAGAAAGTACACAGGATCCATTGGTGTTTATGCTGCCTTCAGGGGAAGGAAATACCATGTGCATTTGTTATTAGTCAACAGACTGATTTGGGGTGGCCTTGTCCAAATCACTTACATTCTTGTGCCTCAGTTTCCCAAACTTATGTCGTATCAGTAGAATCTAAAGGCTTATCAAGCACTGGGTGAGTTTAGATTAGAGTGTGGCTTTTTTCTCTCTTCATCCATTAAGCTTTTGAACATTTTAATGATTCTCTTATAAGCCATTTACTCATGCATATTTATTGAAGGCCTTCTACTTACTAGTGGATTCTACTTAATACCAAATTTAATAATAATATTAGCTAACATTTGAGGGATTCCTATGTCACATATTGTGCTAAATGCTTTATATATAATGATTATTTAATCCTCACATTAACTCACTGCAGTAGGGTCTCTTGTTATCTCCATTTTATAGATGAGGAAACTGAGGTATAGCGCTGTTAAGTCCCTTGCGCAAGGTGTCTCTCCTGCTAAGTGGCAGAGCTGGTGTCTGCATCCTGCCTGTTTGGCTCCAAAGCTGGTCACCAGTGCCGATATCCTCATGTGTTGCCCTGGAACAGCCTTTGACCAGAGTTTGGAAACCTTGGCCCCAATTGTGTGTGTGACACCAGCAGTGTCACCTTTGACAAACATGTAGTATCTTTTATTTTTATTTTTAAGTTATTTTTATTATTTTTTCTTTTTTGAGATAGAGTCTCGCACTGTCGCCTAGGCTGGAGTGCAGTGGCACAATCTTGGCTCACTGCAACCTCCGCCTTCCGGGTTCAAGCGATTCTCCTGCCTTAGCCTCCCAAGTAGCTGGGATTACGGGCATATGCCACCATGCCTGGCTCATTTTTTGTATTTTTAGTAGAGACGGGGTTTCGCCATGTTGCCCAGGCTGGTCTCGAACTCCTGAGCTCAGGTAATCTGCCTGCCTCAGTCTCCCAAAGTGCTAGGATTACAGGCGTGAGCCACTGCGCCCAGCTAACAAAGCACTTAGTATCTTGCACTGCTTCACAGACACTGTGGCCCTGAGAGCAATGTGCCACTTGTCATAGGGTTATCATGGGACCCTAAGCCTTGTGACACATCATGACAGCACCTTATTTGTCTTTGCTAGTTTTATTTCTATCATGCCATCCACCTTATACCATGGGAGGAGGAGTAATCAGGTATGACACTTTCATTTTACACATGGGGAACAGGTCACTCCTATGGGATCAAGTGATTGCTCTAGGACCCCCAGTCAGTGAGTGGCAGTCTGGGACGAGACCTTGCATCTTCTGGCTTTGGGGCAGTTTCTATGTCTGCTACCTAATGATTAACCACTGTGGCTCTTGGGCTCCCACCCATAAAAAGGACATCTGATCTCTGAGGTCCCAGGGCACTCCCCCACAGAGTGGAATGCCAGGGACAGTATATGGAGACACACTAACACCATTTTTAAAAAACTGAGGCATCATTCACAAAACATAAAATTCACCATTTTAAAGCCCACGACTCTGTGTTTAATATACTCATTATGTTGTGCAACTATCACCACTATCTAGTTCTAGAAAACATTTCACAACCTGAAAAAGAAACCCCATGCCCTTTAGCCTCTAGCAGTCAGTCTTCATTCCCTTCACTCCCTAGCCCCTGGCACCCACTCCATTTTTCTTTTGCTAAGTAGTTCCCTAGCTCTCAGCTCTGACTTCTTGGAAAAGGTTATCCTTGCAGGCATCTGAGGCACATTTGGGATTTCCTTGTGAACAACCGTTGTAGACATTTACGTTTCTGTGTGAAAAGGAAGATTGAAATTGGCCTTTCAATTACAAACTCATCAACGAAGTGACTTATACAATTTGTTAAAAAAGAAAAAAAATCCTTCCCCTGCATTTAAATTAAGCAACCTGCTACATACGGACGCTTAGATACTTCCCGGGAATAAGTAAAAGCACTTTAAGACTTTTAGACATGGCGCTTGCATCTCAGTGACCCCTTATTTATCATGTTTTCCTTTCCATAGTGGGTGACTGGAAGAGTCACCCTGTCAGTGACCGGGTGCCCTGTCAGTGACCGGGTCAGACCTCTTATGGCCACTGCAGGTGGATTGGTGGCTGTGGCTGTTGTGGACTGAAATGCTTCATGTCATTGTTGTCCTCTCTGGGAGTGATTTAAATTTATTCATGAAATTATTTGGAGCTCAGGTGGCAATAGCTAAATCCATTTAGTAATCAGAATAAGAGGAAAGCCATTTTCATGTTCACTTGCAATGCTGCAGTGCTTAGCAAGTCCAGAGGATATTAATTACTCAGCATGCTTTGAGGTGTGAAAGCATAAATTCATCAAGACAAATGTGTTCAAATCTAGACTGAGGTAACAAGAGTTAAAATGGTGCAAACATTCAGGGAAACTGGGGACTAACAACTAGCATTTTTGGTTTGCCCCCACCCTCTCTAGCACAAGGTGGGAGAGGGATACCTACTTGTTTGTGTTAAGGGAGAGAAGTTGTTTTCACCAAAGAGACATTTGTAGAATTGGCCATACATACCAGTGAGTTTGTCGCATAGATTTCCCACAAGCAGTGTCCAGGAATGTTTCCATGGTAGACAGGGAGGTGTGAAGCTGTTTTTCTGACCTGCAGGCTTTCCTTTGATTAATCACCCCCTTGCCAGAGGGCAGGGGAAAGGCAAGTCTTTGCAAGCAGCTGCATCAGGTGAGGTCTTTATCATATGATGGTGAAACATTCTTATTAAATGGCTCATTTCAAGTTGAATCAAGCTATGCTCCCCACCCGTCCATTAGCAGACTCAATCTACTGGGACTGATTTGAGTGTTATTCCTTGAACCCAAGTGATCTAGAGGCTTGTGCCACTGTCACATTTGCTGGGTCACGATTCAATCCCTCAGGTCCAACTTTGATTCTGGTCCATGTTATAGTGGGCCTTGTTTGCTTTTGTTAATGGTCTCACCATTGACCAAGTTGGTTTCCTTTTTGATAAATAGCTCTATTCCCTTGAATTTGTGGTGTAGGTGCAGGCAGTAAGCCCAGATGACAGGCAGGTGAGTGGCGTCCTGGCTTTCCTGGACAAACGTAGGGATAGTGTGAGTACTTAGCCTCCATTAAGGCAGAGAAATGGAAAATCCTGAGATGATGCATCTATGATTTACCAGACTAAGATGTCCCTGGTATGCTTTCTTATTCATCTACAGAAAAGGGTCAGGATTTTATTATTTATTTTATTATTATTATTATTATTTTGAGACAGAGTCTCACTGCATTGCCCAGGCTGGAGTGCAGTGGCATGATCTTGGCTCACTGCAACCTCTGCCTCCTGGGTTCAAGCGATTCTCCTGCCTCAGCCTCCCAAGTAGCTGGGACTACAGGCGCCCGCCACCATGCCTAGCTAATTTTTTTGTATTTTTAGTAGAGACGGGGTTTCACTATGTTGGCCAGGCTGGTCTTATAACTCCTGACCTCATGATCTGCCCGCCTCGGCCTCCCAAAGTGCTGGGATTACAGGCGTGAGCCACTGTGCCCAGCCCAGAAAAGGGTCAGGATTTTAAAATTTAAAAACCGATGCAGTTTAGGTGAGTATTCACTCACTTAGGATTTATACTGGCCCATCTTCCCCCCAAATTGTAAACTGCTTACATGTACAAAGGAAGAAGGTAGAATAGAAACCATCCTTAGAGAGCAGGGGAAATAAATGTAACTGGCCACTTGAGAGGTGCCAATCTCCCTGCTAGAATCCCTACTTTGCGTCTGAAATCTTTGGCAGCCAGGGGTCCCAGCTGCCTCTGCAGTTATTAATCCAGCAGCAGGCAGCAGACACGTTCCTCTGCAGAGATGCTTGCTCTTGGCATGAAATCCAAATGGATTTTGTCACAAAGTAATATCAGGTACTATCTACTGGTGACAGAGTTTTGGTAATCAAAATGAACACACCTTTAGGAAATGCTTTCTTGCTGCCAGGTCTGTGTGTGGTGTTGGCATGGAGATTACCAAGCGCCAGTCCCTGCTTAAGGCAGCTCACTGTCTAGAGCAGCACTGTCCTATGGAACTTTCTGTGATGATGGAAATGTTCTCTGTCTGTGCTGTCAAACACAGTAGTTACCTGCTGCATGTGGCTATCAAGCATTGAAATATGGTTAGTGCAATAAAGAAGCAGAATTTAAAAAAATTATCGAATGCTAATTTTAATTTAAACGGCCACATGTGGCTAGTGGCTACCATGTTAAGTGGGGCGAGTCTAGAGAGAGGACACACAAAAACACTTAACTGGAATGGCTGTACTTTCAGGATGAACTGAGTGGAGTGGATAGCAACAACAGAGGAGGGAATGAATAATTAATGAAATCCAAATGAAAGGCTACTTAAGGGGCCCATCAAATGATCTCTCTCAAGGATCAGACGTTTCAATCAGGCATTGGCAGGTGCTGGATCACAGCCAGTTCAGGGTGGAATTCTCTAACAAGGGCAGCTGTGCCTTGTTTTACAGCCTTTATTGAAGTGCACCCTTAGCCTTAGCTTTAGATGCCAGTCCTGTTGGGTCAAATTGCAACATGAGGTCAAGCTTGTGTTCCTTCCCAAAGGGACAAAATCTACTCCAGGACAGACACTGGCTGTTGGAGTGTCTGTGGGTGGAAACAGCACTTTTCTTATGAAATTAATCTTCTCAAGGACATGCACAAGTCCATGGGCAACATTGCCAAAGGACATTTTCAGAGAAGTATTATCAGCTCATTAGGTGCTTTTTACATTAAAAGGAATTCTTGGTGGCCCTCTGCGGTGGAAGTAATTTTCTGCTGAATACTTGAATACTGGCTGCCCAGATACAGGGACTGCGGGTTGTGAATTGAGCCTATGGTGAATCAGCTGTTTTCTAATGCGTGTTGGTGCCAGAGGGTTAGTCTGTGTCACTAACACAGAGGACTGTGGTCTGCCTGCATCCAAAACTGAGTTTAGTTAATAGCTTGCATAGAAGGGGTATAGAACATGACCCTATTTTGCACCTTTTGAGGTGCATTGTATCTCCTGAGAATATTTCTTCTGAACTTGATTTTAGCAACTGTGCTTGCTTGTGGGCTTTGAAGACATCTTAATAGCTCAGGATCTAGATTGAAACTGAATGGTTTTATCCACAGATAGTTTGAGTCTGTTGAATCCAAGGTCAACAAGGGATGGGTACATAGCACAACATTGTGTTATGTTCCTCTTAACATATTTACCCGATGACATGTAGCAGGATATATGAGCAAGCAGTAGGGGGAATGGCTGAGGCTAAAAACGTCTTATTGTGTAAGATGTCATTTCAGAGAACCTACTTTTGCAATTCTTGGGTGAGGAAGCAGAGATAGAGATTTGAAGGAAGACCCATTGAGATGGTAGGCTTATGGCTTTGGAGGGATTGATGTAGAACTTTTAGGAGAAATACACGTACATGGATTGAAAACAAAAAGGCAGAAAAGAGTTTAAATTAATGTAAAATGCTCCCTCTCCCTTCCCCTGACCGTTACTCTCATTCCCTAAACATAACTACTGTTACCAGTTTCCCTGTGTAAACTTCCAGAAGATGTTTATGGATATAGATATGGATACAGACACGCAAATGGAAAAATACTTCTCTGCACTTTGCTTTATTTATTAGTGTATTGTGGAGATCTCTTGCATGCCACTATTATAGGCTTATCCCATTCTTTTTAACAGCTACACAATCATTAATTGTATGGAAGAGCCATATTTCATTTCACCAGTCATCTTTGCTGAACACTTGGACTGTTTCCATTTCTTTTTCCTGTTGTAAGCATCCTTGTCCATACTTCTTTGGGTACGTGTTTCTAGTATTTGTCTGTAACAGGTACCTAGAAATTGAATTGCTGGGTTGAAGTATTTGCATATTTTAATTTTTTAATGTTGAAATAATTATAAACTTTCAGAAAATTGGCAAGTACAGTGCAAGGAACTTTTTTTTCCCCCACCAAGCCACTTGAGAGTAAATTGGTTACCTAATGCCTTATCACCCCCACCCCCAATATATTAGAGTGCATTTCCTACAAATAAGGACATCTTCTTACATATCTACAATGCAACCATCAGAATCAGGACACTAACACTGATACCTTATTACCACTAAATCCTCAGACCCCATCCAAGTTTTAACAATTGTCCCAATAATGTCTATTATTAATACAAAGAGTTCTTGACTGGGTGCAGTGGCTCATGCCTGTAATCCCAGCACTTTGGGAGGCTGAGGCAGGCAGATTGCTTGAGCTCAGAAGTTTGAGACCAGCTTGGGCAACATAGTGAGACCCCATCTCTACAAAAAATACAAAAAAGTTAGGCATGGTGGCATGTGCCTGTGTTCCTAGCTACTTGGGAGGCTGAGGTGGGAAGATCACTTGAACCCAGGAGGTTGAGGCTGCAGGAGCCATGATTGCACCACTGCAATCCAACCTGGGTGACAGAGCCAGACCCTGTCTCAAAAAAAAAAAAAAGTTTATATATGTTGTTCACCTAAATTTTCCAGATTTATCACATTTTCTGTATATGTATGTGTTCTCCCCACCCCACGTGCATGTGTGTGTGTATGAATTTCCTGAACCATTTCAGAATTAGTTGCAAACATTAGATCCATTACCTTTTTTTCTTTCTTTTTTCTTTTTTTTCTTTCTTTTTCTTTCTTTCTTTCTTTTTTCTTTTTTCTTTTTGAGGTAGGGTCTCCCTCTGGCACCCAGGATGGAGTGCAATGGCATTGTCAAGGCTCAGTGCAGCCTCAACCTCTCAGACTCAAGTGATCCCCCCAGCCTCAGCCTCCAGAGTAGCTGGGCGTACAAGCATGTGCCTCCATGCCCAGCTAATTTTTTTTTTCTTTGAGACGGAGTCTTACTCTGTTGCCCAGGCTTGAGTGCAGTAGTATGATCATAGCTCACTGAAGCTTCAACCTCCTGGGCTCAAGTGATCCTCCCACCTTAGCCTCCCAAGTAGCTGGGACTACAGGCATGCACCACCACACCCAGCTAGTTTTTTTTTTATTCTTAGTAGAGATGAGGTCTCACTATGTGGCCTTGGCTGGTCTTGAACTCCTGGGCTCAAGGAGTCCTCCCACCTCAGCCTCTCAAAGTGCTGGGGTTATAGGCATGAGATACCATACCTGGTCCCCCAACCCCAGGCTAATTTTTAAATTTTTGTTGTTGTTGTTGTGGTTGTTGAGATGGAGTCTCCCTATGTTACCCAGGCTGGTCTTGAACTCCTGGGCTCAAGCAATTCTCCCGCTTCAGCCTTCCAAAGTGCTGGGATTACAGGCATGAGCTACTGTACCAAGCCTATACCTATTACCTCTTGATACTTCAGTATGCAGTTTCTAAAAACAAGGATACTCTCTTCCTGACTACAGTATTTCCATCAAGACCAGAAATTGACAGTGATCAGTATTATCATCTAGCTGGTCTACAGACCTAATTTAACTTTGCTGATTGTCCCAGTAATGGCCTTTATAGGTTCAGGATCCAATCCTAGATCACCTGTTGGATTTAGCTGTTACAATTTCCCTAATCTCAAGGATTGCAGGCTCTCACTACTTTCTTGTTCAGTGCTGATTTTGCCTCATGGGTTTTGTTCATTTTATGATTTACAGTGGAAAGGCGGGTCTGATCCCAGTTATTCTCAT